>NC_000005.10:170912839-171215869 GCF_000001405.40 Homo sapiens
TTTTTGGATTGAAAGATCCCACCAAGTTCCCAGCATAATGAATGAAAAAAGATATTCACTAAGCTTTATAATCATGACATTTTAGAATAGTAAGGATAAAGAAAAAAATTCTAAAACTTACCAGAAAGAAAAAAGTAAGTCTCCTCCTACAGAGGATTGGGGTCAAGAAGGTATTAGACTTCTCAACAGCAGCACTGAAAGCTAGAAAACAATAGAGAAGTATCTTCAGGCTTCTGAGGGAAAATTGTTTCCAAACTAGACCAAACTTATCAAATCTAAGATAGAATAAAGACATTTTCAGATATGCGAGTCCTTCCAAAATTTATCCCTTATGTACTTGCTCTAAGGAAGCTACTTGATGTACAAGCAAAGAAAGTGGAAGATAATGGAATTTGGGAAATGGGCACTTCAACACAAGATGACAGTGAAAGACATAGAAAGGCTACAGTTGTATAACAAAGTTAAGGAGCAACCAGTTCAAGTTGAAGGCTCTGGGAGGTAGGGGTGGGTGAATGCAAATGATGGGTTATTTGATGCTATTGATGGTGTGGAACATGTTATGAAGAACATTGTGCCAGTCTCTCAGAGCATTTGGAGAGAATTAGTGACAGATACACAACTAAGCACAGAAAAGATGGTATGATTAAGTCCAGCGAGTATTAGAAATGTGATGTAATTACAGCTCAGCCGTTAATATTATTTACATAGTCATAATAAATGTAAACACATAGAATTGATTTAATCACAAATTGTGATAATAGTGGATGGGTTTTTGAGAGGATTGATTGTGGAGAGAGTGGTAGGGGTGGTAGGGTTGTGGCATTCGTGATTAGACAGCTAAAGCGTTACACACTGTAATAGGAATGCAGTTGATGTCTAAAGTAAAACAATCAAATGAAGAAATAGTATACGCTATTATTTGGAAACATGAATGTAACTATAGCTAAGTTGAAAAGCAGTTGGAATGGGATAGGGTACAGTTTTTTTTTTATTGTAAGCTTTTTAGTACTGTTTACTTTTTGATACTGTTTGAATTCTCAATGTTTATATTACTTGAATACAAATGAAAATAGTAAGAAGATTCTCCCAGTTCAAACTGTAGTGCTACATAGAGGAAGTGCTACATGAGGAAGAGCCTGGCTAGTTAATTTCTCTCTGTATTATTTCATCTTTCAAAGGAAAATAGCTAGGAATTAAAAATAGGCCTAACTGGAAGGAATGGCCACATGCAGAGGCCTTGGATTTCTCAGTTTGTGTGATATTGTCTTACTTTGTTAAGATCACTGAATTGAAAGTAATGGTGTTAGAAAATAATTTTTTTTCCCAGTTTTCCTGGAACCAGAAACATTGGATCTTTTCTTCAATTTGTATCATTCACTTCCACCACTACTATCTCAGTTAGTAAGTAAAAGTCATTCGTTATTTCGTTAAAAAATACCTGTGTAAATAAGGGGTGGTATATATTTACTTCAAAAATTCTGTTTATATATTCAATTGAGTTTACTTTTCACAGTAAGTTCTTATATTTTCTGGGATGTATACTGCTTAAACTATTTGTCAAATTTTGTTTGTTTTGTCAACGTTACATTTTATTTCATGGGTGAGCCTAGAACCAGTAACTGTTGATTTAGCTCTTGCCCAGAGCCAGGACAACCTACCAATCCCTAAATACATATTTTTTTCCTACTCAGTTCCCATAGGGCCTAAGTCCAGCAGCTGACCACCACACAAGGACTTTCCCTTCTACTACCCTTCTCTAACTCTTCCTCAACCTTGCCTGGCTCCATGTCTTAGGTTTGACAGGCTGTCCCCTTCAGATCTCTGAATAAGAAATGAAGGGGATCTACTCACTTGAATTGTGTTCATCAAGCCAGTTATTTATTTATTTTTTGAATCAGTGTAAATTCTATTGCATGCTTAAAAAGTTCTTGATACTCTGTAGTTGTATACAACTTTGAGACTCTTAGCTCCATCTTTGCGGAGCCTAAAACAAATCTGTCAAGGTTATTAAAAATTGTAAGTTTAAGTTTAAACTTGTAAAGCTGGGGAGTTCTAATATTGCCATTTTCTGAAAAACATATTGCATATTTAAAGTATATATCAGTGATGTGTTTGTTTAGGTATCTTATTGCCTAAAAGGGAGGAAAGCATTCACAGAAATGTCCTTTTTAAAAAAACATGTCTTCTCTTGAATCTAGAGTTTAAGGTAGTGCTTTTTAAACTGGGTTTCTCAGGGTACCTCATGTTTCCAGTTGGGGCCACAGCCTTCTGTCTTTTAGTCGCAACAGTCTTGCTTTTAGTTGTGTAAAAACCATGGTTTCATGTAATTATGTTTTGGGATAAAACAAAAAAGGTACTAGTGCTTAAAAAATAAAGTAGAAAACAACTGCTTTGAGAGATAGTAATGAACATTTATTGGACATGTCCTATTTATTGTATGATACTTATCTCACTTAATCCTCAAAGTGGCCCTGAAAGGTAAATGATAAAAATCCCTACTATGTAGACCCAGAAAAACAGAAAACAGACCCAGATTGACTAAGTGACTTCCCCCAGGGCAACAAAGAAAATATTGGCATTGAGATTGAAACACAGGTCTTTTTTGCCCCCAACCCCAGGTGTTTTTAGTACGCTAGTGGTTCCTATACTTGTACTTCTGAGTTTCCTAAGGAGTTTTTTGTTTTTGTTTTTGTTTTTAATTTGGGTTTTAGGTTCTCATGGTAGGGGCTGTGGCAAACTGGAGCACATCTAAAAAGGGCGTCATTTGATTTTTGTCTCTTTTCTCACCGTAAAGTACCTACCTTTTCCAGCACCATTTTCAGACCATTTTTTAAGATGCTAATAGATGGTGTAAAATATTCCTTGACCAATTAAATTTGGAATATGCTGGATTACATTACAGGTTCCCCCTGCCCCCCCCAACAGGATACCACGGTACATAATGTGCACTATTTCCCAAACATACTGTACCACAAAACCATATTTTCTTTTTGGTAGAAAACCTGATTCATTAGAAAATGGAACTAGATATCATAAGCAATTGAGAGCCTATTAAATGTATAGCATGTACAGGCCTTGAACTGGCTGATTTTGTTAATGAAAAAACATTAGAGGGGAATACATACAAATAGGAATTTTTATGATGGGGTAGAAGGATTGTGGGTGGTGGGAGTGGTTGATGATATTTAGCTTTTATTAATTTTATGTTCTATAATGCTTTTTATATTGCATTATAATGCATTATATTCTATATTGCATTATCATGCGTTATATTCTATATTGCATTATCATGCGTTATATTCTATATTGCATTATAATGCGTTATATTCTATATTGCATTATAATGCGTTATATTCTATATTGCATTATAATGCGTTATATTCTATATTGCATTATAATGCGTTATATTCTATATTGCATTATAATGCGTTATATTCTATATTGCATTATAATGCGTTATATTCTATATTGCATTATAATGCGTTATATTCTATATTGCATTATAATGCGTTATATTCTATAATGCATTAAAATTAAATTCATTTTAAATGTAAAGACTAGTATTCCTTACATGTGGCCACAGATACTTTGAAAATTGAAATGAAATTTTTTTGGTATTTTTTAGGCACTTTCATGTTTAGTTCAGTTTGCTTCGACAAGAAGGTCCTTATTTAACAGTCCTGAACGTGCCAAGTACCTTGGTAATTTAATTAAGGGAGTAAAAAGGATACTTGAAAACCCTCAGGTATTTATGAAGTAATTTAATACTTAGCATATAGAGATACAGTTTTTCAGCTAAAGGCACATAATAAACTCATCATGAATTTATTATGATTCTGGAAGAAAACATTTAGTATCATATATATCTTCCTTAGAGCTTTTTTTTTTTTTTTTGAGATCAAGTCTTGCTCTGTTGCCCAGGCTGGAGTGCAGTGGTGCAATCTTGGCTCACTGCAACCTCTACCTCCCGGGTTCGAGTGATTCTTCTGCCTCAGCCTCTTGAGTAGCTGGGATTACAGGCTTGCACCCACCACCTCTGCTAATTTTTGTATTTTTAGTGGAGATGGGGTTTCACCATGTTGGGCAGGCTGGTCTCCAACTCCTGACCTCAAATGATCCACCTGCCTCGGCCTCCCAAAGTGCTGGGATTACAGGCATGAGCCACCATGCTCAGCCCTTAGATCTCATTTGTGGTGGAGATGGGTAGTTTTTAAAAATGGATGTTTCCATGGCTGACTTCTGTGTTTCTCTTATTTTTTTCTTTTAGGCAAATATGACTAGAGATTATCTATCTTACTATGCTTCTGTCTTTTACCATTGTATTACATTTCTTTGCTTGCTCTTAAACTACTGAAGTGATTAATTCAGTATGTCCACCTTATGAACTAGAAGACATAATATAAATCTGAATGTTAATATTGGAGCAAGTGGCCTTAAATTATGAAATTATGTTTTCTTGCCCTCTTGTGGACAAGTAAGAGTTTGTAGATTTTAAAATTTTTTCTGCATTAACTTTAGAGCTTCATTGCCAATATTCATTTCAGAGAATTGCAAAGCTGCTATTGAGTAATTTGGGTGCTTACATAAAATATTTTGTTTTACTTTTTATTTTGATTTTGGTTTAAAATATCTGTAAAATACAGATTTTTAAAGGTTAAATGATTTAAGGAGGTTTACCTAATTCTCTTGGTTATTAATAAATTTTGGGGGGTGACATATATCTTCAGTAAGAATGTTCTACAAAAAGCAATTGTTTTTGCATATTCTCAGAAGTGTTTTATGGGTTATGCATTTATTTTATCTTTTCAATGTTAGTATAGTTGTGAAATTTTCTGTTTTGCTGATAAAGAGGATTTTACCAATATACTTTAAAATGTTTAGTTGTTTAACTCACTATCATCAACCAATAGGTGGAAGATAATATGCCGATTCCTGATAATTTCTCTTAAATGATTTTCCAACATCCTTACGTTAATGTTTCATGGCTGTAAAAGTTGGTATGAATATTAGATTGTTTTAGAATCACAAACATGTTTTAAAGATGTATGATTACAAAATTTTTTTGGTTATTTTTCTTTAATAGGTACTATTTTCTATATATTTCATGGAGCTCCTATGAATGAAATTGCTTAGAGACTTTCAGTTTTACAAAGATACTTTTTGAATTCTGTTTCATCCCAGCTACAGTGCATACTAAAACTGTTTTCAAGGAGCTTACAGACAACTGGGCAGACCTTTTTTGTTACTTCCTTTTAATCTATACTCCTCCAAAATTTACCTGGGTGAATTTTGTTTTTGCTCAACTTTAGTTATTTGCTCAACTTTATTCCTTACATTGCAGTAATTTGTTTGAATGACTGTCTAGAGACATGGAGAGACACGGAGTTGCTTGAGGGTACAGTGCCTGTAGATACTCAATAAATATTTGTTTAATTAAGAAAATTTCTGTTATTTGTGTGCTCATACATACCATTTCAGTCTGGTGAGTATTGTTCTTTCCTAGAGTTTACTTTTAATCTTAAGTATTTTCCAGGTCCTTTGTTGACTTCTGTTTAAACCACAGTACACACACACACACACACACACACAACTTTTGTGTACTATAATAGCTTCCCCAAAATTATAATTTAGTCATTGTGATGCAGATCTTCTTCCAAGGCCTCTACTTTGGATTCCTTGTTATTAATCATTGATGACAAAACTAGACCTAGCAAGAATCCCTCTATTTTTTTACATTGTTAACTACCCAATTGACACAGAGTATTTTAAGTACTCATGAAAATTGGGAGACTTAAGATGCTTTGGGGTTTTACTGATTTTATTGTCCATAGGTTGGCTTGTTTTTAAGCCTTTCTTTTTGTCTCATAATTTAGGGTTTGTCTGATCCAGGTAATTATCATGAATTTTGTCGATTTTTGGCTCGTTTAAAGACAAATTATCAGCTGGGAGAATTAGTTATGGTGAAGGAATATCCTGAAGTTATTAGATTGATTGCTAATTTTACCATTACTAGCCTACAGGTAGGTAAAAATATGTAATTATGTTAAACTGTAGCCAGTTTTAAAACAGCTTCTTGGTAAGGGTTGGTGGGGGTATTTGAAAAATATCTATTAATTTGATTACTTTGCTGGAAATGTTCATTACAGGGTTTTAGGTAAAAAAATTCATTGAAATGTATATAATAAAAATTGAGAAGCTATTTAAATATCTAATAATTGAATAATGGCTTGAGAAACTATAATAAAATCTATGTGAAGAAATAAAATTTTTACAGATTATATTATAGAAAAGTTTTTAAAATAATTTTAAGGGAGAGATTATAAAACCATGTTTTTCACAGGATGTCAACTCTGAAAAATATTCATGGAATGATTAGAGGGAAGTAGAGTAATATTTTAATGTTACTCTGGGTGGTAAAATAATAGAGATGTTGGTTTCTTTATACTTTTTTGCATTTATAAATTTGCTATATTATGTGTTCATTAGTTTTATAGTAAGAATAAAAGTTAATTTAAAAATGTATGTTTAGTAATTTTATTCTGTAATTCTTATTGTAGGAAGATGTAATATTTTAAATAACTTCTGCTTTATTTCTTTGTAGCACTGGGAATTTGCTCCTAACAGTGTTCATTATTTATTAACTCTGTGGCAAAGGATGGTAGCATCTGTTCCTTTTGTGAAATCAACTGAACCCCACCTATTAGACACTTATGCACCAGAAATCACGAAGGCCTTTATCACTTCTCGGTTGGACTCTGTTGCCATAGTTGTGAGGTATTCAAAAACTAAATGTTTTTGTTGTATTTCCTTTTGACACTTGGAATTTTTTAAGATAAAGTTATAAATTTAAAATTCACCCCTTTTAGCGTACAGTTGTATGATTTCTGACAAGTGCACACAATTGTATAACTACCATCACAATTGAGATATAGATTAGTTCCATCAATCCAGATAGTTCTTTTGGCTCCTTTTTCAGTCAGCCCCTCTCCTCACCCTCATCTCTGGCAGTTACTGATCTGTTTTGTGTACCTGTAATTTTTTTTTTGTCTTTTCCAGAATGTTGTATAAATGAAATTATACAGTATGCAGCTTTTTAGTCTGATTTTTTTCCACTTAGCATAATGCATTTGAGAGATTCCTCTGTGTTGTGTTAGTACTTTACTTTCATTGCTGAGTAGTATACCATTTTGTGGATATATCAGTTTGTTTACCAATTCACCTGTTGCTGGACTTTTGAGTTGTTTATGTTTTTGGCCATTGTAAATAAAACTGATGCAAATACTCCTGCACAGATTTTGTACAAACATAAGTTTTTGTTTCTCCTGGGTAAATAGCTAGGTGTGGGATTCCTGGGATGCATGTTAAATATAGTATATATTTTACTTCGTAAAAGCTGCCGAACTATTTTCCAAAGTGGCTGTACCATTTTGCATTCCCGCTCACAATGTATGAAAGACTCAATTGCTCTGTGTTCTCACTAGCACTTGATATTGTTAGTTTGAAAAAATTTTACTCATTCTAATAACTATGTAGTGGTACCTCATTGTGGTTTTCCCTTAATGACTAATAATGTTGAGCATATTTTCATGCACTTATTTACCATCTGTATGTATTCATTGCTAGTGTGCTAGTCAAATCCATTTCCCATTTTTTAATTGGGTTGTATATTTTCTTTTTTTTTTTTTATATTGAGATTTGAGCAGTCTGTGTATTTTCTTCACAAGTCTTTCTGTTATGTATTTGCAAATATTTTCTGTGTTGTTTGCCTTTTCATTTTCTTTCTTTTTATTATACTTTAAGTTCTAGGGTACATGTGCACAATGTCTTGCCACGTTGTCTTCTACAATGGTTGAACTAATTTACATTCCCACCAACAGTGTAAAAGCATTCCTGTTTCTCCACATCCTCTCCAGCATCTGTTGTTTCCTGACTTTTTAATGATCACCATTCTAACTGGCATGAGATGGTATCTCATTGTGGTCTTAATTTGCATTTCTCTGACCAGTGATGATGAGCATTTTTTCATATGTCTGTTGGCTGCATAAATGTCTTCTTTTGAGAAGTATCTGTTCATATCCTTTGCCCACTTTTTGATGGGGTTGTTTTTTTCTTGTAAATTTGTTTAAGTTCTTTGTAGATTCTGGGTATTAGCCTTTTGTCAGATGGATAGATTGCAAAGATTTTCTCCCATTCTGTAGGTTGCCTGTTCACTCTGATGATGGTTTCTTTTGCTGTGCAGAAGCTCTTTAGTTTAATTAGATCCCATTTGTCAATTTTGGCTTTGGTTGGCCTTGCTTTTGGTGTTTTAGTCATGAAGTCCTTGCCCATGCCTATGTCCTGAATGGTATTGACTAGGTTTTCTGCTAGGGTTTTTATGGTGTTAGGTCTTACATTTAAGTCTTTAATGTATCTTGAGTTAATTTTTGTGTAAGGTGTAAGGAAGGAATCCAGTTTCAGCTTTCTACATATGGCTAGTCAGTTTTCCCAGCACTGTTTATTAAATAGGAAATAATTTCCCCATTGCTTGTTTTTGTCAGGTTTGACAAAGATCAGATGGTTGTAGATGTGTGTTATTTCTGAGGCCTCTGTTCTGTTCCATTGGTCTATATATCTGTTTTGGTACCAGTACCATGCTGTTTTGGTTACTGTAGCCTTGTAGTATAGTTTGAAGTCAGGTAGCGTGATGCCTCCAGCTTTGTTCTTTTTGCTTAGGATTGTCTTGGCTATACGGGCTCTTTTTTGGTTCCATATGAACTTTAAAGTAGCTTTTTCCAATTCTGCGAAGAAAGTCAGTGGTAGCTTGATGGGGATAGCATTGAATCTATAAATTACCTTGGGCAGTATGGCCATTTTCATGATATTGATTCTTCCTATCCATGAGCATGGAATGTTTTATCAAGGTTCATAGCTTCCTTTCATTGGGTTAGAATATGCTCCTTTAGCTCGGAGAAGTTTGTTATTACCAACCTTCTGAAGCCTACTTCTGTCAACTCATCAAACTCAGTCTCCGTCCAGTTTTGTTCCCTTGCTGGTGAGGGGCTGCAGTCCTTTGGAGGAGAAGAAAGAGGTGCTCTGGTTTTTGGAATTTTCAGCTTTTCTGCTCTGGTTTCTCCCCATCTTTATGGTTTTATCTACCTTTGGTCTTTGATGTTGGTGACCTACAGATGGGGTTTCTGTGTAGATGTCCTTTTTGTTGATGTCGATGCTATTCCTTTCTGTTTGTTAGTTTTCCTTCTAACAGACCCCTCAGCTGCAGGTCTGTTGGAGTTTGCCGGAGGTCCACTCCAGACCCTGTTTGTCTTGGTATTAACAGCAGAGGCTGCATAACAGCAAATATTGCTGCCTGATCCTTCCTCTGGAAGCTTCATCCCAGAGGGTCACCTGCCTGTTTGAGGTGTCTGTCAGCCCCTACTGGGAGGTGTTTCCCAGTCAGGCTACACAGGGGTGAGGGACCCGCTTGAGGAGGTGGTCTGTTCGTTCTCGGAGTTTGAACGCTGTGCTGAGAGAACCACTGCTTTCTTCAGAGCTGTCAGACAGGGACGTTTAAGTCTGCAGAAGCTGTCTGCTGCCTTTTGTTCTGCTATGCCCTGCCCCAAGAGGTGGAATCTACAGAGGCTGAGCTGCGGTGGGCTCTGCCCAGTCTGTGCTTTGTTTACACTGTGAGCTATTCAAGCCTCAGCAATGGCGGACCCCCCTTCCCCCGTCAAGCTGCAGCATCGCAGTTTGATCTCAGACTGCTGCACTAGCAGTGAGTTACGGCTCCGTGGGCGTGGGACCCACTGAGCCAGGCACAGGAGGGTATCTCCTGGTCTGCAGGTTGCTAAGACTGTGGGAAAAGCACAGCATTTGGTCAGAAGTGTACTGTTTCTGCAGATACAGTCTGTCACGGCTTCCCTTGGCTAGGAAAGGGAAATCCCCTGACCCCTTGCGCTTCCTGGGTGAGGCGACGCCCTGCCCTGCTTCAGCTTGCCCTCCGTGGGCTGCACCCACTGTCGAACCAGTCCCAATGAGATGAACCATGTACCTCAGTTAGAAATGCAGAAATCACCCATCTTCTGCATTGATCTCACTGGGGGCTGCAGACCAGAGCTGTTCCTATTTGGCCATCTTGGAAGCCCTCCGCCTTTTCATTTTCTTAGCAGAGTCCTTAGAAGAGCAGAAGTTTTAAATTTTGACTAAGTCCAATGCTTTATTTTTTCTTTTATGTATTATGTTTTTGTTGTTATACCTATGGAAACTAATCCAGGGTCACAGAGATTTTTCTTTTATTTTCCCTTCTAGGAGTTTTATTGTCTTAGAATTTACATTTTAGTCTGTGATCTCTTTCAGGCTAATTTTTGTATATTACCTGGCATAAGGCTAGAGTTCTTCTTTTTGGCATATAGATGACCAGTTATTTCAACATCATTTGTGTAACAGACTATCCTTTCTCCATTGAATTGTTTTTACACTTTTGTCAAAAATTAATTTACTGCATACATGTAGTTCTATTTCTGGACTCTGTCTTCATTAATCTATGTGTCTGTTCTTTCACCAGTACCCTGTCTTGATTAGGTTTATAATAAGCTTTGAAATCAGATAGTATGAGTTCTTTAAGTGGCTTTTCTCTTTCAAAATTGTTTTGGCAATTCTACTTTCTTTGCTTTTCCATGTATATTTTTGAATCAGTTTCTTAGTTTCTACAAAGAAGTTCTGCTGGGATTTTGACTGGGATTGCATTGAAACTATAGATTAACTTGGGGAAAGAATTGACATCTCAACAATATTGAGTCTCTTAGTCTCTGAGCATGTCTATCTTTTAGTTTATTTAGCTCTTCTCTGATTTTTCTTTAATCAAACATTTTATGGTATTTAGCCTTCAGATCTTGCATACATTTAGGTAGATTTAATTGATATTTTATGTTTCCTACTGCCTTTGTATGATACTGTTTTTTAAATTTGAATTTCTAGTTGTTCACTGCCAATATCTACTAATACAGGTCATTTTGTATATTGACCTCGTATGCTATGACCTTAGTTAAACTTACCTATTAGTTTGAGTAGCATTTTTGTGTTTCTAAAAATATTTTCTGTTTACATAATCATGCCATCTTCAGATATAGACAGTTTTATTTTTTACCTTCTAATACATTTCTATTTTATTTTTTATTTCTTTTCTTTTTTCTTTTTTTTTTTAGAGACAGAGTCTCGCCCTGTCACCCCAGCTGGAGTGCAGTGGCGCAATCTTAGCTCACTGCAACCTCCGCCTCCCAAGTTCAAGCAATTCTCATGCCTCAGCCTCTTGCGTAACTGGGATTACAGGTGTGTGCCACCATGCCCAGCTAACTTTTGTATTTTTAGAGTCAGGATTTCGCTATGTTGGCCTGACTGGTCTCAAACTCCTGGCCCCAAGTGAACCTCCTGCCTCTGTCTTTTATTCCTTTATTATAGAATTTTTATTTAACATGAAGTTTATTTGTGGTGAATAAAAGTGCTTCACATTCTAATGTTGTCTGCAAACTTATTCTGTGTTTGCAGAGATCACTTAGATGATCCACTGGATGATACTGCCACTGTGTTTCAGCAGTTGGAGCAGTTGTGCACGGTCAGCAGATGTGAATATGAAAAGACATGTGCTCTTCTTGTGCAGTTATTCGACCAAAATGCACAGAATTACCAAAAACTTCTGCATCCATATTCTGGTGTAACTGTGGACATCACCATTCAGGAAGGTCAGTAAACTTTATATGACTACTGAGTATTATGTTGAATATTAAGTAACATCATTAATCACTTTAATAGTTTTACTGCAAGTTATTTTTATGTATTTTCCCCAATTCCTGGTCCCCTAATAAACCATTAATTTTATTAACCTCCTGGGTATATTGGTAATTTGTTGGTTGATTTTTTTTTTTTTCAGTTTTCCTCTATAAGATTGATAGGATATACTTCTCTCTGGAATCAATATGAAGAAAAATTGATAATGGCCCTTGAGCAGATAGTTTATGAACATAACTATCTTAACTGGTTGTGTTTTCTTCTTTGCTATACTTGATTGCAAACTCAGAACCCAATTTCAGCCAATAAAAAGTATATAATATATCATTGTGATTTTGCTTTTAGGTATTAGCCTTCGTTATGGCTTTACTATTATTTTTATTCCTCAATTTCTTTATTTTGTTTTTAACCCTTTATTGACGGAGGAGGTATTTATTTCTGTATATCCTTTTAGGTCCTTTCAGGAACATAGGGAGTAAAAATAAATGTATTTTTCCAATTTTCTTGTTAAGATGCACTACAGGAATGGAAATTTCTAGTAGAAAGCACTTTATAGTTCTGAAGTTGTTTTGCATATTTGTTTATCTTGTATTGGAAAGTGAGTTTAGTAAGAGATCATAATCAAATTTACTTCCAGTGATTTCCCATTTTAACTTAAAAAAATTTTTAGAAGATTATCCTTTACATTTGAATAATGTTTTTTAAAAATGCGTTTTATTATCTGTCCATCTTGCGTTAAGTCACACAGTACTGATGAGGGGCTAGTGTGAGATAATCTTCTCTACTTCAGTGTTTTTTTTCTTTTATGGGATCTTATTTGTAAATTAAATGGGGACAACTAACACTTTTGCAGCATTTAGTCTCTTCATTATTGATTTATTCTTCTAGAAGAGTTTTGAAAGTTATTA
Organism: Homo sapiens; assembly: GCF_000001405.40. Classification (NCBI taxonomy): domain Eukaryota; kingdom Metazoa; phylum Chordata; class Mammalia; order Primates; family Hominidae; genus Homo; species Homo sapiens. Next base: position 170,925,505 of record NC_000005.10, read on the forward strand.
AATATCAAATTCATATAAAAGGATATTTATATATATTGAGACATACAGAATAGCAGTAACCACAAACACTATTACCTTGCTTAAAGAATAGGTCGTTTGCCAATACCTTTGCAGCATCTTTGTTCCTCTTTCCAAATCTGTCCTCTTTCCTATCAACAGAAAATACTTAACAATCTTGAATTTTGTGTTTATCAATTCATGCCTTTTCTTCATTATTACCACATGTGTATGCATTCCGAAAATAATACATGATATTGCATATTTCTCAACGTTATACAAATGGAATCATACTGCATTTATTCTTTGACAACTTTATTATCATTTCTCAGTATTTTATTTATGACAGCTCATACTGATGCATATAGCTATAGTTCCTTCATTTTCAGTACCATGCACTGTTACGTTGTTTGAATGTACCTCAGTTTATTTGTGCATTCTCTTGTTAATAGGTATTTGTTTTCTGTTTTTTGCTAATAAAATCAGTGCTCCTTAACAATTGTTGTGATATCCATTATATATTCAGCTTTAGTAGGTACTGTTAAACTATTTTACAAAGTGTTTGTACTATTTGACATCCTACCAATAGTGTTCAGGTGTTCCCATCAATCTCTATCAGGAAGTGGCAAACTTTTTCTTAAAGTGCCAAATAGTAAATGTTTCAGGTCTCCATCGCAACTACTCAAGTCTGCCTTTAGCCAGGAAGCAGCCGTAGACCATACTCGTGTCTGTGTTTCAGTAAAGTTTTATTTACAAAAACAGGAGGCTGTCTTATAGGCTGTAGTTTGCTGACCTGGACCTAGATTCTTGCCAGCAGCTCGTATTATTATACCTGCATTTTTGATGATCTAGTTGAGAATAATATACCTCCTAGGTATTTTACTTTTCACTCTGCTGATTAATAAGTTTAGTATTATTTCATGTTTATTGATTGTTGTATCATCATCAGTGAAATGTATGTGCATCTCTTTTGTTCATTTCCACCTCACCACTGGATTGCTTTCTTTCACTGATTTGTAGGAGTCTTTTATGTATTTTGACATTAATCATTTAGGTTTTTGAATTGTAAATATCACTCCAAGTTTGCGACCTGTCTGCTGCATATCATTTTAGTGTGTTATTCTTATTTTCATATCAAACTTGATTTTGATTAATTCACAAAAATTTTTTTGAAGAGGTAATGTATTTCATTGTGCAAAAATTAAAAAACTTAAAATGTGTTCTGTTCCAGTGCTATACTCTGTCCTCCCTTTCTTCACTCTAGCAAGTAGTTATTCTTAGTTTTGCATGTCTTTCCAAAGTTTCTATATGCATATACAAAGAGTTATGAATATATAAATTCTTACCTCCCTTATTTGCATAGAATACAGCATACCATACTCACTGCTCTACTTCTTGCTTGTTTTCATTTAGTGTTTTATAGCTATTTTCATAATATAGAGAGAACTCTTATTTTTTGTAGATACATACGTAATATTTTACTTTTTGAATATATCATAATTTAACCATTCCATCCACTGTTGACAATGATTTTAGTGATTTAGTCTTTTCCTGTTAAAAGTATTCCTGTACAGATAAACCTTGTATGTGTCATTTTATGTATATATGAATTTATAAATTTCTCCTAGTGAAATTGCCGTTGAGTGGAAGGTTAATGTATTTGTAATTCTGCAAATGTTGCCCAGTTGTTTTCTGTAAGGACTATACCATTTACTTGTCCACTAGAAATGTATGAGATTGTTTCCATGTATCCTTCATAGGACAATATATATATATTTTTATTATACTTTAAATTCTGGGATACATGTGCAGAATGTGCAGGTTTGTTACATAGGTATACACATGCCATGGTGGTTTGCTGCACCCATCAGCCTGTCATCTACATTAGGTATTTCTTGGAATTCTTGGCAATCCTGTGTGTGAAAAATGGTTTTTCAGTATAATTTAACTTTGCATTTTTCTTATCAGTGAGGTTGTGCATTGTTTAAATTTACATAAGAGCCATTTGGCCTTTTTTTTTGTAAATGAACAATTCATTTCCTTTGCCATTTTTCTATTGGGTTGTTGGTCCTTTTTTTCTCCTTGATTTTTAAGAGCTTTTTACAGTTAGGAAAGTGAGCTCCTTGGGTGTGATCAGAGTTGCAAATATCTTTTTCCTTTTTTTCTTTGCATATGTTTTAGAGATTCAAATATGGTGAGCATATTTTGTTTCTTTTTGTTGTTGCATAGTATTCCATAGTATTGCCTTACCATAGTTTATCCATTCACCAGCTGATGGACATTGAATTACACTTAGAGTTTTTGGCTATTGCAAATAATGATGTTATTAACATTTTTAGACAAGTCTTTGTATGTAGAAGAAATTTTCATTTCTTTTGGATAGGTACCTAAGATGAGTGCTGGGTCATATGGTAAATGTATGTTTAATGTTGTAAGATACTACTAAACAGTTTTATGAAGTGGATGTATCATTTTTCATTCCCATTAACATTGTATAAGAGTTTCACTTACTCTGCATCCCTGCCATCATTTGCCATCTGTTTAGGCACTCTACTGGGTGTCTAGTGTTATCTCACTGTGGTTATAATTTGCATTCCCTAATGATTAATGATGTTAAGCATCTTTTCTATTCTTTTTTGCCACTTGTATTTCTTATTTTGTGAAAAGTCTGTTGCCCATTTTTAAATTGGATTGTTGGCTCTTTTGTATGTGTTAGGGAATTGCAAGAGTGCTTTATATGCTCTGTATTCTGTATACAATCTCTTTTTCACATATATGTTTTACAAATATTTCCTCCCAGTCTGTGGTTTGTCTTAACTATTTTTCAAAGGTGAAAAGTTTTTAATTTTGATGGTCTACTTTTTCACTTTTTTCTTTATGGCTTGAGGTTTTTGTATTTATGAAATCTTTTCTAACCTAATGCTATGAAGAGTTCTATGATTTCTGTAAGTTTAATAGTTTCAGCTATTATATTGAGGCCTGTGATCCATTTGGTGTTCATTTTTGTGAATGTTGTGAGTTAAGGGTCAAGGCTTACAGTTATCCAGTTGTTCTAACACCATTTGTAGAAAAGAATATCTTTCTCCCCCATTGAATCACTATGACACCTTGGTCAAAAATCAGTTGACCATAAAATGCTAGAGTCTATTAGTGGACTTTTTGTTCTGTACCACTGATCTATATATGTTTATCCTTATGCTAATACTATATTGTCTTGATTACTGTAGCATTAATAATTCTTGAAATCAGGTAATACAAATTATTTAACCTTTTTTTTTTTTCAAAACCGTTTGGCTATTCTAGGTCTTTTGGCTTTACTAATTAATTTTAGCATCAGCATCTCAGTTTCTTCAAAGTAGGTGCTAGCATTTTGATAGGGTTTGCCTCAATCTATACATCAGTTTGGGCCAGGTTAACAACATTGAGGCCTGCAGTTCATGAACATTTAGTTTTCTTTGCAATATTTTATTGTTTTCAGTGTACAGTTAGTGAAATTGTTCACTGAGTTTATTCCTATGTATTTTTGATGCTATTGTAAATTTCCTGATTATTCTCTGCTACTCTATTAAACCAGAATTGAATTTTGTCTTTGTGTCTTATAACTTTGCTTAATTTATTAGTTCTAATAACTATTTCATAGATTCTTAGGATTGTCTATGTGATCATGTTGTCTGCAAATAAAGATAGTTTTATGTCATCTTTCCAGTCTCCATGCCTTTTGTTTATTTTTCTTGCCTTATTCTACTGAGGGCTTCCAGTACAGTGTTGAATAAAATGTTAAGAAGGGGACATTCTTGCCTTGTTTCTGTTTGTAAATAGAAAGCATTGAGCATTTTACTGTTGAGTATGATGTTATCTGTACGCTGTTTGAAGACGTTCATGAGTTTGAGGAAGTTCTCTTCAATTCTTCAGGGTGTTTATAATGAATAACGTATTATTTTGGGGTTTTAAAATAGACCTTTTATGCATCTATTCAAATGACTTTTTTCCTTTATTTTACGAATGTAGTGAATTATATTAATTGATTTTTCGATGTTAAACCAGCTTTGCATTCTCAGGATAAATCCTACTTGGTCATAATATAATGTTTCTTTAGAAATTGTTAAATTCAATTTGCAACACTTTTGTTATTTTATATCAGTGTTTATGAAGGATATTGGTTTGTAGTTTTCTTGTGGTGACTTTGCCTGGTTTGGGTAACATGGTAATACTGGCTTCATAAAATGAGTCCGGTAGTGTTTCCTCTTCCTCCTCTATCTTGTGAAAGAATTTGTGTAGTATTGCTATTATTTCTTCTTTAAGAGGGATAGAATTCGTCTGTGAAGCCAGCGGGCCAAGAGGGTTTATAATTGTGAATTCATTTTCTTTAATCAGCATAGAACTATTCAAATTTTCTGTTTCCCTTGGGGTCAAATTTAGTCATTTGTGTCTTTCAAGGAATTTACTCAATGTTTCAATGTATTGGAATAAAACTATTCTTAATATTCCATTGTTATTAATATCTCCAGAAGCTGAAGTTGAGATTGATAATTTTGTCATTTTTTTCTTTTGTTCTGAGTGACCCAACTAGATTTTCATCACTTTTGTTGATCTTTTTAGAGAACTATTTTTAGTTTCATTGATCTTTATTCTTTCTTCATTTTCTATTTCACTGATTTTTTTTCGCCTTTATTATTTTCTGCCTTATACTTACTTTGGATGTTATTTGATATTCCTTTTCTAATTCTGGGTGCAGACTGCAGATCTTTGAGTTTTAGATTTTTGGACTTTTCTAATAAAAACATTTAAAGCTATCAATTTTTCTTTAAACATTACTTTAGTTGTTTAAACATTACTTTAGTTGCATCCCACGAGTTTTGTAGTTTTATTATTACTTTTTTCTAATCTTTTTATTATTTTTTATTTTATTTATTTATTTATTTATTTTACTTTAAGTTCTAGGGTACATGTGCACAATGTTCAGTTTTGTTACATATGTATACATGTGCCATGTTGGTGTGCTGCACCTGTTAACTCGTCATTTACATTAGGTATATCTCCTAATGCTATCCCTCCCCGCTCCCCCCACTCCCCGGCAGGCCCTGATGTGTGATGTTCCCCGCCCTGTGTCCATGTGTTCTTATTGTTCAGTTCCCACCTATGAGTGAGAACATGCCGTGTTTGGTTTTCTGTCCTTGGGATAGTTTGCTCAGAATGATGGTTTCCAGCTTCATCCATGTCCCTATAAAGGACATGAACTTGTCCTTTTTTATGGCTGCATAGTATTCCATGGTGTATGTGTGTCACATTTTCTTAATCCAGTCTACCATCATTGGACATGTGGGTTGGTTCCAAGTCTTTGCTATTGTGAATAGTGCCACAATAAACATACATGTGCATGTGTCCTTATAGCGGTGTGATTTATAATCATTTGGGTATATGCCCAGTAATGGGATGACTGGGTCAAATGTTATTTCTAGTTCTAGATCCTTGAGGAATTGCCACACTGTCTTCCACAATGGTTGAACTAGTTTACAGTCCCACCAACAGTGTAAAAGCGTTCCTATTTCTCCACATCCTCTCCAGCACCTGTTGTTTCCTGACTTCTTAATGATTGCCATTCTAACTGGTGTGATATGGTATCTCATTGTGGTTTTGATTTGCATTTCTCTGATGGCCAGTGATGATGAGCATTTTTTCATATGTCTGTTGGCTGCATAAATGTCTTCTTTTGAGAAGTATCTGTTCATATCCTTTGCCCACTTTTTGATGGGGTTGTTTGATTTTTTCTTGTAAATTTGTTTAAGTTCTTTGTAGATTCTGGATATTAGCCTTTTGTCAGATGGGTAGATTGTAAAAATTTTTCTCCCATTCTGTAGGTTGCCTGTTCACTCTGATGGTAGTTTCTTTTGCTGTGCAGAAGCTCTTTAATTAGATCCAATTTGTCAATTTTGTCTTTTGTTGCCATTGCTTTTGGTGTTTTAGAAATGAAGTCCTTGCCCATGCCTATGTCCTGAATGGTATTGCTTAGGTTTTCTTCTAGGGTTTTTATGGTTTTAGGTCTAACATGTAAGTCTTTAATCCATCTTGAATTGATTTTTGTATAAGGTGTAAGGAAGGGATCCAGTTTCAGCTTTCTATATATGGCTAGCCAGTTTTCCCAGCACCGTTTATTAAGTAGGGAATCTTTCCCCATTTCTTGTTTTTGTCAGGTTATTCAAAGATCAGATGGTTGTAGATGTGTGGTGTTATTTCTGAGGGCTCTATTCTGTTCCATTGGTCTATATCTCTGTTTTGGTACCAGTACCATGCTGTTTTGGTTACTGTAGCCTTGTAGTATAGTTTGAAGTCAGGTAGCATGATGCCTCCAGCTTTGTTCTTTTTGCTTAGGATTGTCTTGGCAATGCGGGCTCTTTTTTGGTTCCATATGAACTTTAAAGTAGTTTTTTCCTATTCTGTGAAGAAAGTCAGTGGTAGCTTGATGGGGATAGCATTGAATCTATAAATTACCTTGGGCAGTATGGCCATTTTCATGATATTGATTCTTCCTATCCATGAGCATGGAATGTTCTTCCATTTGTTTGTATCCTCTTTTATTTCACTGAGCAGTGGTTTGTAGTTCTCCTTGAAGAGGTCCTTCACTTCCCTTGTAAGTTGGATTCCTAGGTATTTTATTCTCTTTGAAGCAATTGTGAATGAGAATTCACTCATGATTTGGCTATCTGTTTGTCTGTTATTGGTGTATAGGAATGCTTGTGATTTTTGCACACTGATTTTGTATCCTGAGACTTTGCTGAAGTTGCTTATCAGCTTAAGGAGATTTTGGGCTGAGACAGTGGGGTTTTCTAAATATACAATCATGTCATCTGCAAACAGGGACAATTTGACTTCCTCTTTTCCTAATTGAATACCCTTTATTTCTTTCTGCTGCCTGATTGCCCTGGTCAGAACATCCAACACTATGTTGAATAGGAGTGGTGAGAGAGGGCATCCCTGTCTTGTGCCAGTTTTCAAAGGGAATGCTACCAGTTTTTGTCCATTCAGTATGATACTGGCTGTGGGTTTGTCATAAATAGCTCTTATTTTTTTTGAGATATGTCCCATCAATACCTAGTTTATTGAGAGTTTTTAGCATGAAGGGCTGTTGAATTTTGTCAAAGGCCTTTTCTGCATCTATTGAGATAATCATGTGGTTTTTGTCTTTGGCTCTGTTTATATGCTGGATTACATTTATTGATTTGCATATGTTGAACCAGCCTTGCATCCCAGGGATGAAGCCAACTTGATCGTGGTGGATAAGCTTTTTGATGTGCTGCTGGATTTGGTTTGCCAGTATTTTATTGAGGATTTTTGCATCGATATTCATCAGGGATGTTGGTCTAAAATTCTCTTTTTTTTTGTTGTGTCTCTACCAGGCTTTGGTATCAGGATGATGTTGGCCTCATAAAATAAATTAGGGAGGATTCCCTCTTTTTCTGTTGATTGGAATAGTTTGAGAAGGAATGGAACCAGCTCCTCTTTGTACCTCTGGTAGAATTCGGCTGTGAATCCATCTGGTCCTGGACTTTTTTTGGTTGGTAGGCTATTAATTATTGCCTCAATTTCAGAACCTGTTATTGGTCTATTCAGGGATTCAGCTTCTTCCTGGTTTAGTCTTGGGAGGGTGTATGTGTCCAGGAATTTATCCATTTCTTCTAGATTTTCTAATTTATTTGTGTAGAGGTGTTTATAGTATTCTCTGATGGTAGTCTGCATTTCTGTGGGATCAGTTGTGATATCCCCTTTATCATTTTTTATTGTGTCTATTTGATTCCTCTCTCTTTTCTTCTTTATTAGTCTTACTAGCGGTCTATCAATTTTGTTGATCTTTTCAAAAAAACCAGCTCCTGGATTCATTGATTTTTTTGAAGGGTTTTTTGTGTCTCTATTTCCTTCAGTTCTGCTCTGATCTTAGTTATTTCTAGCCTTCTGCTAGCCTTTGAATGTGTTTGCTCTTCCTTCTCTAGTTCTTTTAATTGTGATGTTAGGGTGTCAATTTTAGATCTTTCTAGCTTTCTCCTGTGGGCAGTTAGTGCTATAAATTTCCCTCTACACAATGCTTTAAATGTGTCCCAGAGATTCTGATATGTTGTGTCTTTGTTCTCATTGGTTTCAAAGAACATCTTTATTTCTGCCTTGATTTCGTTATGTACCCAGTAGTCATTCAGGAGCAGGTTGTTCAGTTTCCATGTAGTTGAGCGGTTTTGAGTGAGTTTCTTAATCCTGAGTTCTAGTTTGATTGCACTGTGGTCTGAGAGACAGTTTGTTATAATTTCTGTTCTTTTACATTTGCTGAGGAGTGCTTTACTTCCAACTATGTGGTCAATTTTGGAATAAGTGCGATGTGGTGCTGAGAAGAATGTATATTCTGTTGATTTGGGGTGGAGCGTTCTGTAGATGTCTATTAGGTCTGCTTGGTGCAGAGCTGAGTTCAATTCCTGGATATCCTTGTTAACTTTCTGTCTCGTTGATCTGTGTAATGTTGACAGTGGGGTTTTAAAATCTCCCATTATTATTGTACGGGAGTCTAAGTCTCTTTTTAGGTCTCTCAGGACGTGCTTTATGAATCTGGGTGCTCCTGTATTGGGTGCATATATATTTAGGATAGTTAGCTCTTCTTGCTGAATTGATCCCTTTACCATTACGTAATGCCCTTCTTTGTCTCTTTTGATCTTTGTTGGTTTAAAGTCTGTTTTATCAGAGACTAGGATTGCAACCCCTGCTTTTTTTGTTTTCCATTTGCTTGGTAGATCTTCCTCCATCCCTTTATTTTGAGCCTATGTGTGTCTCTGCACATGAGATGGGTCTCCTGAATACAGCACACTGATGGGTCTTGAATTTGATCCTGTTTTTATGATGTTAGCTGGTTATTTTGCTCATTCGTTGTTGCAGTTTCTTCCTAGTATTGGTCTTATTTGGCATGTTTTTGCAGTGGCTGGTACCAGTTGTTCCTTTCCACGTTTAGTGTAAGGCAGGCCTGGTGGTGACAAAATCTCTCAGCTTTTGTTTGTCTGTAAAGGATTTTATTTCTCCATCACTTATGAAGCCTAGTTTGGCTGGATATGAAATTCTGGGTTGAAAATTCTTTTCTTGAAGAATGTTGAATATTGGCCCCCACTCTCTTCTGGCTTGTAGAGTTTCTGCCGAGAGATCTGCTGTTAGTCTCATGGGCTTCCCTTTGTGGGTAACCCGACCTTTCTCTCTAGCTGCCCTTAACATTTTTTCCTTCATTTCAACTTTGGTGAATCTGACAATTATGTGTCTTGGAGTTGCTCTTCTCAAGGAGTATCTTTGTGGCATTCTCTGTATTTCCTGAATCTGAATGTTGGCCTGCCTTGCTAGGTTGGGGAAGTTCTCCTGGATGATATCCTGAAGAGTGGTTTCCAACTTGGTTCCATTCTCCCTGTCACTTTCAGGTATACCAGTCAGACGTAGATTTGGTCTTTTCATGTAGTCCCATATTTCTTGTAGACTTTTGTTCATTTCTTTTTACTCTTTTTTCTCTAAACTTCTCTTCTAACTTCATTTCATTCATTTGATATTCAATCACTGATATCCTTTCTTCCATTTGATCAAATCTACTGAAGCTTGTGCATGCATCACGTAGTTCTCGTGCCATGGTTTTCAGCTCCATCAGGTCATTTAAGGACTTCTCTACACTGTTTATTCTAGTTAGCCATTCGTCTACTCTTTTTGCAAGGGTTTAGCTTCTTTGCAATGGGTTCGAACATCCTCCTTTAGCTTGGTGAAGTTCGTTATTACTGATCGTCTGAAGCCTTCTTCTCTCGAATCGTCAAAGTCATTCTCTGTCCAGCTTTGTTCCGTTGCTGGCGAGGAGCTGCGTTCCTTTGGAGGAGAAGAGACCCTCTGATTTTTAGAATTCTCAGCTTTTCTGCTCTGGTTTCTCCCCATCTTTGTGGTTTTATCTACCTTTGGTCTTTGATGATGGTGACGTATGGATGGGGTTTTGGTGTGGATGTCCTTTCTGTTTGTTAGTTTTCCTTCTAACAGTCAGGACCCTCAGCTGCAGGTCTGTTGGAGTTTGCTGGAGGTCCACTCCAGACCCTGTTTGCCTGGGTATCACCAGCTGAGGCTGCAGAACAGCAGATGTTGCTGCCTAATCCTTCCTCTGGAAGCTTAGTCTCAGAGGGGCACCGGGCCTTATGAGGTGTCAATCGCCCCCCTACTGGGAGGTGCCTCCCAGTTAGGCTACTCGGGACTCAGGGACCCACTTGAGGAGGCAGTCGGTCCGTTCTCAGATCTCACACTCCATGCTGGGAGAACTACTGCTCTCTTCAAAGCTGTCAGACAGGGACGTTTAAGTCTGCAGAAGTTTCTGCTGCCTTTTGTTCAGCTATGCCCTGCCCCTAGAGGTGGAGTCTACAGAGGCAGGCAGGCCTCCTTGAGCTGCCGTGGGCTCCACCCAGTTCGAGCTTTCTGGCTGCTTTGCTTACCTACTCAAGCCGCAGCAATGGCTCAAGCCCCTTCCCCAGCCTCGCTGCCGCCTTGCAGTTCCATCTCAGGCTCTTGTGCTAGCAGTGAGCGAGGCTCCGTGGGCATGGGACCCTCCGAGCTAGGTGCAGGTCATAATCTCCTGGTGTGCCGTCTGCTAAGGCCATTGGAAAAGCGCAGTATTAGGGTGAGAGTGTCCCGATTTTCCAGGTGCCGTCTGTCACAGCTTCCCTTTGCTAGGAAAGGGAATTCCTGGACCTCTTGCGCTTCCAGGGTGAGGCAATGCCCCGCCGTGCTAGGTGGGCTGCACCGACTTGTTTGGCAAGCCCTAGTGAGATGAATCCGGTACCTCAGTTGGAAATGCAGAAATCACCTGTCTTCTGCGTCAGTCTCTCTGGGAGCTGCAGACTGGAGCTGTTCCTATTCGGCCATCTTGGCGCCACCAAGCCGCTGTTTTATTTTTATTTTCATTTAAAGATAATTTCTAATTTAATTATTATTTCTTTGTTCTTTGTGATTTATGGATTATTTAGAAGTGTGCTTTTAAGTTACAAATATTTAGAGTTTTCCTAGTTATTGTTACTGATTTTTAAATTTTACCTACCTTGGTCAAGTATCATTTTGTGTGATTTCAGTCTTTCTAAATTTATTAAGACTTGTCATATGACCCAGAATATTGTCTGTCCTGGCAAACGTAGCATATACACTTGAAAAGAATATGTATTTTGCTATTTTTGGGTGTAATATAAATATAAATTAAGATAATGTTCATATATTCTTTGTCTTTATTGATTTCTTTTGTCTGTGTAATTATATTGTTTGCAGAGAGAGGGGTGTTAAATCTCCAGTTATGATTGTGGAATTGTTTATAATCTAATTCCTTAAATTTTTGTATCATGTAAACATTTGTGATTGTTATGTCTTCCTTATTGACCTTTACTCTTGAAATCTATCTTATCTGATATTACTGTAACCACTCCACTGTCTTCTTATGCTTACTATTTATGTAGTATATCTTTCTCCATCCATTTACTTCCTGCCTGCCTGTGTCTTTATATTTAAAGTGTGTCTTTTGTAGGTGGTAAATAGTTGTTCCCTTTTAAAAAATCCATTCTGACCATCTCTTTTTACTGGAATGTTTAGTTCATTTGCTAGGTGGAGGACACCAACTTAATTCCATTTAAATTATTTCCTTAGAATGGGAGTTTCATATCTCATTTTCATATCACACTGGTAGTCTGTATGTAGTCCACAAACCATGTGAGGTCTGACTTAAAGGTTTTTTCCTCCTCTTCAGTTAGCACTGAGGTCAAGTCAGACAGGTTTCTGTCTTGTCTTTCTGTTTAGGGCAGATTTTTTTTACCCAGTTTGTATTTTCATTTGGGGTGTAACTCTTTGCATCAGCTTTTTTGGACTTCTCACATTGGGCCTGTCCTAGGCTTTTTCCTTTGGCCATTAGAGGAGAAGCTCAAACTCTAGTTGTTTCTGTGCCTGTAACTCTAAATTTCAGCCTTCATATTATTTTTGGACATTGAGGATCATTTTACTCTTCTACCAGCTCAGTAGTACATTTGGTACCTTTGTGCAAATTAGAAAAATGTTCCATTTCATCCAGGCCATTGCAACAACATGCTAGAGTAAATAGATTGGTGGGCAGAATATAGGCTGGATTTCAGTCCTAACTTGTCCTTTCAGTTGAGTATCTTTACAGGTGACCCTGTAAGCTTGTGTTGTAGTGCTGTTTTTGTTTTGACTGATGACACATGACAATCTTTTGTCATTTCAGATTTGTGTTCTGTGTGCAGACATTAATTTGGATTATGTTATTTTATAATTTGGATTGTGTTTAGCCAGCTATCTATAAAATTACATTTAAAAAATATATAGCACAGACAATTAGTGTTTGGTTCTTCAAAAGTAAAGAGTTAGTAATAACTTAAGTGTGGTCAACTACATCCTCTGAAAGGCCTTTTAGCTGCAAAATAATCAGATCCTGGGCTTACAGTAAGTACGTGAAATTTCTTAGGTTTTTATTTTTCTTCCCACTCCTCTGCTCTCTGATTCTGTGTCTCTCCTTTCTCTGACCTCCTCCCTCCCAGCCTCTCCCATCATCCAGATCAAAAAGTGAACTTTAATCGGGGTGGGACGGGTCAAACAGCAAACAAGGGCAAAAAGCAGGGTTGCTCTCAAAGACAGATAATAAATATCAATGATGAAATTCGTGACAAAGCCTTAGGCCGGTAGCAAGATAGGTGTACCAACCTGAGACTCTTGTATTAAGTTGAACCCTCAAAAGGGTATAAAATGGTTTTAAATTGGTAGATACCCTGGCTTCCAGCAGAAGGGAATGAAAACCTCTTCCAAAGGATCAACCATAATTTAGGGCCTTGGAAATCCTGCAGATTAAGTTAAACAAGTGTTCATAGTAAACAAAAACAATAAAAGCCAGCACATAAACAATGAAGTAAGCTGCCATGAATGAGCACTAACAAAAATAAGTTATCTATTTGATTTAGAACCCCTATCTCCTAAAGACTCTTAAGATGTTGGAATTGGATAGGAATATAAAGCAATTATGTGCGAAATAGTTAAAGAAATAAAAAATAGAATCACAAATGAGCACATAACAGGAGTGTGAAAAACAACCAGGAGGATATGAAAAGGACCTGAAAAAACTTTTTTTATTGAAAACTTTGTGATCTAAAATTTCATGGATGTGTTAAACAGTAAATTGGACCCAACTGAGGAAAGAGTTGGCTAACTGGCAGTTAGAACTGAAGAAATTTTCAAGACTGCAGGAAAAAAGGAAAATGAAAATATTAAAAGAGACGTTAAAGGATGGAATGAGGTCAGGTATGTCAAAATGAGTCCCAGAAAGATAGAATAGAGGAAGGAGGAGAGGTGATAACTGAAGAAATTCTGAGAATTTTTTTGACTTAATAGAAGACATGAGTTCATCAATACAGCAAGCCCAACATATACCCATCAGAAACAGAAAAACAAAACTTTAGTCAAACTATATAACCCCAAAGACAAAATGTTAAAAGCAGCTGGAGAAGAAAGATCACTTAGAAAGTAGTGTAAACTGGACTGATAACTCAACTTCTCAACAGTAAAAATGGAAGCCAGAAGGTGTTAGAATATTATTCTCAAATAACTGAGCAAAAATAACTGCCAGGCTGTTATTGTATATCAGCAAAAATATCTTTCGAGAAAAACGATATACAATAGAGATTTCAGACAAGTGAAAGCAGAACGTTTTCTACTAGCCGATCTTTCATTAAAGGTTTTTATTAAACATTTTAAAGGTTATTTTCGAGGAAGAAGGGGCATGGTCCCAGAAGGAAGAAAAGGAGTACATGGAAATTGGTAAACTCAAAAATTTTATTTTATTTATTTATTTATTTATTTATTTATTTATTTATTTATTTAAGATGCAGTCTTGCCCTGTCAACCAGGCTGGAGTGCAGTGGCGTGATCTCAGTTCATTGCAACCTCTGCCTCCCAAATTCAAGCCATTCTCCTGCCTCAGCCTCCAGAGTAGCTGGGACTACAGTCATGCACCATGCCGGGCTAAATTTTTTGTATTGTTTTAGTAGAGACGGAGTTTCGCCATGTTGTCCAGGTTGGTCTCGAACTTCTGATCTCAAGTGATCTGCCCACCTCGGCCTCCCAAAATGCTAGGATTACAGGCATGAGCCACCGCACCTGGCTGTAAACACATTCATTTTAACATTCATAGTCTGTACAAAATAAGGATTATGTGTAATTTGTGGAATTAAGAACAGAATAAAAACATGAAAAGACAGAAGCATGTCAGAGAGAGAGTCGGGGGAGTGATGAGAATTAAAATTATTTTAAGTCCTTGTCTTATTTAGGAAGGGAATTAAAATGGCAGCACTTCAAGGGTAACAACTAAAAGAGTAGAAACTGTATGATTGTCTCCCATAACCCAGCAAAGAGAAAATAATGAAATAGAAAAATAAGCAAATTCAATTTTTTTAAAAGCCAAGAAAGGAAAATAACCAGAGACAATAGGACAATAGACAATAAAAAAATGGTAGGAGTGTTCCAGATATGTTATTAATCCAATAAACATAAATGAGTTAAATTTACAGTTAAACCAGATTATAAATTTGAATATTTTAAAAATAGCCAATTAATTATAAGTTACATACTCAAAACATTAAAACATGGAAAGTTGAAAGTAAAAGGATTTTTTAAAATGTGCTATGCAAATATGAACGTATAGGAGGCTAGGATCATTGTTAATATCAAACAAAAATGACTTGAAGAGAAAAAGCATTATTAAAACTAGAGCTAATAGTTTGTGTACCAGGAAGGTACAGGTTGAGCACACCAAATTCAAAAATCTGGAATCTGAAATGCTCCAAAATTTAAAACTTTTTGAGCACTGACATGATGCTCAGAGGAAATGCTCATTCAAGCATTAAGAATTTCGGATTTTTGGAATTGTCATTGTCACCCAGGCATGCAAATATTCCAAAATCTGAAAAAATTCAGAACTGAGAGCACTTCTGGTCCCAAGTATTTCAGATCAGGGGTACTCAACCTGTATAACAATTTTAGATATCTAGTACTTAGTGAAGTAGTATCAAAACATATCAAGCAAAAATTGATAGTCGTGCAGGGAGAAATGGACAGACTTGCCATCATAATGGAAGGCTGCAGTACACTTCTTAATTGTTGGCATATCAAATAAGTAGCAAGTTAGTAAATTTAGGAGGGATTTGAACAATGTGATTAACAGACTTTAATGAATTGATGTATATAAAACACTGGAACCAACAGTTTGAAAATACCAGTTTTCTCCAGGGCACATGGCGTGTTTTAAAAAAAATTGTCCAAGCATTAGCATATGAAGTGAGTCTCAGCAAATGTCAATGACTCAGTGTCATAGAGACCACTTTTTTTTTTTTGCAGTGTAGTTTTAATTGCTGATTGGTTAAAAAAAAACTAAATTGCAAAACAAAACAAAAACCCCACAAAACCCCATACACTTGGGAATTTAAAACATATACTTGTAAATATGAGGTAAAAGAAATCTTGAGGAAAATTTTAAAATAGAGTTAACACATAATACAGAAATACAACATTTTTGGAATATAGTGAAAGACTTAATTCAAAGGAGATTTATTGACCAAAAAGCTTATTTAGAAAAGAAAAAAGGCCAGAATGTTGGGACCTAAGAATCTAACTTGAGAAGTTAGAATGAGAGGAACAGATTAAACCCTGAGAATGGAGAAAGAAGGAAACGAAGCAGAAATTAATGAACTAAAAAATAAAGATACAGTAGAATTAAAAAATCAGAAGTTAGATCTTTAAAAAGACAAGAGTAACAAACCTCTTGTGATTAGGAAGAAAGAATTCACAAATATATACTATTAGGAACAAATAGAGGAAATTTAATAATGGATACAGCAAAGATTTAAAAGGTAAAATCATTCTTGCTATTTCCAGAGGTCAATAAATGAGGAAATGAATAAATTTCTAGAAAAAATACTAAAATTGACTTAAAAAAGAGACAAGAATTTAGAAGATGTTTGCAACACACACTAAGCAAGAATCACCATCTACAAGAATATGGGAAGAATTCTTACAAATCAGTAAAATAAACAGTTCTTTAGGAAAATGATCAATAGCAAATAGGCATCTGGCAGAAAAACATAAATGGTGCATATACAAAAAACCCAACTTCATTACCAATAAAAGAAGTAGACCACATGAAATATATTTTCCTGTCTACTGGGAATAAATCATAAGAAATCTTACAGAAAAATGTGAGTCAAAAGGAATTCTTATATACTTCTGGTGGGAGTATAAAGTGGAATCAGTTGGAAATGGAATAGAAATGAATTTGGTGTAGTCTTGTAAAGCAGAACATTTGAATACCCATTGACCTGACCCTTGAACCGTCACATGTGTCCTCTAGAACAGGGGTCCCCAAACCCCAGGCCATGAAGCGGTACTGGTTCATGGCTTGCCAGGAACTGGGTTGCACAGCAGGAGGCGAGCGGCAGGTGAACAAGCATTACTGCCTGAGCTCCACCTCCTGTCAGATCAGCAGCGGCATTAGATTCTCTCATAGGAGCGTGAACCCTATTGTGAAGTGCACATGCGAGGGATCTAAGTTGCACACTCCTTTTGAGAATCTAATGTGTATAATGCCTGATGACCCGAGGTGGAACAGTTTCATCCCAAAACCATCACCTCCCCTTCCTCCCCAGTCCGTGGAAAAATTGTATTCCATGCAACCTGTGCCTGGCACCAAAAAGGTAGGGGACTGCTGCTCTAGAAAATCTGTACACAAAATGTACAATAATATTCATAGCATTATTGTTTATAATGTCAAAAAGTGGAAACAGCTCAGATGCTCATCAATATGAAGATGAATAAATAGATCATAATGTAATTATACAATATTATATAAAAAAATGAATGAACTATACCTAGTGAGTGTCAGAGATAAGATGTTTAATGAAAAGCAACTCTCAGGAAGCTACATACAGCATGAAACGTAATAAAGTCTCCAAACAAATGAGACTTGAAGTGTCTTGTTTAGGAATATATGTATATGTGAGGAAGCTTTAAAAAATCAAAAGAATAATAAGCATTAAATATTGACTCATGCTTACTTCTAGGGTGGAAGGTAAGGGGACAAGCTCGGGAATGGTATGGAGGTAGATGTGACAGTATTGCTAATGCATTGATTGTTCTACTGGGTAGGTGTTTGTTTTGTTACACTTCATATGCGTTACATATATGTTTTCATATATATCAATTATTACATTAAAATGTAAACAGATTCAGTTGGAAAAGACCTATTTTCCTTCAAAAGGATATTGAATGAAGATATGAATGTTTTAAAATACATGAATCAGTTAGTTGAAATGTAATAATTTAGTGGTATTACATAGGACTATCTCTTGAATAAAATGCCAGACCTCATTCTTTGTTAATATAAACCGAAGGAGTTTTTATAGTTGGATACACTATGCAGTTTTAGTAAAATAACATTTCAGAGTCTGTAATATAATGCCTAGTACTTAGAAAATTTTTAATAGTATTAGTCAAAAGGTCAGTGGGAAAGAATCTGTCTGCCCTTTTAGAGATATCTGTGGTCTGCTCAAAATGATCATTTTATATTATGAAAAATGCCTAACATGGCCCTAGTTTGTATACACTGTGTGTAGTAGTATTAGTTTTTTTGCGTGTGTGAACACTTCAGTTAGTGTTGAACAAAGAAAATTATATGCTCTTGTTATGTGTGCTTTAATTTAGATGCTTAATGGCTTTTAATGTTACAAAATAAGTTTATTATTATATTATGATCTCATTTGTATTATATTGTCTCGCTCTTCTGTATTTGTGGTGATATGGTCATGGTTTACGAAAACAATAATCCGTAAGAAATAGGTCATTAACAGTAGTTAACGTTTACTTGTGATCTATGGTAATGACTGATTTCTTTGGGATTACTGCAGTTATAAACCATAATTACAGATTATTACAGCAATAATTATTTTGTTAAGGAAAAAATGTTCTATGTTTGAACAGCTGCTAAAACAAGCACCCTGAACATTTCAGGATAAATAGAAAAATGGAAAATTATAATGGAAATTTAGTATTATTATAAAATGAGATTTAAAAAAAATTATAGATATGAAACTTATGTAGCAGATTTTTTTCTCTAAATGCAATTTAGATACGTGTATTTACATGGTTCTTTAAATTTTGTGAATGTAATTATGTTACCAAAATAACATTTTTTGTATATATTTAAGGTGTACGGCATGATGTTTTGATAAATACGTAGCGAAATGACTACTACAGTCAGCCAAATTATCCTATCACCTTCCATAGTTACCATTTTTAAAATTTTTGTGGTAAGAGCACTTAAAATCTAATCTTTTAGCAAATAAAGTATTACTAACTATAGTCCTCATGCTGTACATTAGTAGACTTACTCCTCCTGTACAACTGCAAGTTTGTACCATTTGACCTAATTTCTAATTTCCTCCCTTTCCTTACCTCTAGTAACCACCATTTTACACTCTGTTCCTATGTATTCTACCTTTTTTTAAGGTTCTGCATATGAGTGAGACCGTATAGTATTTTTCTTTCTGTTAGTAGCTAATTTCCGAAAGTAGCTTCTTAACATTTACTGTTTTGAACACTGTGAGTCTAAAATTGTTCAGGGTTAGGAAATAGTTTAACGTTTATGAGAAATACTGTTTCTCTTTCATCTAAATATCAAAATTGTATTTGACAGCTTAATAAGAACGTCTTTTTTTGAGACAGGGTCTCACTGTCACCTAGGCTAGAGTGCAGTGGTGCGATCTCGGCTCACTGCAACCTTTGCCTCCCAGGTTCAAGCTATTCTCCCACCTCAGCCTCCTGAGTTGCTGAGATTACAGGCGCATGCCACCATGCCCAGCTAATTTTGATATTTTTTGGTAGAGACAGGGTTTTGCCATGTTGGCCAGGCTGGTCTCGAGCCCATGACCTGAAGTGATGTGCCTGCCTCAGCCTCCCAAAGTGCTGGTATTACAGGCGTGAGCCACTGCAACCAGCTCCAATAATAATGTCTTTATATTTCACTGTTCATCTCTAACATTAATTCTAACTCATTCAGTACTTGCTCGATTTTTAAGGTTTAAGAAATATCTTCTTTTCATTTCTCATACAATAGAAACCATTGCTTTCTAAAACAGAGTAAATATGTACTCTATTTTTCTCTAAGTAAACTTCCTTTCAAAATTTACTGTAATTTTAGAAGAAAATGCTCATAATTAATCACATGCTATCTTTGCACAGCATTCTTTGATCTAATAAGTTTAATTCCAAGGTCACAGAAATTAGTACAAATTTAAATTTTGAGAAATTCACATTTTATATTTAGATACTTTACTCATTCTGTTTTTAAACAATGGTGCTCATCATACTGCATTGCAAAAATTATTGATTTTTTCCTCTATCTTATCTGTCTCTCACTAGGCTCAGTTCCCTGAGCATGGAGTCTCTCTCTCCCCTGCCCCAGCCTTTCCCATACATTTGTGTATTTAGTTATATCCCTAGCACAGAACATGATACAAAGTAGATACTTACAGCAGATGTTTTTCTGGAATGTCTTTTACTTGGAATTTTTTTTTTTCCTGGTTGGAGGGTGTTTGTTTTACTAACAGCATTAGAAAGTGTATATGGCTAGTCGTAACTAGCTTTAATTGTAATAAGCCTCTTTGGTAGAGAGGAAAGAACTTAAAAATTCTTATTGTGTGACTTCATTTTCTTGAGCAGCATCTGACGTAAGGCACAGAAAGAACATGGATGTTACATATTGGTATGTCTTATGTTTTTTTGTAGGTATGATACAGAACCACGTTAAAAAGGGGATGACAATTTAATAATAGTTACACTAGCCAACATTTACTGAGCACTTATAGCACTTACTCATATATTTTACATGCAAAATACCAGTTGGTGCTTGTCACAACTCTATGGGCCAGGTATTATTATCCTTGTAAGATTAAGTAGCCTAGTGTAAATAAGTACTAGAGGCAGGATTTGAACCTAGGCTGTGTTCTTATTAGCTAAATTGTACTGCTTCCCTTTTTTTAAAACAAATATTTATCTTCCAGTAGAGAAATATAAAAAATTACATGCACGGTGAGGTCTTTGTCTGTTTTCAGGTAGGCATGTTTTATCAAGGGCTAATAGGCAGGTATTTCTATGTTTACATTATTGGTAAGCCCAAAAAATTAAGCTTGCTTATTTTAAATTCAGCTATATCAACAAGTATTCATTTTATGTGTCTTGTTTTGGGAATCAAAAAAAGTGTGAAATGTCTCCTTGGTAATGATCCCCAAAGCATATGCAGTCTCATCTGTGATAAAGACTCAGGAGACAGCTAAAGAACAGTTCAGGGTTAGGACTCATAATGTGTTAAACGCTTAAGAGATTGTTGGATTATAAGATACTGTTGGATCTTGAAGGTCTGTCTAGCTAATTGACAACTGTATTGCTGGAGCATTCCCTTTTACCAATCTTGAGAGGAAGTATAATAGTTTGAGAATGAACTTTTGGAAATTCATTGCCTAGATTTCAGTCACAGCTCTGCACTTTTAAATAGGGACTTGTAATATTAAATGAATATAGATACAGTACTTAGAACAGTGCCTAGTGCAGAGTAACTACTATATAAATGTTTGCTATTATTTTTAATAGTAATAAAGGCTTGTTTTAAGAAACCAGTATCTAAAAATCTAAATTGATAAAACATAACAGGAAGGTAATTATTTACATTTAAGTGTTTTTCATTTTGAGAAATAATTTACAATAGGAGATTTTAAAAAGAATGACTCCTACAGAGAGTCATTACATATGCATTCACCAAAAGTCATGCTTGCAATGTTTTAGATTCACATCCATTACATGAAGTGTATAACATATCCTACACACAATTGGAGCATAGTCTGTTAATAGCGACCTCTGTAAAATTCTAAGAAATACTACTAATTGTCATTGTTTGGTAGTTATGTTATATAAAGTCGCTGTGAACAATAAATTAGCAAATACCGAACCATTGCTCCTGTGGGCCTCTGACCACAACATTTTCATCAGCTAACCAACACATGACCTTTTTTTAAGTATGTTTCTGTAGAAAGACACCTTATTCAGTATATATTGTCGATTTATTGACACTGAACTCATAGCCAGCAGCACTATTTTTCATGCTGGAACAAAGCTTATCTAACATGTGTTTTCTATATAAGACACATAACAAGCTTTTTTTCTTTAGGAACACTGCATAGCATTTCAGCATTATGCTTAGATCATCTTAAACAGTGAAATCACTAACAAAAAACACAAAAATGTGGCAGTAGATAGACCATTAAAAACATACTTGTTTACATTATGAAGCTGAAACAAGAAGGTAGAGTTTCACTTTGTTTGCTCTGAGCTTGAAACATGTGTACTGGACAACTACAGATTTTCACTGCTTTGCACATTAGCAGGTGACTGAGAGTATTGATTTTGGGATTATAAATAAATTTTATCAAGTAGGCAAATTCACAAATAATGGAATCTGTGAATAATGAGGATCAACTATATCATATCTTATATTGAGTATTATTGGAGAAGTTGCTTTAATTTAAGCAATAGAAATATAATTACTATTACCATTCATTATTAATAATGGGTCTACATTTTAATACATTTATTAAATTGGTAATGTTAACCTTTCCTTTCCTTTTTCATGCCATGTTTTCTATATAATGATTTCTTAATTCAGTAACCCATATCTGTTGATAATGTATAATATACCCAGCGTTGTTTTAGGCTCTGGAGATACAATAGAGAACAAAACAGACAAAAATACCTGTTTTCATGCAGTTTACATTCTGTTGGAATACACAGGTAACATAAAAGATAAGTATGTAAAATATGTTAGAAAATGTTAAGTGCTAAGATTTAAAATAATGAAGCAAGGAAAGAAGATAGGAAATGCTGGGGGGGATTGTATTATCTATTACCAGAACTTAATGGCTTATCAGGTAACAATTGCATTATTATCTCTCAGTGTTCTGGGGGTTGATAAGTCTCAGATGGTTCTCTTCAGGGGTCTTTCAGTCATTGTAATCAGATGACAGCTGGGGCTGGAGTTGCCTGAATGCTTCTTTACTCACCTGTCTGGTGTGTGTGCTGGAATGCTTAGAGTGTATACTCTATCTAGTTGGGCATTTCTCTCTCTGTTCAATCTCTCCAGATGGCTAGTTCGGGCCTCCTAATAGTATAATGGTCTCAGGGTATATGGTCTTCTTAAATGGTGGCAGGCTTCCCCAGAGTGAACATTCTCTGAGAGACTGGAGGAATTTGCCAGTTCTTGTAAAGGTTAGGCACAGTACTAGGATGGCGTCACTTTCACCAAATTCTATTGGTCAAAGCAGTTACAAATTTCCAAAGATTGGAAGAATAAACTCCACCTCTTGATGGCATATACATACATGGAAGGAATTGGTGATGAGTATTTGAAGACAGACTACCATGCTAAGTATTGAAAATTGATAGGATATCTTGGTAAGGTCTGAGAAGGTGACATCAAGTAAGACTGGTCAGCATAGTTGTATCTTTCCCCAGTTATATTAAACTGTGTGAGTACTGGCAAAGAGTAGTGGTGTATCGGACATAAACAGTCATGGTTTTGTAAGATGAGTATATCATAGCAAAAGAGGAGCTAAATGTAAGTGCAAGGCAGAGATGATAATGATTGACCATATAATTAAAGCTAAGTACCTAGGATAGATAATATGTGAAGGGTATAAGAGAGAGTGAAAAAATGGCAGATTCCCAAAAACTAATAAAAGAGATCAGCAAACTTGCAGGATACGGGATCAATAAATAAAATCAATGGTATGTCTATTTTTTAACAATCAGCAATTGAATATGAAAGGAAGAAAGGAAGTCCATTTATAGTATTATCAAAAAGGATAAAATACTTAGGCATAAATTTTAAAAAGAAGTGTAAGAATTATATACCGACACTGTAACAGTGTTGAAAGAAATTAAAGATATAAATAAACAGAAAGACTTCTCATCGTCGTGGATCAGAAGACTTAATATTGTTAAGATGGCAGTACTCTTCAGATTGATCTCCAAATCCGGTGCAATCCACTTTAAAATCCCATGGGTTTTTTGCAGGGATTGACAAACTGTTCCTAAAGTTCATATGGAAATCCATGGGACCCAAAATAGCCAAGATAATCTTGTAAAATAATGAAATTGGAAGACTCATATTTTTTTTTATTTCAGAATTTACTAGAAAACAACAGTAATCAAGACTGTTTGGTACCAGCATACAGGTAGACAGACATATAGGACCTGGGTGCGGTGGCTCATGCCTGTAATCCCAGCAGTTTGGGAGGCCAAGGTAGGAGGATCACTTGAGCCCAGGATGTTCAGGAACAGCCTGGTCAACCTAGTGAGACACCTCATCTCTACAAAATATTTTAAAATTAGGTAGCTATGTTGATGTGGGCCTGTGATCCCAGCTGTTCGGGAGGATCACTTTTGCCTGGGATTTAGAGGCTGCAGTGAGCTATGATTTTGTCACTGCCCTCCAGCCTGGGTGACCGAGTAAATCTTAAGTGACTTTGGGTTGGGCAGCTATTTCTTAGATATGACACCTGAAGCAGACAACAGAAAACAAATTAGATAGACCAGAGTTTATCTAATTAATTAGACAAATTAGATAAAACAGAGTTGCAAATTTTGTGCATCAAAGCATGCCATCAAGAAAGTACAGCCCACAGAATGGGAGAAAATATTTGCATATCATATGACTGATAAGAGATTAGCATCTAGAATACATAAATAATTATTACAACCCAGTAATGAAAAAGACAACCCTTAAAAATGGGCAATGGATTTGAATAGACATTTCTCCAAAGAAGACACACAAATGACCACTAAACATATGAAAGGATGCTCAACATCCTTAGTTATTAAGGAAAGGCGTATCAAAATTATAATGAAATACCTCCTCACACCAACTAGGATGGATATAATAAAAAAGAAAACTACAAGTGTTGGCAAAGATTTGGATAAATTTGATCTTCATACATTGCTGGTGGGAATGTAGAATGGTGCAGCCGCTTTTGCAAACATTATGGCAGTTCCTCAAAATGTGAAAAGTAGAGGTGCCATGTAACTCAGCAATTCCACTTCTAAGTATACTCAAGAGAAATGAAAACATACATCCACATAAAATCTTGTACACAAATGTTCATAGCAGCATTATTTATAATAGTCAAAAGATGGAAACAATCCAAGCTTCCATCAACTGAATGGGTAAATGAAATGTGATATATCCATAGTAACCAAAACAGCATGGTATTGGTATAAAAACAGACACATAGACCAATGGAACAGAATAGAAAACCCATAAGTCGTATGTTTACAGCCAATTGGTTTTTGACAAAGGTGTCAAGAACATACATTGGGGAAAGGATAC
Organism: Homo sapiens; assembly: GCF_000001405.40. Lineage (NCBI taxonomy): Eukaryota > Metazoa > Chordata > Mammalia > Primates > Hominidae > Homo > Homo sapiens. The sequence continues at coordinate 170,950,004 of NC_000005.10, forward strand.
CCTCTTTAATAAAATGGTGCTGGGAAAATTGTATATCCAGATGTGGAAGAATAAAACTGGACTTCTACCTCTTACCGTATACAAAAATGAAATCTAGATGGATTAGACTTAAGACCTGAAACTATAAAACTACTAGAAGAAAACATGGGGAGACACTTCAGGACATTAATCTATGCAAATATTTTATGGCTAAGACCTCAAAAGCACAGGCAACAAACATAAAAATAGACAAATGGGATTATATTAAGCTAAAAAGCCCCTTCACAGCAAAGGAAACAGTCAACAGAGTGAAGAGAGCCTGTTGAATGGGAGAAAATATTTGCAAACTGACCAGGGAGGAATAGAATATGCAAGGATCACAAATAACAGTAAAAAAAACAAAAACAAAAAAAAAATAACTCAAATAAGTGGCAGTCAAATGACATGAATAGACATTTCTCAAAAGGAGAACATACAAATGGCCAATAGGTATATGAAGAAATACTTAACATCACTAATCATCAGGGAAATGCAAATCAAAACCGCAGTGAGATGCCATCTTACCCCAGTCAGAATGATTATTATTAAACAGAAAAAATAACAGAAGCTGGCAAAGATGTGGATAAAAGGGAACTCTTACACACTGGTGGTGGGAATGTAAATTAAAACAGCCATTATGGAAAATAGGGAGATTTCTCAAAAATGAAAAATAGAACTACCGTATTGTCCAGCAATCCCAATACTGGGCATTTATCCAAAGGGAAAGAGTTCAGTATGTTAAAAGAATACCTGTACTTCCATGTTTATTGCAGCACTGTTCACAATAGCAAAGATATGGAATCAACCTACATTCCCGTTGATGGATGGATAAAATAATGTGGTATATATACATAGTAGAATACCGTTAGGCCATAAGAAAGAATGAAATCGTGTCATTTGCAGCAACATAGGTGGAACTGGAGGTTAAGTGAAATAAGCCTGGCACGGAAAGACAAATACCATGTGTTCTTATACATATGTGGGACCTAAAAAATTCATTTCATTGAGGTAAAGAACAGAATGATAGGAGAAGCTGAGAATGGTGTGTGGGTGGACTGGGGAGTGGGGCAGGATGAAGAGAGGTTGGCTAATGAGTACAAACATACAGTTAGATAAAAGGTATAAGTTCTAATGTTTGATAGAGTAGGGTAACTATAACTATAGTTAACAGTGTATTCCATATTTCAAAATAGAAGGCAGGATTTGAATTATTCTCAACACAGAAATGGTGAATACTCGAGGCAATAGATATGCCAAATACCCTGACATGATCATTAAACATTCTTTGCATGTAACAAAGTATCACATGTACCCCACAAGTATGAACAAATATGGTGTATCAATAAAAATAAATAAGATCTATACAAACAATGGAATGTTATTCAGCTATAAAGAAAAATAAGTATTGATATGTGCTAAAACATGGGTGGTCCTTGAAAACATTATGCTGACTTGAAAGGAGATAGTCACAACACTCACTTATTGTATGATTCCATTTATATGAATTGCCCAGAATGGGAAAATCTAATGAGACATAAAGTAGCTTAGTGGTTGTTTAGAAGCTAGGGGCATGGGGGTAGGATGCAGAATGACAGCTAGTATGAAAATGTTCTAAAATTAGATTGTGGTGATGCTTGCATAACCCTGTTAATTTACTAAAAAACATTGAATTATATCCTTTAAGTGGGTTACTTGTATGGTATGTGAATTATATTTCAGTGAAGCTGTTCAAAAAGTGATAGGCTCATGGATTGAAGATTCCCAGTAAAACAAAGGATTATGGAGTTGTGAGATTCATCTTTGTAGATATTGAAATCACTAGTGATTATGATATAAATATTGTTGGAAAGACTGACAGCCAAGAACCAATACTTTCAAAAAACAGGGGGAAATAATCTGCAGGAGAGTAGATAATTGCAATAAGAAGGGATATTTGTTAGTGTTGTTGATGATGTAAGATGTAAAGGTGAATGCTTTCATGATGAAGAAAGAGAAAATATTAAGTAGAAATGAGGAACGTGAAGATCACCTACTCCATATTCAAGGCCCAAGATACACGAGAAGTGGAAGAAAAAGCAGCTACCACTTGATAGAGCCTACAGAGAAAGCAGGGTCATCAGAGTAGAGCTTCTATGATAGACTTTTATATTGACCCTAAAACACTGAAATTCATAAGGTAACTTTCTGGATACTTTCAGCTTCCTACATGAAGTTTTTGATCTGTTACGTTTTTCATGAATTGTATGTCATGAAACTTGAGTCTGTTTTTCAGTGGATTACTTGATCAAATTAGTGTTCTTACTCTCCTACTTAATCTATTTCACATTCCTAATGTATAAGGCTGTATAATTGGTCAGTTCTGGTTTATTTTTGTTTTGTGAGAGAATAAAGGATGTGAATACTTGCCAGGTTAGATTTCTAATTTACAGGAATCTTGTCACCCTAATAGGTTGATATGTCTCACCAAAAATTATAAAAGAGTTGTTGATTAATTGTAGTATAATAATGACTGCTAGTATCCATGGGAGAACAGAAAGAATTTGTTCTTTTTCTAACTTTTATTTGTCCTTTCTGAGTCTTCTAACAAGCAGATAGCCTCTTTTCTTCATTATTCAGTTCCATACCTTTTAAAAAAACATTTTTACTTGAAAGCGTTTCTTAATCAGAAACAATTGATTTCAGTATTATGAAATAGCCCTCTCATCTTTGAAAAATCAGTCTCCAAGAATAGCATAAAATTTGTTTTTAGCAAGATAATTTTATGTTGTTAATTATTTGTAAAGGTCTCAAAAGTACTGAAGGATCACCTAGATCAATGAATCCAGAGATATAAAATAATATACCTTAAGCAAAAATCATTGAATAAATACCTCCATTTCTAAATTAGTCAATTTCAGCTGCCCCCAAAGTAAGATTTATGAAAACTGTAGATGTTGCCATTTGTGCCACTGCCTTAAATCTATTTAATCCTCTACTACTATCAGCTGTGAAGTTAACTCTACCATCAAACAATGTGAAATCTTGGATTTTTTAATACATCATGCATAAAAATACAGAAGGAACAAATTTATTACTATCTATTATGTTCCAAGCAGGGGAAATATTTAAAATGATCACACTGGTACTATCATGACATTGACCATTCAGAAAAGATGCTGGTCCTTGGATCATGAGAGTACATCCTGACTGAATAACAGATCTGGTCCTAGACAGTTTAGTGTTTTGTACTCAAATTTATTTTCAGTCATGTCTTCATGGTAGACATTGTTTTTTCCATTTTACAAATGAAAACCCTAAGACTTAAAGAGATAAGTAACTTATGCAAGATCACATAGCAAATTAGTAGAGCTGGGATTCAAATTAGTTTTATTTGGCTCTAAATTCTATGCCATTTTCAGTGTTCTACTGCCTTGATAAACTTAAAACCGATCTGCTTTCTATCCAGAACTGAGTTCACAATAATTTATCACTCATTTGGAAGAACAGATCATTGTGCTGATTTTGGAATTTCCCCCAAGATAAGCTACGTTTCTATGAATACTTACTAAACTTTTTTCTTCCTTATTCTATATTAGGACGTCTTGCATGGCTGGTATACTTAGTTGGGACAGTTGTAGGAGGAAGATTAACATATACCAGTACAGATGAGCATGATGCTATGGATGGAGAATTATCCTGTCGGTAAGTAAGAGCTATGTAATTTACTGAAATTCACTAAATAGTTAAAAAAAATTAGTTATTGAACTAGTATTATGAGTGAAGACATTTTGTATGTGGCCTTTTGAGGAAGGTATTATTTCCCTTTTTATTGGTGAGAAAACCAAGGCTCAAAGGTTAAATGATTTGTAGAAGTCAAATCTCTAATAAGTGATAGACTCAAAATATTTTGTACATGTTTGTGCAAATAATGTGATAAAGATTTAGGTTGCTTTTTATTACTTAGGATGTGAGCAAGCACATACAGTTGGTGTGTATTGGAAAGGTGGCAAAATTGGGTGACATACATCCAATCAGAAAGTATTAGGTAGTCAGTTACCCATCGCAGGTTTTGTCACCTATTGGCCACAGTCTTAGGAAAAAGCAGTTGAATTATTCTCTTCAAGTTTCTATTCTAACCTGAGGAAAATTTCTATATATGAATAATACAAGTGAATTGATTTTCCATATATTTTAATTTATTTTTAATAACAAATCTCCTTATAACAGCGTCATACATGTTTTTATTGAAGACTTAAACATTCAAATGAAAATAAAAATTATATACTAATTTGGAGATAACCACTACTGTTATTTTGTAAAGTCCGTTTGAGTCTTTTTAATTAACGTGTATGGGTGTATGTTTACTGCATGTGTGTTTTTCAACTTTTCTTAAACATTACAAAACAATGTAAGATGGAGCTAATAATAATACCTAACTTATTTTGGGCTATTATAAGGAATTTATTTTTTTAAATGCTTAGAACAGTGCCTGGCAATTAGTGGTATATTTTACACACACACACACACACACACACACACACACACCCCAACCCCACCCACCCACCTCAACACCACTTTTTAAAATCAAATGCAATATCAACATTTTACCTGGACATTAAATTTTCTAAATTTAGAAAATTCCTTGTTTTTGGAATTTTAGGTTGTTCCTCAATTTTTTTTATTATAAATTACTTTTAGATATACTAAATTGTTTTTAGTTATATCTTTATGTAGACTGAAATAATTTCATTAGAGTTCGTTCCTAAATGCAGAATAGCTGGTCAAAAGTTATGTAGCATTTTAAAGACTTTCAATACTCAATACCACACGGTGTTCTGAAAAAGGACCAATGTATCCTCTGAACCAAGGGTCCCCAACCCCTGTACTGGTCCACAGCCTGTTAGGAACTGGGCTGCATAGCAGGAGGTGAGCTGCAGGTGAGCAAGGATTACTGCCTGAGCTCCGCCTCCTGTCAGATCAGCAGGGACATAGATTCTCATAGGAGGGTGAACCCTAAACTACACATGTGAGGGATCTAGGTTGCATGCTCCTTACGGGAATCTAATGCCTGGTGATCTGAGGTGGAACAGTTTCATCCTGAGACCGTCACCCCACACCACCCCAAACCCCATCCATGGAAACATTGTCTTCCAGGAAACTGGTCCCTGGTGCCAAAAAGGTTGGGGACCACTGTGCTGAACCCAAATTGTATGATAGTTAACATTTGTTAGTGGTTGAACTGCCAGATAGTAGGGTTCATATTGTTGCCAGTTTATAGGTAACAAATGTATTATTTCAATTGGTATTTATTTGGTTACTAGTAGAATCAAACATTCTTTTCCACTCCTAGCTTTGCCATTTTTTCTTTGTGATTTTTATATCTATATTGATTATATTATTTACCTGCTTTTCTTTTGTGATGATCTCTTCTAACTTATTTGAAAGAGCTCAGTATATATATATATCTATATATATATATATATATGCTCAGTGTGTATATATATATATGTATATATATGCTCAGTCTGTGTATATATATATATGCTCAGTCTGTGTATATATATATATGCTCAGTCTGTGTGTATATATATATATATATATATATATATGCTCAGTGTATATATATATATATATATATATGCTCAGTGTATATATATATATATATATATATATATATATATACACTGAATGAACTCTGTAGAGGAACGAACTCTAATGAAATTATTTCAATCTACATAAAGATATAATTAAAAATAATTTAGTTATATCTAAAAGTAATTTATAATAACAAAAATTGAGGAACAACCTAAAATTCCTGTATATATATATATATATATCTCAGAGATCTTAATATTTTGCTCCTCATTTTGAAAATGTTTTCTCTGTATTTTTACTTCAGAAATTTCTTCTTTACTGGCTTTAAATATTATGTATTCAGATCTATGGACTTTTTCCTTCATATTTCTCTGCTGCTTATATTTAGAAAGATTTTTTTTCCACTTCTGATTAATGAAAATATCCACCTGTATTTTCTCCCAGCTGTCTTTGGTATTAATAGCTTTTTATATTTATTTTTAATATATCTTGATATTTGGTTTCATATGTTTTTTCCAAATTTTCCAATTAATGCCAATCCTACCCTCTACTGATTTGAAGTGGCACTTATATCTTACACAAAATTATTTCATCTTTTTTCAGGCCTTTCATACTTTTCCATTGATCTTAGAAGTATATTGTTATATATTTTTACCCTATTAAAGACCTTAAAATTGTTATACCTACTTGTGATATTCTCCTTCATTTTTATTATTAAATATATTTCTAAGTGCTTAATGAATTTATTGTACTTTTGGATAAAAAATTTCATTTTGTTCCATTTCCTTTTCAACCTTTAAACTATTTCTTCAATAAAATGTGAATCTTCATGGACCATGAATATTTTTAGTTTTTCTAAGACTTATTATTTTCTATATCAAATTGAATTACTTGAAAATATGAATAACAGGTGTTTGGGGCCTCCTTAAAGTGCTTTAGTTACTTTTCAACCAAACAAAAAATTTGCTACTCAATCTCTCGAGTAGCTGGGATTATAGGCATATGCCACCACGCCTGGCTAATTTTGTATTTTTAGCAGAGATGGGGTTTCTCCATGTTGGTCAGGCTGGTCTCGAACTCTTGACCTCGGGTGATCTGCCTGCCTTGGCCTCCCAAAGTGCTGGGATTACAGGCGTGAGCAACTGTGCCCAGCTGATTTTTTTTTAAGTTTAATCATCAAGCAGGGAAATAAACGACTGGGCGCAGTGGCTCATGCCTGTAATCCCAGCACTTTGGGAGGCCAAGGTGGGCGGATCACGAGGTCAGGAGATCGAGACCATCCTGGCTAACACGGTGAAACCCCGTCTCTACTAAAAATACAAAAATTAGCCAGGTGTGGTGGCGGGCATCTGTAGTCCCAGCTACTCTGGAGGCTGAGGCGGGAGAATGGCGTGAACCCCGGAGGCAGAGCTTGCAGTGAGCCGAGATCGTGCCACTGCACCCCAGCCTGGGCAACAGAGCGAGACTCTGTCTCAAAACACACACACACACACACACACACACACACACACACGCGCACACTGCCACTATCTCGTGAGAAAACGTATATTAGGAAATAAAGTAGGTATATATTTGCCAATGAGAAACAAATATTAGTTTTTTATTTAAGCAGCAAACGTATTGAACATGTTGAACTAAGATTTGTGTTTTGGCCTGCATTCCCTGGAAAACAGAGCCTTGGGTGAAGTTCATGGGCCAATATTTTTCTGGAGGTTAGGGAGAAGAGTACATTTTTAGAGAAGAAAGAATAAGAGGAAAGGGAAAGTAAGTGAGACAATAAGAGAAAACAAATACAGTCAATCTTTATTATTCCTGGATTCCATTTTTTGTGAATTTGCCTACTTCATAAAATGTGTTTCTAATCCCAAAATCAGTACTCATGGTGCTTTTGTGGTCATTTGCAGACATGTGCTTAGGGATGAAAAAATTTGAGTTTTGTGTTGCACTTTCCCAACTGAGGTTGAACAAGGTGATACTCTGCCTTGTTTCAGCTCTTGTACTGCAAATAATTGCCCTTTTTATATTCTGTTTAGAGCCACATTTTTCATACTGTTGTGCTTTTTGTTGGTGCTTTCAGTGTTTAAAATCGCCCAGCTGTATTGTTAAAGTGCTATTTAGTGTTCTTAAATACAAGAAGGCTGTCATGTGCCATACATGGGTTAGATTAGCTTTGTTTGGGTACCAGTGGGAGTACTGTGAATACTGCAGTAGTCTGTGAGTTCAGTGTTAACAAGTCAACAACATATTTGAAAAAGCCTCTCTAAACAGAAATACACATGAAACAAGATTGCAATCCATTGACCAAAATGTTGTCACCAGAGGCTTGCAGGAACCTAATCCTGTATTTTACCTAGGAGCAATGGTTCATTATTCACTAATTCAGTGTTCACAGTGACTACAGAATATAACTACCATGAATAATGAGAACCAACTATGTAAGGTGGTGTATTACTGAGAAAATACAACTGGTTGCTTGCTTTTATAGGAATTTTCCCTGGAGGCCACACGAAACCACTTGTGCCTCAGAACAACTCATGACTGGGGGAGTAAGGACAAGCAGTATATCCATTGGCTTCTTTCTGTGTCTCGTTTCTTACTGGTTAATGTCTACTCCTGGGGTATTTCACTTTTCCACACTTCTTAGTTATGTTTCCTGGCCTCTTTGAGGAGCTGCTGGGAAGACAGAGCTTTAATTGGTCCTGTTAGAGTTATGAACAGGAATGGTGGTTTGTCTCTCTTTTCTGGGAAGATACATAACTCCAGAAACTGTGAGAGTCTTTTCTGGGGCTACAAGACAAGTGGCTGAAGCCAGGGGTGAGGTGAGAGGTGATAGTGTGGTTGGTGGGTGTGCAAGCAGGGCCAAGCAAATTCAAGGTGGGGCATATTCTAGGACTTACACAACAGTCTGGAAATAAATATGTATTTTAGAATATTGAGATTCTAAACTAAGAATGATGTCTTACGTAAAATTACAAAAAAAATCACTTTCATATGAAGATGTTCCAAATAATTGGAACTACAGTACTGTGACTTTCTATAAGTTATATATAATAGCATTCCAACTCCTCAGAGAACACTACCAAATTAGAAGATCATGAAGCTCCTGCCAAAACTTCATGTGCTATTTTGGCATGAAAAGTTGAAGAGTCATAAAAGCTCCTAACATTGTGATGATTTATAATTATGACTGAAACATGCTACTTTAAACATAGCAAATAAATATATTTACACTCAGGCCACATAATTCTAATTAAATAAAGACATTTATAGTCATTTTAGTTTCATTCATCATGACTAAAATGAAAACCTCTTGAGAGATTCTCCAGGGATTTTGTCTTATTCATCATGCATCCTGTTAACTCATTTATGTATGCAGTTGCAATTTTTAAAATTTTTGCTATCAGACCTTGGCGATGACCTTGAGCAGTAGGATATAAATAACTCCCACATGCTTAGCGTTCCAATAATGGAACACTAGGCATAAATGTAATCCACTAGTGCTAGTAGATTGAGTGCTAGCTTCTTTCAGACCTATTCTACTTAGCTGTGCCACCCTGTGTCTCTCATTGCTCTCACCTACCCATCTCCCAGTCATCCCTCATTATCAAGACTTTAATAACTAGCTCAGAGTTTTCCTCTCTCTCCCAAACCCTGCTATTATATAAATAACTTCAGCTGCTTTCTGATCAGATAATATTTCTCCCATTTTCTTACCCATAAGCCTCCAGTGGCTTCCTATCACACTTGAGACAAATTTCAAGGCCCTTGTGATGGCCCAGAGTATCCTGTGCTACTTCTGACCTCATTTCCTACCCTTTCCCATTTAACACTGGCCTCCTTGCTGTCCTTTGAGTATTACCAGTGTGTTTTCACTTTAGGGCCTTTGCACTTCTCTTTCTTCTGCTAAGAATACTTTCTTCCAGATGTTTGTATAGTACATTTGGCCCTTGAACAATGTGGGAGTTAGGGGCACCAACCTTCCACACAGTTGAAAATCTGCCTGTAACTTTAGACTCCCCCCAAATTTAACTACTAATAGCCCACTGCTGACTGTAAACCTTATTGATAACATAAACAGTCAATTAAAACATATTTTGTATGTTATATGTATTCTATGCTGTATTCTAACAAAGGAAGCTAGAGAAAAGAAAATGTTACTAAGAAAACCATAAGGAAGAAAAAGTAAATTTTCTGTTCATTAAGTGGATCTTCATAAAGGTCTTTATCCTCTTCATCTTAAACATTGGGTAGGCTTAAAAGCTGAGAAGGCGAAGTTGGTCTTACTCTCTCAGGGATGGCAGAGGCGCAAGAAAATTTGCATATAAGTGGACCTGCACAGTTCAAACCTGTCTTGTTCAAGGGCAAACTATTCTTCCTCACTTCAGTCAGGTCTGTACTCAGATGTCTTTTTCAAAGAGGGCTCCTCTGACCTCCCTATCCAAAATAGCATCCTTACCCCACTTTATTTTTCTTGATAGTACTTATTACCTCTTGATGTTGTTTGTTCTACTAGAGTAAGGGAAGGAGTAAGCTTTGTTTTGCTTACTGCTGTATTTTATCTCCTCTGTGTAGCAAAACCTTAACCCTGAGGGAATTTAGGGTTTTCTCTAATTTGTTGAGTGATAGTAACAGAAATTGCACACTTCTGTGGATAGGACCCATTGTCACTTGTTGTTTTTAACCTCAACTAGGCCCTCAGCATTGCTCAGTGATTCTATTTTGTTTCAGTAATTCTTGTCTTCTGACTTCTAAACACCTATTGGGCTGTTTCACTGGGATGTTGTATCCCACATGCACCTCTAATTCAGTGACTAAAATTAAACTCATCTTTTCCATCACCTAACCCTGGCTCTCTTCACATGTCTCTTCATCATACACTCAGTTTCCCAAGCCTGAATCGTGAGAGTTATCCTTAACTTTTTCCCTTTTTCTCTCTAGCATTCATATAGTCATCAAGTCCTGTCAGTTCTATCTTTTAGTTACCTCAGTTAGTCCACCTATCCTATCTCCTCTGCCAGTTTAGCTACTATCATCTTTCACCTGGATTAGTAGTAAGTTTTTAAACGGACTTCTTGCTTCCTTTTGCAGCCAGAGTAATCTTTCTAAAGTACAGATCTGATTATGTCAATGCTTGGCTTGAACTATGCAATGACGTCATTGTTTTTAAGATGAACAACATGGCTTATCAGGCTGTTCATTATCTGGCTCCTGCCTGTCCCATTAGCCTCATTTTCTGCCATTCACTACATTATAGCCATGTTGAACATTATACAGCTGAGTAGCTGGGATACAGGCTCCTGCCACCACACCTGGCTAATTTTTTTATTTTTAGTAGAGACAGGGTTTCACCGTGTTGGCCAGGATGATCTCAAACTCCTGACCTCAAGGGATCTGCCTGCCTTGGGCTCCCAAAGTGCTGGGATTACAGGCGTGAGCCACTGCACCCGGCCCCCTGCCCCTTTAGATGGCTACACATGCTTTCCTTTTTGTCGCAACACTATGGCTTTGCCTTGTTCGTCCTAGAATATTAGGAAATAGCATTTGTTATAGGACTTGTCATTCTTTATTCCAGCTGCTTCTTTTATCTTCCTCTTGATAGATTATAGATTTCTAGAGGACTGGGGATATATAGGTCTTGTACTTTGTTGTATTTTGAATGCCTGACACATATCTGACGTATAGTGGGCCCTCAAATTTGTTGACTGAATAAATGCTTATTTAGTTGGATACCTAGGAAAATTCAGCACAGTTATCCAAAATTCATTTCATTGTGTTTGAAATGGCATGCTTATACTTGGATCAAAAATTATTTATCTTTTTATTCTGTGCTTTTTACCAGAAATAATTTAAGATAAACGAATAATACATGTAGGACAATAAATTGAAACTGGGAATGGATATTATATACACATTGAACATCCCTAATCCAAAAATCTGAAATTTGAAATGCTTCAAAATCTGAAACAGTTTGAGCATCAACATGAATCTCAAAGGTCATGCTTAAAGGAAATGCTCATTGAAGCATTTCAGATTATGGATTTTTGGATTCGAGATGCTCAGATGGTAAGTATAATGCAGATATTCCAAATTTCAAAAAAATTAAAAATCTGAAACACTTCTGATCTGAAGCATTTCACAAAAGGAATACTTAACCTGTATATATTGGTATGTATAGGCATTAGTCTTATACACTTGTTAGAGGTGGCAGCACATCTTCAGAGGGCACTGTGGTAGAGACTGTCAATTGTCTTTCATCTCTTCTTCCTTTCCCTTCCCATAATAAAGTGCTTGATTGTTTTCTTGAGCAAATGGCCACTCTGAATAAAGACCAGATTTTCTAGGTTGTTTTGCAGCTAGGTATGGCAAAGTGATTATGTTCTTAGTGTAAATGAACGTGTTATGTGTAATATATGTAGATGTAATGGGTGGAGCTGAAAAAGCTACCTCAGACCACAGAGTGCTTGTGGAGGCAAGTGTAACAACAAGATGGAAGGAACCTGAGCCCCTGATACATCTTGGAGCACCAACTAGCTTTAGGGAACTACCCTGGATTTTTGCTTGAGAGAGAAATAAACATCTATATTATGTAAGCCATTGTTATTTTGGATTTCATACACTTGCAGCTGAACCAGTACAACTGCTAAAACTTCTTTGACAAATGGATTGTGTACCCTGCTGGGAACTCATTCCTACTCTCTTGCTGGTGGGGATGTCATTGCCTCTTAGGCAAATGCAGATCACCAGCTTAAAATGAGTTGTAAAGGCACCCCAACAAATTTTTGTTCCACATCTTCTTTGAATTTGGGAATGTGTGCTATAAAAAGGAAATAAAAGTAAACAAGAGAAAGTGCATAAAATCAACACAGAACTTGAGTAGGAGAAGGGAGATCCTATGCAATGAAGAATTTAAAAACAAGATACACCTTATTTAAGTCACTTGACAAATCACTTGGCTCCAGAGATGAAATTTGATGTATATATCTATTTATTTAACTAAAACTTACTCCAGTAATCTGCTAATTCACCAGTACACAGATTTTAAAATTTAGCTTTACTCCTCATCTCAAAATTAGAAGATAAACGTATCACACATCCTATTAGGAAAAAAACCTCAAAACCTGTTTATAATAATCTAATTCTTAAATCTAATTCCTCAGCAAGTTCTCCATAAATCTTAGCAGTACTGAGAATATTTGGTATGCAAAGGGTACTTTTAAATAAGTAGCTTTATTTATAAATATAGGAAATAATCACTATAAAAACGCTTGTCAAAATATTTTTTCTTAACATGTTGGCAATACGTAGCAAGTTTTTAAAAATTTTCGTATGCTGTGACCTAGACGTTTTGTTTCGAGAAGTCATTGAGGGTAAAGGAGGGGAAAGTAGTTATGTTTTACTTAGAAATATGAATTTTTATCCAAAATAAGATGATTAAATTTTGATGTAGCCTTAATTTTATGCAACCATTAAAAACAGTGCTTTGGAAAATTATTTAATAACATGGTAAAAATAATTGGTCAAGATATATTTAGTGTGATGGATTGTAGAAAAGAATAAAAGGTTCAGTAAGTGTTCTGAATGCATAAGTGAATCCTAGTATATATGATAAATACTTCATAATGGTGAACAAAAGATAGTCTGTACAGGAAATAAATGGTTTTGAAGCAACTGGGTAGGCATCTTTAAAAAATAATGTTAGCTCCTTGTCTCACACTGTATAATCAAGATGAATCTCAGTGTATCATAGAGGTAAATGTAGAAAACAAGAATCACAAAAATACCTGATTCAGGTAAGACCTTGCTATTATGCAAAATCCATGAAAGAAAAAATTGAACAAATTTTCTGCATGAGAAAAACAATAACAAAAACTTCTGCATGGCATTAAACATTATAAAGCAGTAGGCCCCAGGGACTGGTTTAGTAGAAGATGGTTTTTCCATGGACCGGGGCAGGGGATGGTTTCAGGATGAAACTGTTCCACCTCAGATCACCAGGCATTAGATTGTCATAAAGAGCACACAACCTAGATCCCTCGCATGCACAGTTCACAGTAGGGTTTGCACTCCTGTGAGAATCTAGTGCTGCAGCTGATCTGACAGGAGGCGGAGCTCAGGCGATAATGCTTGCTTGCTCATTGCCCACCTCCTGCTGTGCAGCCTGGTTCCTAACAGGCCACAGACTAGTACCGGTCTGCAGCCCAGGGTTTGGGGACCCTTGTCATAAAGTCAAGAGACAAATGAAACACAAAATTGTTTACAGTTCAATTATAGACAAAGGGGTCAACCCTCTGATATATAAATAATTTGTAAAACTCAGTAATTAAAAGACAGCCAAATAGAAAAAAAATCAGGAAAGGATATGAGCAAACGGGTCACAGAAAATGACATGGAAAATTTTTAACCTCGCCTAAATAAGAGGTGTACAAATTAAAATACACCGAGATGCCGTTTTTCAACTTTCCAGAAATTCTAATTTTCTGTCATCCTGAATTATCTTGTCTGTGTGTATATAGACACTCTTATGGAGTGATGGTAAGAGTATAAATTATTTCAATTTTTATGGAGTGCACTTTGGTAATAGCTATCAAAATTATAATAATTTATGCTGTTCGAGTGAGTAGCTTGACTTTTTGAAATGTGTGTTATAGATGGACATGTGTGAAATGACATATGCAAGATTGTTAATTGCAGCATTTTGTAACAGCAAAAAATTATAAACAACCTTAGTGTCCATCAATAGGGGAATGTTTGAAAATATTATGGTGTATTCATATAATGGAATGTTTTTTTGTTGTTGTTGTTAATTTTATTATTATTATACTTTAAGTTTTAGGGTACATGTGCACAATGTGCAGGTTAGTTACATATGTATACATGTACCATGCTGGTGTGCTGCACCCATCAACTCGTCATTTAGCATTAGGTGTATCTCCTAATGCTATCCCTTCCACCTCCCCCCACCCCACAACAGTCCACAGAGTGTGATGTTCCCCTTCCTGTGTCCATGTGTTCCCATTGTTCAATTCCCACCTATGAGTGAGAACATGCAGTGTTTGGTTTTTTGTCCTTGCGATAGTTTACTGAGAATGATGATTTCCAATTTCATCCATGTCCCTACAAAGGACATGAACTCATCATTTTTTAAGGCTGCCTAGTATACCATGGTGTATATGTGCCACATTTTCTTAATCCAGTCTATCATTGTTGGACATTTGGGTTGGTTCCAAGTCTTTGCTATTGTGAATAGTGCCACAATAAACATACGTGTGCATGTGTCTTTATAACAGCATGATTTATAGTCCTTTGGGTATATACCCAGTAATGGGATGGCTGGGTCAAATGGTATTTCTAGTTCTAGATCCCTGAGGAATCGCCACACTGACTTCCACAATGGTTGAACTAGTTTACAGTCCCACCAACTGTGTGAAAGTGTTCCTATTTCTCCACATCCTCTCCAGCACCTGTTGTTTCCTGACTTTTTAATGACTGCCATTCTAACTGGTGTGAGATGGTATCTCATTGTGGTTTTGATTTGCATTTCTCTGATGGCCAGTGATGGTGAGCATTTTTTCATGTGTCTTTTGGCTGCATAAATGTCTTCTTTTGAGAAGTATCTGTTCATGTCTTTTGCCCACTTTTTGATGGGGTTGTTTTTTTTTTTCTTGTAAATTTGTTTGAGTTCATTGTAGATTCTGGATATTAGCCCTTTGTCAGATGAGTAGGTTGCGAAAATTTTCTCCCATTTTGTAGGTTGCCTGTTCACTCTGATGGTGGTTTCTTTTGCTGTGCAGAAGCTCTTTAGTTTAATTAGATCCCATTTGTCAATTTTGGCTTTTGTTGCCATTGCTTTTGGTGTTTTAGAAATGAAGTCCTTGCCCATGCCTATGTTCTGAATGGTAATGCCTAGGTTTTCTTCTAGGGTTTTTATGGTTTTAGGTCTAACATGTAAGTCTTTAATCCATCTTGAATTAATTTTTGTATAAGGTGTAAGGAAGGGATCCAGTTTCAGCTTTCTATATATGGCTAGCCAGTTTTCCCAGCACCATTTATTAAATAGGGAATCCTTTCCCCATTTCTTGTTTTTCTCAGGTTTGTCAAAGATCAGATAGTTGTAGATATGCAGCGTTATTTCTGAGGGCTCTGTTCTGTTCCGTTGGTCTGTATCTCTGTTTTGGTACCAGTACCATGCTGTTTTGGTTACTGTAGCCTTGTAGTATAGTTTGAAGTCAGGTAGCATGATGCCTCCAGCTTTGTTCTTTTGGCTTAGGATTGACTTGGTGACACAGGCTCTTTTTTGGTTCCATATGAACTTTAAAGTAGTTTTTTCCAATTCTGTGAAGAAAGTCATTGGTAGCTTGATGGGGATGGCATTGAATCTATAAATTACCTTGGGCAGTATGGCCATTTTATCTCTGAATAGACCAATAACAGGCTCTGAAATTGTGGCAATAATCAATAGCTTACCAACCAAAAAGAGTCCAGGACCAGATGGATTCACAGCCGAATTCTACCAGAGGTACAAGGAGGAACTGGTACCATTCCTTCTGAAACTATTCCAATCAGTAGAAAAAGAGGGAATCCTCCCTAACTCATTTTATGAGGCCAGCATCATCCTGATACCAAAGCCGGGCAGAGACACAACCAAAAAAGAGAATTTTAGACCAATATCCTTGATGAACATTGATGCAAAAATCCTCAATAAAATACTGGCAAACGAAATCCAGTACCACATCAAAAAGCTTATCCACCATGATCAAGTGGGCTTCATCCCTGGAATGCAAGGCTGGTTCAATATACGCAAATCAATAAATGTAATCCAGCATATAAACAGAACCAAAGACAAAAACCACATGATTATCTCAATAGATGCAGAAAAGACCTTTGACAAAATTCAACAACCCTTCAAGCTAAAAACTCTCAATAAATTAGGTATTGATGGGACGTATCTCAAAATGATAAGAGCTATCTATGACAAACCCACAGCCAATATCATACTGAATGGGCAAAAACTGGAAGCATTCCCTTTGAAAACTGGCACAAGACAGGGATGCCCTCTCTCACCACTCCTATTCAACATAGTGTTGGAAGTTCTGGCCAGGGCAATTAGGCAGGAGAAGGAAGTAATGGGTATTCAATTAGGAAAAGAGGAAGTCAAATTGTCCCTGTTTGCAGATGACATGATTGTATATCTAGAAAACCCCATTGTCTCAGCCCAAAATCTCCTTAAGCTGATAAGCAACTTCAGCAAAGTCTCAGGATACAAAATCAATGTACAAAAATCACAAGCATTCTTACACACCAATAACAGACAAACAGAGATCCAAATCATGAGTGAACTCCCATTCACAATTGCTTCAAAGATAATAAAATACCTAGGGATCCAACTTACAAGGGACGTGAAGGACCTCTTCAAGGAGAACTACAAACCACTGCTCAATGAAATAAAAGAGGATACAAAGAAATGGAAGAACATTCCATGCTCATATAATGGAATGTTAAGCAGCTTCAGAAGAGAATGAGGAACCTCCTTATGTCTGATGTGTAAAGAGCTCTAAGATTCATTGTTCAATGGAAAAAGCTAAGCTTAGAACCATGTGGATAATATGTTCTATGTGTTCAGAAGGGTTGGGAGGAGAATCTGTAGTCATATTTGCCTGTACATACATAAAACATTCTCTGGAAGACATATAAACTATTAATAATGTGTGTATATATGTTCATGTGTGCATATATGGAAGAAACTGGGTGGGTCAGGCCTAGACAGAGCTTCCTTTGTGCAAATTAGAAAAGGATACTGCTTCCTCAACAACCTCTACTTCTGTCTCAAAAAATTATTATATTATATTCATTTTGTTAGCACAAGGTACTTGGCGGTCATCCACCAGAAAATTTTAATGAAAATAGATAATATTGAAGGATTTTTTTTGAGGTTCTGCACTAAGTTTTTCATTATATTGAATTAAGCTTTTTCTGTAGGAAATTTAACATAATCTTCAGTTCATTTATAATTTTCTAATAATAATAGTTTTGAATAATAATAGAAAAGTTGTGATTTTCTCTTAATAATAGTTTAACTGCTGTTAGGAATATTTGATTTTGTAAAGATCACCTTGTAGTTTATTTAAGGTAAAATTTTATTATTCATTAAGGGCAGGATATAACTTTTGTTAGATGTACCTCTTGATATTTTTTTGAACTTTGAGTCATGACCTCAAAATATTTAATTATTTAGAAATACAAGATTAAGTAAAAAGGTGAAATACAAGACTACATACTTAATATCCTTCTTCTTTTACTAAAAATTTATAGTAAATTTTTACTGTAGTATAGGGTTTTTTATGTGTATGCCATGCATTTATTTTATCAGTTTTTAGTAAAATAATATCTGTATATACATACAGAGTTTTGCATCTATATGCATGTATGTGTATGTCTTAGGAAAAAAAGGCTAGAATGAATTAGACCAAGTAGTAATATCTCTCAGTAGTAGGATTTCAGATGATTCAAAAAATATTTTCTTTATATTTTTTTATTTTCCCACTTTTTACAGTGATTATATGTTATATTACATTTATGGTAAATGTTTTAATGTTGTTTCTCTAAGGTTTTGTACTGAAGGTTTTTTTTTTATTTTCCCTTCATGAAGAGTTTTTCAGCTTATATCTTTAATGGATACCGGATTGCCTCGATGTTGTAATGAGAAAATAGAGCTTGCAATTCTGTGGTTCTTGGATCAGTTTCGTAAAACATATGTTGGTGATCAACTTCAAAGAACCTCAAAGGTAGGTTTCTACTAGAGAGTTTAAAACATGTTATTGGGGATGAAGAAAGATGTACATATATAACTGAATGATATATTTGGGAAATTTCTACATAAGACGTGTAATTGATTAATGAATTGATGAATTGGTGATGAAGTGCAATGTAAAATTAAGTTGCTTGTTTTATACCTAGTTTACCATTTTCTTTAAAGATTGAGTGGCAGAGAGGTAATGAATATGTTTTACATGGATGGTCATTAAACAGTTGAGATTATTTTAAACACTAATCAATTTTGCCTTATTGTATTTCAAGACTGAAAGCATAAGATTTGCTTTTTTAGTAGTTCCAGGGTTTTTTGGACACTTATTTATTTATGTGGCTTCTAGTATATTTCACTAATTTCTTGGCATTTGTACATGATTAAATAATGAGGACTAGGAAAATTAGATGTGTCCTTAGGAGACTGCATATAACCTTAATGTTAGGAATACTCATAGTATGATAATTGAATGTTTAGCATCAGTAAGTTAAGATGACTTGATCTTAAAGTATAATGAAAGATTATTAAGGGCATTTATGTGAAACCTAAGCAGATATTTAGTAGCATTAGATACTGACACTGAGTAAAATCTTCGCCATAAGAAGTTCTAAGGATATTCTCATTTCATTTGAACTTAGTTTGTTTTAGTGATGTTGTAGGATTTTTTATTTGAAAATTCTAAAATAAACTTTTTATACTCATTTTAGCTGTTTTATCTTAGGAAATGTAACCTTCAGTTTACTTAGGATTTTCTGATAATAATAATTGTGTAGTAGTGTGAAAAAATTTTTTGTTTGATTTTAAGATTATCCTTTAGTTTATTTCAGGTAAAATATTCTTTTTTAAGGAAATGATGCCATTTTATAATTTCTTTCTCAAATATATTATGATATTATCATTTAGGATTAATATCAATAAAATTCTCTTAGAATTTAGCTGCCACCAAATGAGACCATTTGGAAGAAAAAGAGTAGCTAGAAATAAATGTTTTAGGTTGTCAGTAAGACAACTTAGAATCAGACAATAATTACATACTATAAAATTTATATAACAGAGTGCCTTTTTAATAATCCCAGATGTGATACTTGAAGATTGAATATAAATCAAATGATGATAAATTTTCTTGTTTAATATGTCCAGAGAGTATCTTTGCTTTTGCAAAAGGGTTACTCTCAAAATATTGCTAATACAGTATCCATTTGGTGTAGGTCTTAAATCAAAACAGTATAATATGGAGTAGAAAATCCTTCTAAGTGTTGTTTTGAAGGCACCTGGAAGGAACTATGTAAAATGAGACTAGTTGTTTTAGGGCTATGGGATTTCGGATTTTGTTTCAAAACTTTTAATATAAGGTAATTGTGAAAAAAAGCGAATTACAGATTAGTTTTTCGTTTTTGAAAAAGCTTGCACTTTAGGAAAAAGTAAACACATCACCAGAATGGTATTGACTCCTTTATTGTAACTTTAACATTGTTGGTGTGTGTATCTTACCCTATTAAAGGAAGTTAGTCCTAAGGTGACAAAATTTCTAAGGCATTTCTATTGCATAACCCCAGAGTGAAACTAAATCTTCCTACTTTTTGGTTTCTCTGACTTACCTGCCAATCTGTCTTAATAGAAATCATTTTCAGAAGTCCTTAATTATGTGTCCCGTCACTCTCCTAGGTACTCTTCATGCTAGCTTTATTCCTTACAGTAGGCTTGCAAGGTTGGTATTAATGTCCTCATTTTACTAATGAAAGAACAGACTCTCTAAGACATTTCGTAAGTACTATATATACAATTTTTTTAGCAACCAACTACGTAAGGAAGAGTGAGTGGAACATATTTCTTGGTGGGTGTATTGTCTGATTCCAAATTGTGGCAAAAAGTGGGAGAATACTAGATAATAGCAAATGAATGTTTAACAATTAATGCGTGCTTATTTTGTACCAGGAACTGTGCTAAGCACTTTTGAGCAGTCTCATTTAATTGTATCATGTAGAGTATGACTTCAAGGTTCTTCCCAATCTCTTTTCGGCATATGTCACCAGCTTCATACTTCAGTACACCATACTTGCACTGCATACTTTATATGTGGTAAACTTATTTCAGGTTCTTCAGCAGTCTGTGCTCTCTGTTAATTCCAGGTATTAGAAGAAAATGTTTCCCCTGCTTAATTATGCCTAGTGTTCCATTATTGGAACGCTAAGCATGTGGGAGTTATTTATATCCTACTGCTCAAGGTCATCATCAAGGTCTGATTGCAAAAATTTAAAAAATTCCAACCTCAGGCATGAATGGGTTAAGACACTATTTTTTTTAAATCCATCTTTTACTTCTCTGCCTTATTCTGCCAACTACTTATTGTTATCAGAGACCCCATCCTTTAGTATCCCCTTTTTAACTCTCAAATTCTGAGAGTGTTCGTTTTGTCTGTGTTCTGTAGCACCCATTTGTTCCCTGTTTTAATATTTATTACACTGCTTTGTAATTACTTGTTAGTGAATAGACTGTAATTTTGGTTAGTACTATTTCTGCCTTGTTTATTGTTATCTGAAAGAGCCTGGCATGTATGTATTGTTTGTATGCTTTCAACTTACTGTTGAATGTGTGTATTTAATAGAATTCTATAGGAATTCGGCCTAGATCTCATGTATAATACTTTCAGGTAATAAAGGATATATTCTTGAGTTGGAAAATGATGCTGACTTGAGTGAAATTATTCAGCAGTTATAAATAAGGTGTAATATTAAGCATCTTGAACATTTTATAAAAGCCTGTATAGACAACAGAATATAATTTATAGAAGTAAGTTCTTCAGGAACCAAGGTGGAATTACTAAAGTGTCCTAAGTGATGTATGTGATAGAAGTCCTATATGTGAGAAAGAATGTTGTAAATAGTAGCCATAGGCATTTATTGAGCAACAAGTCTGTGTCAAATACTTTGCTCAGAACTTGAAAGGCATTATATAATTTCATTGTCACAAAAATGCTATGAAAATAGCGATTTTGTTAAAATCCTTCCTTTCTGTAGACATGGAAATTGAGGTTTAGAGGGGTTAACCAATGTGTTTAAGTGGTTCAACCTGGATTTGAACCCTAGGCACCTGACTGCAGAGCCTGAGCTGCTGACCACTTTGGTATATTGCCTCCTTTTTATTGGATCTTTCCACTGGGATGTTGAATGGGCCCTTGAAACTTATTTCCAAAAAGGAACTCACTATCTTTTAGAACTCTGTCTTCCTACTTCCCATATTTTAAAGAAGAATGACATTGAATTTCCCTTTTGTACCTCTTGTATCCAATCTGTCACCTAATCCTGTGAATTTTACTTTTGGAGTATCTCTCAGGTGTACTCCTTTCTTCTGCCCCTTTCTTTTTAGCCTCACTTTCACTGCTTGTTATTTCCTATGGAATTTCAAAAGTATTCTACTTGCCCTCTTTGTTTCCATTTTGCTTCTCCCCACTCCACTCTATTTTCCATACTGCCACTGGAGTATTTTTTTATTAGAAAACCAAAGAATAATGTAATAAACACTCATATGCCCATCATTCAGTTTTGTCAAGTCTTAATGCTTTGCTATATTTGCTTCAGATCTGTATATTTTTGAGTTAAACATGAATAATCCTGTTGCTGCTCTGATTTCACTTCTCTAGCTTCTTGCCCCACTGTCCTAAATTTAGTATTATTCTCATCCATGATTTTGTACTTTTTCTACATTTCTGTGTATATATAAACAAAACACAGCACTGTTAACTTTATATAAAAGTATTATGCAGTTTGGATCTTTAGGATTTTTTTTTTTTTTTTTTTTTTTGAGGTGGAGTTTCGCTCTTGCTGTCCAGGCTGGAGTGCAATGGCGCCATCTTGACTCACTGCAACCTCCGCTTCCCAGGTTCAAGTGATTTTCCTGCCTCAGCCTCCCAAGTAGCTGGGATTACAGGCATGCACCACCGCGCCTGGCTAATTTTTTTGTATTTTTAGTAGAGACGAGGTTTCACCATGTTGGCCAGGCTGGTTTCGAACTCCTGACCTCAGGTGATCCACCCACCTTAGCCTCCCTGAGTGTTGCAATTACAGGCGTGAGCCACCACATCTGACCAGAATTCATCTTTTTTTATTACCATTTTTGAGATTTATTCATAATGACACATATAGTTCTAATTATTTTAATTATTGAGTGGTATTAGAGTGTATCACTATGCCATTATACATTGATTTTATTATTGATATGTTAGATTGTTTCCAGATTTTCAATTTTTACAAACAATACTGCAGTAAATATTCTCATGTCTGCATCCTCATGCATATGTAAGAGTTTTGTGAAGATAAATAGTAGAATTGCTGGGCTGTAAAATGTACATATCTTAAGCTTTACTAGATATTATTAGGTTGCCTTCCTAAGTGTTATAACAGCTTATTTCCTCTCCCCCAGCCAGGGTAGGTGTCTGTTTCTATTGTCATTATATGTGCTTTTGTCAGACTTTAAGTTTTGCCAGTCTTTCAGAAAAATTTTTCCTGTGCAATTTTTCTGCTTAAATTTTTTTATTGGTTTCTCGTTACTTATAAAATGAATTCTTGCTTATGATGAAACTTTGCCTACCTTTGAAATCATTTCTTTTCATTCCACTTTATGACATGATTCATATGTGCTGCTGTCTTTTTTCCTTTGGTTTATTCCTGTTCATTACTCAGTGACTATTGATAAGTAACCACTATGTATTAATGCCAGGGATGCAAAAGTGAATAGGATCATCCATCTCCCCTGTAAGTTTTTAGTTAAAGGGAACATGGACAAGTAAGGAAAAAAAATTATAAAATTGATTCATATATGCATTTAAACAGCATATGATGAAATGAAGACCAGACAAACTATTAAATACATACTGCTGGGATTTTTGGTTATCTGTATGTGAAAATTTGGATTAAGACTTCATATCATGCAAAAATCAATTTCTAGTAGAAGACAGACTCTAAATATGAAAAGCAGAATACTATGATTTAGGGATAGGGAAGAATTTTTTAAGACATAAAAAAGCTAAGCTCTAAACTCAGAAGTTGGTAACTTCTACCTATATTAAAAGTAAAAACTCCTGTGAATCAGAAAACACAATAGACAAAGTAATAAAGAAAAGCTGTAGGAATACATTCATAATACATGTAACTTATAGAGAATCAACATTCGGTTATATAATTTCTGTGAATAAATAAGAGAAAAGCTACCTACTAGTAAAATGGCCAAAATACATGAATAAACACTTCACAGAAGAAGAAATCACAATGGCCAGTAAACATGGTCTTAGTCCTCTGGGCTGCTGTTAACAAATACCATAAACAACAAACATTTGTTTCTCACAGTTTGAGAGCCTGAGAAGTTCAAGATCAAGGCTAGCAGATTTTGTGTGTGGTAGGAGCCCTTTTCTGTTTTCATAGTTGGTGCCGTCTCTCTGTGTGTTCACATAGTGGAAAGGGCACACAAACTCTCTCAGACCACTTATGAGGACACTAGTCTCATCCATGAGAGCTCTGCCCTCATGACCTAATTGTCTCCAAAGGCCCTACCTCTTAATATCATCATGCTGGGAATTAGATTTCAACATACGATTTTGTCAGGGACACAAACATTCAGACCATAGCATTTCACATTTGCCCCACAAAGTGCATGTCCTTCTCATATGCAAAACACGCCATTCCATTCTAGTTTAGTCCCCAAAGTCTTAGTTTATCCTACAATCAGCTCCAAAGTCTGAAGCCTAGAGTCTCATGTAAATATCATCTAAATGAGATGTGGTTGAGACTCCACAGTGATTCATTCTGAGCCAAATTACCCCTCTAGCTGTCAGCCTGTTAAATCAGATAACATCATATGCTTCCAAAATACAATGGTGGGACAGACACAGGGTAGTCCTTGCCATTCCACAAGGGAGAAACAGGAATGAAGGAAGAAATGACAGGTCTTGAACACGTCCAAAACTTAATAAGGCAGCATTAAATCTTCAGGCTCCAGAATAATCTTCTTTGACTTAATGTCCTACTTTCTGAACACACTGGGGTAGGGATTAGGCTCCCAAGGCTCTAGGTGGTAGAGTTCTCATATACTGGAGTTGGGTGCTTGCTGCTCTCCCAGGATGGAATCACATGCCAGTGGCTCTTTTAGTCTAGAGTTCCAGAGATGAATGACTCTGCCCCCATGACTCCACTAGGCATTGCCATAGTGGGGACTTTCTCTGGTGGCCCTGTCCTTCCAGCAACCCTCTGAGTTGTACAGCTGAAGCTCCAGGCAGCTCTATTTTTGGAACTGGAGGTGGCCACACCCCCATGGCTTGAGCATTTTGCAAGCTGGAGGAAGTGGTACTGCATGTATGCCACCAGTGTTTACTCTCTATGCCCTCTGAAGGGGTAATCACTTTAGCCTAGGCTGCACTTGGGCCTATGGAACTGTACCTGGGGCAGCCAAGGAGCACTGCATGAGAATGTGGGGAGTGGAGTATTAAGGCAGGGCCAGGCAGCAAGTGCTAGGGTCCTGTGAGTACCCATGGCCCTTCCTTTGAAATCATTTTTTCTTCCAGGCCCTTGCGCTCTGGGCCTGGGAGACAGAATGAGAGACAGCCCCAAGGATCTGTGATACACTTTCAGGGTCATTTTTTCCTTGTCCCTGCCAGTCCAGGCACACCTTTTGTGTTCTCTCCTGAACATACTTTCTCATTTTTCACAATATGGAAAGGCTGATAATTTTTCAAACCTTTAAGTTCTCTTTCCTTTTGATTGACCATTTTGTCTTTAAATCATTTTTCTTCTCACATTTTATTATTATAAACATTCAAGGGAAACCAAGCCATTATTTTGCTTAGAAATTTATTCAGCCAGCTGGGCGTGGTGGCTCACACCTGTAATCCCAGCACTTTGGGAGGCCGAGGTGGGTAGATCACCTGAGGTCAGGAGTTCGAGACCAGCCTGACCAATATGGTGAAACACTGTCTCTACTAAAAATACAAAATTTAGCCAGGCGTGGTGGCACGTGCCTGTAATCTCAACTACTCTGGAGGCTGAGACAGAATTGCATGAACCTGGGAGGCAGAGGTTGCAGTGAGCCGAGATTGCGCCACTGCACTCCAGCCTGGGTGACAGAGTGAGACTCCTGTCTCAAAAAATAAAAGAAAGAAATGTATTCAGCCAAATATTCTATATCATTCCTTACAAATTCTTTTTTACAAAACAGTAGGACACAAACAATTCTTCTAGGTTCTTTGCCACTTTTATAAGGGCACCTTTTATAAGGGCACTAATCCCCCTTATAATTCTCTCCCAAAGGCCCTCTCTCTTAAAACCATCACATTGGAAATTAGATTTTAACATACGAATTTCCCGCATTTTTTCTGCAGCTCTGTTTGTTTTTTATTCTTTTTCTCTCTGTCCTTTGAATAGTACTAGGGTCTTAATATAGATGTAAAAGCTAAAAAACAAAAAAACAAACAAACAGAAACACCAAAATGGATTCCAGCATCTTATAAGTGCTTTCTCTTATGATCGAGAGTAAGACAAGCATGGCTACTCCCTTCTCTTCTATTAAATATTGTACTAGGGGTTCTATTGAGATAAATAGGCAAAAAACAAAACAAAACAAAACAAAAAGGCATCCAGATTTAAAAAAAAAAGGAATCTAGGAATAAAGGGATTACATCTCTACTTGCAGATGACATGATCTTATGTATAGGAAATCCTAAGGATCCACTGAAAAACTGTTAGAACTAATAACATCAGTAAGTTTGCAGGATTATAAGATTAATACAAAAACTCGACTGAATTTCTGTGCACTTGCAATAAACAACCCAAAAACAAAAGGAACAAAACATTCCATTATAATAGAATCAGAAAGAATTAAATAGGAATAAATTTAACAAAAGTGTAAAACTTATAATCTGAAAATCATAAAACATTGTTGAAACAAATTAAAGGGGATGTAATAACTGGAAAGATATCTTATGGTCATGGATTACAAGACTTAATATTGTTAAGATAGCAGTGCTCTTCAAATTGATCTACAGGTTTAACACAATCTCTACCAAAATCTTAGCTGTTGTCTTTGCAGGAATTGACAAGCTTATCCTTAAATTTGTGTGAAATTAAAAGAACGCAGAATAGCCAAAACAATCTTGGCCAAGAACAAAGTTGGAATACTCACACTTTCTAATTTCAAAACTTGCTACAAAGCAGCAATAAGTTGTTACTTACAATAATATTAAGTTATAGTAATTATAGTAAGACAGTGTGGTAAGCATATACATATAAACGAATGAAATAGAATGGAGAGTCCAGGTAAAAACCTTCACATTTGTAGTCAGGTGATTTTTTGACAAGGGCATCAACATAACTCAGTAGTGGAAGAATAGTTTTCAACAAATGATGCTGGTACAACTGGATATTCACATTCAAAAGAATGAAGTTAGTCCTCTCTCTCACACCATATGCAAAAGTTAACTCAAAATGAATCAGATCTAAATGTGAGAAAAATATAAAATGCTTAAAACATAGAAGTAAGTCTTTATGACTTTGGACAATGGTTTCTTAGCTATGACATCAAAAGCTCAAGCAGCTAAAGAAAAAGATACATTGGACTTCATCATTTAAAAACTTTTGTACTTCAGAGGACATCATCAAGAAATTGAAAGCGCAACCTACAAAAAT
Organism: Homo sapiens; assembly: GCF_000001405.40. Taxonomy (NCBI): domain Eukaryota; kingdom Metazoa; phylum Chordata; class Mammalia; order Primates; family Hominidae; genus Homo; species Homo sapiens. Next base: position 170,977,067 of record NC_000005.10, read on the forward strand.
GGGAGAAGATATTTGCATATCATATATTTCATAAAGGTCTCGCATCTAGAATCTATAAAGAATTCTTATAACTCAATAATAAAAAGATAAATAACCCAGTTTTTTAAATGGGCAAAAGATCTAAACAGACATTTCTCCAAAGAAAATCTATGAATGGCCAACAAGGACATGGAAAGATCTTCAGCATCATTATTTATGGTAGAAATTCATGTCAGTGCCAGAAATAGATACCACTTTACACTCACTAGGATGAATATGATTAAAAAAAAAAGATAATAACAATTGTGAGTGAGAATGTGGAGAAATAGGAATCTTCATACACTGTTGCAAGGAACGTAAAATATTGCAACCAATTTGAAAAACAGTCTGGCAGTTCTTCAAAAGGTTAAACATAGAGTTACCATGATTCAGTATTTCTACTCTTATGTATATATCCAAGAAAATGGAAACTACACTCTACATAAACATTTGCACACATGTTCACAGAAGCATTATTTCCAATAGCCACAAAGTGGAAAAAAATTTGCATGTCTATTAGCTGATGAATGGATAGATAAAATTTGGTATTTCCCCAAGTGGAATGTTATTCAGCCATAAAAAGGAATGAAGTACTGATAGATGCCGTAACAAGTATGATAATTGAAAACATTACGCTAAGTCAAATAAGCCAGCCACAAAAAAACAAATACCACATGATTCCAGTGGTTTGAAATGTCTGGAATAGGCAAATCTATAGAAATAGAAAGTAGATTATTGGGTGCCTAGGGCTGGGGTTATTGGAGATTGGGTAGTCATGGACAAAAGGTATGAAATACCTTTGTGGTGTTGAAATATTCTGAAATTGATTGTGGTGATGGCTGCACATATCCATAGAAAAAAACACTGAATTGTGCACGTTAAGTGTGTGAATTATATAGTAGGTGAATATGTCAACTTGTTACCAAAAAACAGACCAAAAAACTCACTTTTAAAATGGGCAGAAGATTTCAACAAGCACTGAAAAAAGGTATCTAAATGGCCAATATGCATATAAAAAGGTGTTCAGTATTATTAGTCATCATCAGAGAAATACTAATTAATACCTAAGTGAAATATCACTGCTCATCTGACAAAATGGCTAAAAATTTTAAAAACTGATCAAACCTTGATGATGGAGTGGAACACATGATAACATTTGTTGCTGGTGGCAGTGTAAATTAATAAAATCATTTTGGAAAACTATTTGGCGATGTACTAAAACTGGATATAGTCTACCTTATGACTCATCAGCTCTACTCTTATTTACCCAGAAGAAATGAATTTATATGTTTGCCAAATGCAGTGTACAAGAATATTTATAGCAACTTTATTTATAATATCCAAGAACTGGGAACAACCCAAGTGTCTGTCAGCAGTCAAATGGATAAATAAATTAATGTATACTCATACACTGTAATACTATACAACGATTTAAAAAAAGAAAAACTACATGCAAAAATTTGGATGAATTTATGATGATTTTACAATAATCACTTCAGCTATGATGAAGAATGAAAAAGATCAAAAGTGTACATATTTTATTATTCCACTTACCAATTTCTATAACAGTCAAAACTAATTTATGGTGATGGAAGTCAGAATGGTGGTTACCTTTGGGTAGGGAGAATATTTTGACTGGGAAAGTGAACTAAGGGAGCCTTCTGGGGACCTTGAAATGTTTTATTTTGATGGGGCTTAAATGAGTGTATACATATATAAAGACACTGAGCTCATATTATGATTTGTGCACTTCATATTTTGCCTCAATTAATTTTTTTTACAAAAGATTCATGGAAGCCTGGTGTGTAATTGTGTAAAAAAGTGGAAACTTGCCTATCAGTAGAAGAATGGATGAATTACGGTATTGTTACACAGTGGGATTATGTATAACAGTGAAAATGAATGATCTAAAACTACGTTTATTTTTGGGTAACTCTATAAAACCATCCACAATATGGTATGAAAAAAAGTCATACAAGGACACAAATGACATTCCTATGTCAAATATGTTAAGAAAATTGTATGCTCATGAATTCTACCTATGGTAAAAATAATATGTGCATGGGATTAGTAAACACTAAATTCAGGATAATGGTTATCTCTGGTTGAGAAGAGGAATGGATTAGAGCAAAAGGCATAGTTCAACCATATCTGTAATATTTTCTTAGTCTGCATGGTGGGTGTGCATGGGTGTTTATTAAATTTTATGCCTTTCTCTATATTTGAAATATTTAATTTGCAAAAGAAATAATTATAAGAACTCTAGTTAAATATAGCAAATTAAAATTTCACATTTACCCTCCTGTCCCCTTGCAACTGTATCATAATGAGAGTAGAGGAATAAAAAATACATTTGCAAGGAAGAAATTAGAGAATGATATGGTCTGGCTGTGTCCCCACCCAAATCTCACCTTGATTTCCCATGTGTTGTGGGAGGGACCCAGTGAGAGGTAATTGAATCATGGGACAGGTCTTTCCTATGCTGTTCTCATGGTAGTGACTAAATCTCACAAAATCTGATGGTTACTATAAAGGGGAGTTGTCCTGCATAAGCTATCTTAATTTGCCTGCTGCCATCCATGTAAGATGTGACTTGCTGCTCCTTGCCTTCTGCCATGATTGTGAGGCCTCCCCAACCATATGGAACTGTAAGTCCAGTAAACATCTTTCTTTTGTAAATTGCCCAGTTTCAGGTATGTCTTTATCAGCAGCATGAAAATGGACTAATAAAGTAAATTGGTACTGGGAGTGGGACATTGCTGAAAAGATAGCAGAAAATGTGGAAGCAACTTTGGAACTGGGTAACAGGCAGAGGTTGGAACAGTTTGGAGAGCTCAGAAGAAGACAGGAAAATGTGGGAAAGTTTGGATCTTCCAAGAGACTTATTGATTGGCTTTGACCAAAATGCTGATAATTATATGGACAGTGAAATCCAGGCTGATGTGATCTCAGATGGAGATGAGGAACTGGAGCAAAGGTGACTCTTACTATGTTTTAACAACAAAACTGGCGGAATTTTGACCCTACCCTAGAGATCTGTGGAACTTTGAACTTGAGGGAGATAATTTAGGGTATCTGGTGGAAGACATTTCTAAGCAGCAAAACATTCAAGAGGTGACTTGGGTGCTGTTAAAGGCATTCAGTTTTAAAAGGGAAACAGCATAAAAGTTTGGAAAATTTGTAGCCTGACAATGTGATAGAAAAGAAAATCTCATTTTCTGAGGAGAAATGCAAGCTGGCTGCAGAAATTTGTATAAGTAATGAGAAGCTGAATATTAATCCCCAAGACAATGGAGAAAATGTCCCCAGGGCATGTCAGAGACCTTTGTGGGAGCCCCTCCCATCACAGGCTCAGAGGCCTAGGAAGAAAAAATGGTTTCATGAGCTGGGCCCAGGGTCCCCATGCTGTGTGCAGCCTAGGAACTTGGTGCCCTGTGTCGCAGCTGCTCCAGCTGTGGCTGAAAGGGGCCAATGTAGAGCTCAGGCCACGGCTTCAGAGGGTGCAAGCCCCAAGCCTTGGCACCTTCCATGTGGTGTTGAGCCTGCAAATGCACAGAAGTCAAGAATTATAGTTGGGAACCTCCACCCAGATTTCAGAGGATGTATAGAAATGCTTGGATGTCCAGGCAGAAGTTTGCTACAGGAGCGGGGCCCTCATGGAGAACCTCTGCTAAGGCAGTGCGGAAGGGAAATGTGGGGTTGGAGCCCCCACACAGAGTCCCTACTGGGGCATCGTCTAGTGGAGCTGTGAGAAGAGGGCCACTGTTCTCCAGACCCCAGAATGGTAGATCCACTGACAGCTTGCACTGTTCACCTGGAAAAGCCATCGCCAGCCTGTGAAAGCAGTAGAGGGGAGTCTACCCTGCAGAGCCACAGGAGCGGAGCTACCCAAGACCATGGGAACCCACCTCTTGTATCATCATGACCTGGATGTGAGACATGGAGGCAAAGGAGATCATTTTGGAGCTTTAAGATTTGACTGCCCTGCTGGATTTCAAACTTGCATGGGGCATGTATCCCCCTTTGTTTTGGCCAATGTCTCCCATTTGGAATGGCTGTATTTATCCAATGCCTATACCCCCATTTTGTGTAGGAAATAACTAACTTGCTTTTGATTTTACAGGCTCATAGGCAGAAGGAACTTGCCTTATCTCAGATGAGACTATGGACTGTGGACTTTGAGTTAATGCTGAAATGAGTTAAGACTTTGAGGGACTGTTGGGAAGGCATGATTGGTTTTGAAATATAAGGACATGAGATTTGGAAGGGGCCAGGAGTGGAATGATAGGGTTTGGCTGTGTCCCCACCCAAATCTCATCTTGAATTCTCGTGTGTTGTGGGAGGGATCTGGTGGGAGGTAATTGAATTCTCACGTGTTGTGGGAGGGAAGCAGGTCTTTCCCCTGCTGTTCTTGTGATAGGAAGTCTCATGAGATCTGATGGTTATTAAAAGGGGGAGTTTTCCTGCACAGGCTCTCATTTTTTTTTTTGCCTGCCACTATCCATGTAAGACGTGACTTGCTGCTCCTTGCCTTGTGCCAGGATTGTGAAGCCTCCCCAGACATGTGAAACTGTAAGTCCGTAAACCTCTTTCATAAATTACCCAGTCTCAGGTATGTCTTTATCAGCAACATGAAAACGGACTAATACAGTATGTTAGGAGACTTGAAACTAGCAACCAGATGTATAAGCGGTATCTGTCTTAATGTACCTGAGAGATTCTAACCTTAAATTCCTGCAGTGAAGAAAGCTAGTAGTTAGGTGATTTGCACTAAGAACCCTGGAAAAGCCCAGAACTTGGAGACTCTAGATACCTTTGAATGCTGCAGTTCGGGGTGTGGCTAAAAATAGGATAACTGATTTAATTAGGATTAATTATATTCCCAGAACGCTTACCTGTCCCAGCACAACTGGAGATTGTCTCTCCGAAATTCTTGCAAGAGATAGGAAGTTTTTTATGGAAGTTTGAACAGGAGGTTCTAGGGGATAAGAATAAGACACTGGACTGAAAAATATTCCTAGACACTTTACAACTCTTAGTTGTCATGAACTGTTAGCCAGGGTTAAAACCCCAAAGCAGGAAATTAGTGAAATGCTTTTGTGATGAAGAAGCTTATTCAAGAGAGAGACCTACAGATATAGATATAGATATATAGGATCCTCAATTTTAAAATCAGCCTGCTTATGACCCTACAGTGAGGTTTACTGGATGAGAAGCCCTGTTGTGAACATAAAGCTCCTATTCTTTTTTGAGTAACTCATTCTGATAATACAATTGACAATAGCTAGCCTCTTGAAGAAAACCTCATATGAAAACCAAAGAGAAAAACAGAAAATAGGAAATTGGAGGAAAACAGAATTAATATTAAAACCATTAAAAGGATTTTGTTAAAAGATGATTCAGAGAAGAGCTCTTTGGAATTAAGACATGATAGAAGAAATTAAAACTTAGTAGGTTTGGAAGATAAAGTAGCCAATATCACCTAGAATGCAGAACAGAAAGTTAAAATAAAACTGGATAATAGGAGAGAAAATAGAGAATCCAGGAGGTCCAACATTGGATTAATGGGAGTTCCAGTAAGAGAAAAAGAAAGAATACTAGAAATTCTCCTGTAGTGAAAGATAACAGGTTCCATACTGAAAAGGACTATGCAGAGTTCCAGCAAAGTGAGTGAAAGAAGATCCATATTAAGGTATAGTATTGGAAATTCACAGCATCAGGATTGGAAAAAGAGGAGATCCTTAAAGCTTCCAGAGAGAAGAGGGGTTACATTCAAAGGACTAAGAATGAAAATTACATTGGTCTTCTCAATTGCAATACTAAAATAGAAGACAGTGAAACATTGTCTTGCCAATTTTGAGAAAGAAAATGAATTTCAACTTAAAATTGTATATCCAGTAAAACTTAAGTATGAAAATAGAATAAAGACCTTTTCACTCAGACAAAGCCTCAACTTTACTTCTCTTATATCTTTTACCAGGAAGTTGCTGGAGACTGTATACTACTCAATTAAAAAAGTAAACCAAGAAAAGAGGAAGAAGGGAGAGATGGGATCTGAGAATCAGAGGATCAAACACAGGAGAGAGGCTAAGGGAAGCTCTCGGATAACAGCTGTGCCTCAGGCCTTGAGAGCAACCAGTTCAAACTGGAGCAGATGGAAGGTCATAGGTGTTTTGTTTTGTTATTTTTCTTTAAAGAACTGATAGATTACTTGCTGTCTTGGACCAGGTTGAGAGGAATTGAGTTTTACAGATCTGGAATAGTGTTTGAGGGTCAACTAGTAATAAATAGAATCACATAAAACTTAGGTAAATGAAAAGGAAGTCAAACTAAACATTTGTGCACAAAAGGGAATTGAATCATAGTACCATGGAACTTAGTTATGAATGATGAATACAGTATCATAAATATGTTAGGGAGTCAAAAGATAATGTGAAAAATTCTTATATCAGGAAATAGCTCTGTCTGCCTGTTTATTTAGAAGAATGAATGAAAATAGTAAAAGAAATAGCCGAAAGAGTTGAAAATGGGTTGACTTGAGTATTGGAATCAGATATGGAGAGGAGTATGTCAGAGGATGGCAGTTTTTTATTACTGTTTTACTTTTTAAATCATGTATGTGTATAATTTTAGTAGAAATACAAATTTGGACAATTACAACATAGTTTTATGCATGAAAAAATAATGGTAAGCGTTTGGTGCCCTGAAAACACAGGGGACAGTGTATTTAACCCAGATTTTGGGAATCAGAAAGGCTTCTGGGAGAGAAGATTCCTGAATGAAATCCAGAAGAATTAGTTGAAGCTGCTGAAGAGGAAGGAAAATGGGATGCTTGTTCTAGGAGGTAGAAGCAGAATGTGCAAAGCCTTAAAGCTCTACATTGGAAGAAATCCAGATAGGTTAGTATAGCTAAGGCTTGTGGTATTCCCAGTGAGCATTACAGAGCCTAACATTAGATTTTCAGCAAATACTGAATAAATAAATAAATAACTGATGTAAGGGAAGGAGTTTTTTAAGAGTAGGAAGTCTGGGAAAGCAGACACATAGCAGTCACATGCAGCCTACCTTGTGTCTAGAGCACCAGAATTCTAGTCAAGAAGGTACAGCAAATTCAGGTCTCTACAGACTGACCAGTTTGTCATCCGGGTGTATGGTTTCTTTCTGAGGTACATAGATAACCCACCCAGGAGTTTAGTAACATATAATTAAAGTACTCCAGAATGTTCATGGAATAAAATATTCTAACCAAAAGTGTGTTTAGGCCAGGCACAGTGGCTCACCCCTGTAATCCTAGTGCTTTGGGAGATAAGGCGGGAGGATCACTTAAGGCCAGAAGTTTGAGACCAGCCTGTGCAATATAGCGAGACCCTGTCTCTACAAAAAATTCTAAAAATTAGCTGGGCATGGTGACACACGGCTGTAGTCCCAGATACTCATGAGGGTGAAATGGAAGATCACTTGAGTCCAGGAGTTTCAGGCTGCAGTGAGCTGTGATCACACCAGTGCATTCCAGCTTGGATGAGGCAGCAAGACCCTGTCTCAAAAAACAAAAACAAAAAAAAAGTGTAGCTAATAGTTAAATACATATGTAAATGATCACCTATTTATTAGGGTATAATTTAAAACGTTAAAACTCTTAGAATATTTCTTAGACTGTATCAGAATTTTACAGTATTTCCTGTTTATTTTTGTATCCATTAGTTGTTACCTGGTGTGTCACCATTTACTCTAATTATAAATTATCTTAGTTTATTGATAACAATTTTAAGTATTATTTTTTATATTAAATGTCTATTAGAAAAGGTCCATTTTAATTTTTAATCCAATTAAAATGTGATTTTTAAGTTTTAAAAATGGATAAGGAAGAGTCCTTTTAAAATACAGACACACACACAAAGACACACACATATACACAGACACACAGACACATACACATATACACACACAGACACACAGGCACACACAGACACACACAGACACATATACACACACAGGCACACACACACGCAGAACCACACATATACACACAAACACATACATACACAAACACAGACACACACAAATGCACACACAGACACACACACACACATCTTAGCTTCTGAATATCTACCAAAAGTTAGAAGTTTTGAACTTTGTTCTTAAATCCCTTTATTCAAGCTTACCCTACCATAAACATCAGTTTTGTCTTGGTTGGTTATGAAACCTTATCAGTGAGTGAAATTCCAAAAATTAATAAATACGTGTTGTTAAGGTCCTGGAATGTATTTTCCTTTAAAAATAGACCCATAAACAGTGATACTGATCAAGCATAGTATAATAGAATTTGCCTGAATTCTGTCCTCCCAAAACAGGATACCAGAAATTGAGCAAGAAGTAATTCCCTTTCTCTCTTCCATTTAAATTTTGAAATAGACAAGTTAATCTTCAAAATTTTTGCTCTCATTCTTCATTCCTTGTTTTGATATCCTATTCAATCTTTCACCACCAAAGGGTGAAATCCCTTGTATCTCTTTTGTTCATCACCATCTAGGTATACAGGAAAACACACACGTGTGTGCACTTGTGCAAATCTGCTTTCTTTCCAGTACCTTTCATCTGCCAGATGTCAACTGGAAAACATTCCAATTGAAGGATGTCATGCTATTGTATAAATGAATTCTCCTGGAAAGGATTGCCTTTCCTAAAGAAAATATTTATTAGTGCCAAATAATTCAAATGGTATAACAAAGTGAAGTGAAAAAATCAGTATGTGTTGTGGTAGCTGCTTGGATAGGGGTACCATCTTGTCTGGGAGTGTATACCTATGCTAGTTTCCTCCTTTTTATTTTTTGCCTTCATTCTTCTGAATTTACATATTTCCTAAAAATTTCCAAATTGCTTTTCAGGAAGATTTTCAAGGCATTGGGAAGGTTATGAAGCCAGAGGGAGTGAAAACAGAATAGTAATTTATAAATAAAGTTACCATACATCCAGATTTGCCTGAGATTTCCCCAGCTCACGCTTGTTGTCTTGGCAGATTGTTAGTTAATAGCTTCATCTTTCATTCTCAAAAATGTCTCTGTTTGGATGATAAATTATATGATCTCCTTGCATATAAACCACAAGTTTCTAAAGAGGATAATATAGTAATTCATAAATAAGTTTGTAAAGGCCAGGAAGTGAACCTTTCCTTTTGACTCTGTGGCTCTCAGTACCTGAGTAAAAGCCTTGTTTATAAGTGTCATGAACTAGTGATATATAAGCATGTTTAGATCTTTTTTGTGGAATAACTTGAAATTTGCATTAAGCCGATAAGTGCTCCAGTAGTGTAACTATAGTGAACAATAATTTATTGTATATTTTAAAATCACTAAACAAGTAGAATTGGAATGCTCCTAACACAAATGGCAAATGCTTGAGGTAATGGATACCCCAATTACCCTGATGTTTATTACACACTGTATGCCTTTATCAAAACATCAAATGAACCCCATAAACATATATATATATATACCTGTGATGTACCCATAATAATTGCAAATCTAGAAATTTTTTAAAAGATAAGTTCTCATTGATGTATTTTCAAATTGTCCAAAATAAAAACGGGGAATTATCTAAACTTTCAAGCTTTATCTGTGTATATGGATTTCTAAATTGTTTTGTGTAATTACTTATTATTCAACCTTTTTCCTACTGTTGAGTACACATATGAAGCAGCAGATGGCATTCTTTCCCTGCAATTGTTATGTCTTCCTGTATGGTATGTTACTGTAATAACAGTTACTGTTAAATTGAGTAGGAAAACACTTGAATAAGGAAATAGAAAAACATTTCATGATAGTATCTTCAATGGACTACTACAACTTTAAGTGCAATCCAATGTTAAAATAATGTACTAGCTGCTGTTTCATGGTACTTGGATATATTCTGATTACTGGCAACTTGTATGTTTGTATTTGATACACAATTTGGGGGAAAAGTGTTTAGAAAGTTCATCCTAAACAAATTGTTTCATACATAGAATTTTCACTTTGGTGAAAAATAGGTAGCAGCTTTAATACCTTTTAAACACTAAACATTGAAACATTTTAAATATTTCAGCATGCCAAATATATCATGTAGATTATAGGGGAAAGGCACCTGTGACCTTTAAGATTATATGTTGAAGCTTGATTGTTACAGAATAATGCTTAGTGACTTTAGGGATTTTTTTCTGTTAAGTGTTTTAAAGCTTTTCAGACTATTTCTGGGCTGCTTTTTGACTACCATATACTGAATAAATATATCATAATCAGTTTTTGTAATAGATAACAATTTGACCTAGTTAGGTTTTCCTTCTTGGTGAGTGGTTAGTGCTTATATTTCAAGTTAATGTACATACTGCTAGATAGTTTTATTGTTCAGGGATTTGTTATTTTAATAGTCATGTCATATGCTCAATACATATATAATACATTAGTATTCAGATAGGCCTTTTTAAAAAAAAAATAATTTCTCTATACCGCTTCCCACTTTTTTATCCTACATGGTAATATATATTAACTGTTTTTAAAAACACACATTTTATACCTGCTTAACAGAAAGTTGAGCAAATAATTAGACTAAAGGCCTAATTATTTTATTTAAAAACGTCTTTGCTGTATAAATAGATTTGCCAAATTCTACTTTTGAGAATGAATTCCATAAGTGCATTTAAGTGTTGGTGCAAGAGCATTAAGCACTAGACGAGGATGTTTGGGGCAGAAAAATCTAGTTAAAATCTTTGCAGCCACTGGTAATTAAAATTATGGTGTAAGTTAGAGAAATACAGGAAGTAAATTGGAAAAATATGGGCTTAGTTTTTTTTTAATAAGCTGACTTTTACTATTTATTTATCATACCAAATATACCATTATTTGACATCAAATCTTGTGAGAATTATATTTTGTTATGTAATTATATATACATTAAACACTTACTCTCTCCCTTGTGCTATGCTAGATCCTGGAAGAATTCAAAGATGATGATTTTTTGTGATTACTTAATAAAATATATGCTTACCCACAGAATATTTTTACTCTATTTTTTCCTCTCTTTTTTTCTACTTACTTTTAATGATTATAAATTCTCAATCATTATAAAATTCGGTATCTGTGGATAAATGCACAAAGTAAAACTCCACGTGCATTCTGATGTGAATGGCACTTTTTGGATTGTTCTCGAGTAATTATAGTTTGATGATTGATTTTTTTTTTTTAAGTAAGGGAGAGGGTGATAATTTCATCTGGTAGAGAAAAGTTTTCTGTATTCCACCTATCTTTTAGTGTTTGATTTTTTTTTTTGGTGATTCTAGGAATAAGAATAATAAATGAAATACCATGTAGTATGTGACTAAATACCCAAATACCAAGTAGATGTACTTTGAAGAGTTGTCAGCACTAAAGAAGACTTTCAATTTGAAAGAGGTTTTAGTTACTAAATTTTACGACTTGAAAACCCAGTCCCTCCATCAGTCTGTAATTTTTTTTAATAGTCATTGGATCTTGTGGAAATCATCAACAAGGCAATCTTCGTCCACAAATCAGAAGGCTAGGGCCACAAATATGCATATTTTCCCTGATAAAAGATTTTCATAATTAAAATTTTATGTCTACAGTTCATTATATATGTATTATACATACATGATCTTTGCACTTATGTGATAGTTCTTGCTTCTGGAATAAGGATGGATGTTGTTGAACATTCAGAGACTCTGCCAGATACCTCTTACTGTTTATTATTTTTGTACCAAATTAAATATGCCATTATTTGACTGGAAAAAAATTAGCCAGGCATGGTGGCAATGCACCTATAGTCCTAGCTACTGGCAACCAGTTTGTAAGATGAAGATGGGAAGCCTTCCTTACCGGAGTCTTGGGTAGAATTTGCTATCTTAAAAATATTCAAGTTGCTTAAAGTAAGATCATGTGTGAATACACGTCAGTAACTTTGGTATTTCAGTAATAAAGTCATAGGCAAACCCTCTACTAAGTTTTTACTAGAAATATGTTCACCTGTAATGGTGGTGCTAAAATTATTATTTGTCAAAAATAGTTGTCAGTGAGAATCTCATACTACATACTTGGAAGTATTTTCTAATGCTTATAATTGACTTAAGTATCTTGCTTGAAGGGAATCAGGATGAGATATAATCTATCCTACTTGTGCTGCAGAAACGCTGAAGCTATTCAGTCTGTGTAAATAATCCATCCCACATCTTTGCTTCCTCTTCAGTGAATGCTTAACATCCATATATTATGATGGCTTGAGTATCATTTGGAAACATAAGTCATAATAGCTACAAGTTTGTAATCGAAATATTGCGAAAAGAATTTTAGGTTTCAAGATAGTGATCCTTTAATGTCAAATGTTTCCTGCAAAACTGAATGAGGAATATTGTGGATTATTTAATTTTTAATCATTTATTTCATGATTATTTAAAAGTTCCCTATATTAATTAATCACTTCTATACTAATATGTTATACTGTTTTGGTAGGATAAGTGTAAGAAGATAATCATTGGATATTATTCCCAAGGCAAATTAGTATTTGGAGAATAGATACGTTTAGCCTGAGAGCTTGGTATTAAGTAGTTTAAACATCTTAATAATGTATTGGAGTATGTGTGTTTTTATATTTTTTCCTCAGATGTATACTGGTCTTTGCTAACTCATGTTCTTATCTAATATCCAGGAAGGAAAGTTAAGAAGTTAGGCTTACTGAAAAATATATATGACTGTTAAGCCAGAATTTCAGACTATCAACTTTCATGTATACAGTATGATTACAAAGATGTAAAACAAACAATGAAAGCTAAAGTATTAGCAAAAGGACAGAGGAAATATGACAAAATATTTATTGTCTTTAGTACTAAAACAATGAGCATGTATTTTCTTGTTTTTTATATTTTCACATTTTCCCTACTTGTTATATACATTTGGGAAAATCAGCAAAGTCCAAGTTAAAGTGCTTAACTATAATTGTCTAAGTTTGAATGGTATTGCCATTGTTCAGATGATACTTTTAAGCAACAATTTAATTCATAGCATAGTTTGCAATTTATTGAATAAAAATTTAAAAATATGGTATCAATAATTATTCTCCAATTATACTATATTGTCTTATAACTTTAGATTCTACTACACATAAATGAATGCAATGTGTATTTATTAGATTCCCACTGATTTCAGCGAAAGTTGTGGCTTACTATATTTCTGCTTATTTTATCAAAGTAGCTACCTCTTGGTTATGTAATGTTAAGCGTCTTGCCAGCATGTGACAGTAAACCAGATAAATATAAACTTTAGTAGTGTGGAATATAATAGTTTATTTTTATATTCCATCTGGTACATTTATTTTTTTCCTTCCTCTGAAAAGGCCAACAAATTTTTTCAGTTTAAACAAAGGATAAATGAGCATTCTGAATAAGGCTTCTTTAGTGTCCTAATGATTAATGATCACTGAACACTTTTGAAAGATTAGCATTTTTCAGGGCTGGTAAAAAAATATACTGTTTTATTTAATTATAAGAAAGTAAAGGCGCTTCACACTGACAGGTGGTGGAAATTAGCAGGCAGTTTTGAAATTGTGCTGTGCACGAGAAATTAGATCTCATTTTAATTCTGCTTTTCTCAACTAGCAAATGAGGTTAATGCCATACATATTCAGCTGATATGGATGAAGAAATTGATATAAAGTAGATCAACATAGCTACAGGGCTAGATTAATTTATAGGTAAAGAGGCAGTGATAAATGAAAGTAATGTAGTAGTGGTCACTAAACTCCTCTGCCATGAGGGATACAATAGCGTTAGTTGCTCATTAAAGGCATTGTCGGGGTGCATCAAATAGGAATTTGAAAAGGAATAGCCAACTAACCCCTAATTATCAAAATACAGAAAATACTAATTATGCCTTAATTAGCTTTTCTTTTAATGTACTGAAATTTGTTACTTTTTGTGTGGCACAAATGGATAGTTATATCAACAATAAATAGGTTGTTTTAATAACTTTCTTTTACCTCTGGGAAAACTACACTCCAATTTTTAATATGCAATAATGCTTCTCTCTAGCCTGTAGGAGATGAAAATTATTAAGTAGCTTTATTTTTTTGAAGATTTTACAGCAGCTTTGGGAAGAATTATTTCACCATGCATCAATTATTTTTAATTGAACTGAATATTTTTCAGATTGTACCAAATGCCTCTCATTTAAGTTTATCAGTTAGGATTTAAGAAAACATCATAATGAGAACTGCATATAGTCTCTGTTATTTGTTATAATAAGACAATGATGATTATTTATTTTGAATTTTTAAAAAGCAACCCAATTGTTGCTTGTAAAGGTAGTCACCGTATTCGGGTAGTCAGGATGGAGAATTAGAGGCTATATATTCTAGAAACTTGGCTTGTGATTCCTTTTCTTTCCTCAAATAAGGTAGTTATCAACAATCCAGTTAAGAAAGGGTTCATCTGTTCAGAATAAAGATGCGGGAAGCAGCTTGGCCTTTTCATCAGATAGATCTCCAGCCAGCTCTGGGCTTCAACTAGCTCTCACTACCCCTGGGAAATCTCATTACTTTTTCTGCGTATCAGTTTCCTAACCTGTCAACAGAAGTGATACCTTTTACAGAAATTTGGGATGATTAAGTAAAATATGGCAAATACCAAGCACAGAATTTAGTACAGTACAGATGTTCAAAAAAACATAGCTGCTGTTATTGGTAAGAATAAGAAGAACTATTTTTAAAATTTTACCACTATTTAAATTTAATGGGAAAATTCTCTTTGAAAGAATTATGTGTAATCTTTAGAACATCTAATGTAATTCTAAATTTGTGTTGGAAACCAACCAATTTATCACAGATTGATTTTTGGAGAAGAATTTGGAAACAGTTGGTCTTTGGGGCATGTATTTATGGTGATTATACATGTTGTTTCCTAATACCAGGCAGAACTTGGAATTAAAACCAGACAGTTTGATTCTAAAGTCAAGACTCTAGAAAAAGACAAAAGTGTGACTTCTGGCCTGATGAAATCTGTAATGAGTTCAAAAGCTCTGCTTCTCCCCTCAGTTGCTTTTGATGCTTGTGTTGCATTTGTGTTTCCATCCATTCCTCCTCTTTTGCTCTCCTCTGCTATCCTTTTCGGGGGTAGTAGTCATGAAATAAACTGGCTATTAACTCTATCTGTGACACTAATTCTCTCTTTTGTTTTCCTTGCCAGTAAAATAAAATAATAATATTCATTGCTCTTTTTGGTAATTGAATCAGTGTAATCAGTGTGTTATGCCAACATCCCTTCATTAGTTATGTTGCCTCTTTTGTCAGAAAATAATTTGAATAGGAAAGAGGAGAGAGCAGGAAAGACATTTCATAATTAATCAAGATATGAATACTGTACTACCTTAAAAAATAAGCATTGCCCAGTCTACTTAACAGAATTATGAATGCTAAATAAATATACTGTATGTGAAAGTAAGTTGTAAACTATAAAGCATTGTGCATATCTCCATGGTACATGTCAAATCAGCATACTACCTTTCACCTGCTTACAAACTGACCAAAAAGAAAATTAAAGTGGTGATTCTGAAGAGAAGGAAAATGAATGGGTTTGTTTCTGTGGAGGGTATAGGAGAGTGGGAGAGAATGTCAGAGAGGAAGAAAGGAGGTAAGATTTTTATGTATATCAAAGGGGATGGGGTTTTAAAAGGTTAGAAATGTTGAATTAGAGTAGTGGCCTCAAACTGAGGTCCCAGATTAGCAGTGTCAGTCCACCTGGAAACGTTAAAAATGCAAATTCTCGAGCCCTGCTCCACATCTTCTGAATTAGAAGCTCTGAGGTAGGCCCAGCAAGCCCTTCACGTAATTCTGATGCTCACAAAAATTTGAGAACTACTGAATTGTTATTTGAAGGCAGATGCTCTGCCTTGTTTCTTTTTTATCATCACAAGGAACTAGGTTTGTTTGTTTGGTAATATCCCCTGCCCCTTTTTAACCTGACTGCCAGATCCTTTCTTTTATCTTACTTAACCTGTGATCTAGAGAAGGGAAGGGGGAAAAAGCCACTTGTCCATTATATGTTAAACATTGTGCTAAAATACTCTAGGGGAAGTTATAAGTCAATAGGATCTGTGTTCTCCTGTTCCAATAACTAAAATTTGTATGGTTATACACAGTTTTTATTTAAATTGTTTTAAATTTTCTCCTAATGACTTTTCAGAAAACTGCAATCAGACCAATGCCTTAGTTCTCAAATGTAACTATTCCCTGTTCCTGGCATTTTACATGTATTATATTGCTGGTTATCTGTAGACTGTAACTTTCTAAAATACATATTTTTAAAGAAAAGTACTTGAGACACTGTACCAAGATTAGGTCAGCAGTCACACTTTGTTTCTAGGATTTTGGCTTCAGAATCAGATTGTTTGGATTTAACTGCCAGTTCTGTCTTAGACAAATATGTAATATCTCTAAGCCATTCTTTCTTCATCTAGACAATGAGAATAATGGTACCTATGTTTTAGGAAAGTTTTGACATTAAATGAGAGTGTATATGAAATAGTTGGCACAGTGCCTGACATGTAAGTGCTTAATAAATATTAACTGTTGTAATGATGATGATAATGATGACCATTGCATGGCTGTCACTTTTCTGGTTCAATTTAACCAATATACACTGTTTTTAGAGTTACAAAATGTTAGAGCCCTGAAGAGGCTACAGATGTAGTTTAAATGAGCACTCTCCCAGCTGTTTTCTACATATCACAAGACTCTTGCAAACAGAATTTAACAAGTTAACAGCAATTATTTTAAAAAAGGATTTTTTTTCCAAAATAAACTTGGAAAAGCCAGTCTATTGTATCTCTCTTGGAAATTTATAATGCATATTGGCATGTTAAACGCTTTAAGGAGCTCCTACCTTAAACGATCCTTAGCAGCTATCAAAATTACTTAACCATAGAAACCTTTTCTGTGGGAAATACCTACTTATGTTTTGCAAAATACAGTCTGGGAAATGCTATCTAGACCAGGCACTTTCTTTTATTAAGAAGCATCTCCCCCACCCCACTCCATAGAAATTGATGACTTGCCTTAGGTCATACAGCTGTAGACTCAGTTTGGAACTCAAAGCTTTTCCTAGTCTTGTTTCACCTGTTTATCTAATCAAGTTCGGATATAGAAAGGAAAATTATTTGAATTGGTAGAAAATTAGAGGTGGTTCTATTATGTAGAAGGAAAGAGGAATGAAAGATAATTCTAATATAGTGCTGCTTATTTTTGCCTGATTGTAGGAGAATCCAAGATACTTGTTTAAAACACAGATTCTTAGACTTCTGTAAATTTTAATTTGTAGGGATGAGGTAAGATTATCATTGCTGGATCATACGTGAAAAGGTCCAAGATTTTCAGAGTTTGATCTTTATAAATTGTGTCTTATGATTCTGAGTAACTAGATAATTGGTGTTAACTTTCTGTATTGGGAGAAAGATGATTAAATATGGACCAGATTCTATCCCAAGAAATGCTGATAAACCTCATTTCATGTACATTTAGATCTTAAAGAATTTGGTTTACTTGCTTATTTGTTGTCTTTCTTTTCAATACCCTCTAGTAGATAGTGCCTAATGCAATTATAGAAATCTGTCTATTAAGGTAGCTGTAAGGTCATTTAGAGCTATACATTTTAATCAGCCTAACAAATTATCAACGAGTTTAAGCTCTCTTTTCATAAATGACTCATTATATTCACTTTTTACTTTTTGACCATGACGTTGTTGGATTTATTCTAAAGGGATAGTATACCTATAATTTAAACTTAAATCTAGATCTTATGTCAGAAAACATCTAAGAATTTGTAACTGGTAAATGTTGATAATATTTAGAATAATAACATTGCCTTTATAACTGATACCTATTCAAGGCCTATAAAGACAGTAAGAATTCCCTATGAAATGAGAATTAGTTCTGGTGTATATTCAGATGTCTGCTTTCAAATATTCCTAGTTAAATCAGCCAGTTGAAGAAAGTCAAACTGTATATTGCATTAATTAAATTATTAAGATTTTTATGATCTTACGTGGTGATTTTATGTGTTACAGTTGAAACATTTCCGAGACATGTTGTATGCATATCTTTTCTTTAAGATCTTGACATTTATGGCCAAGCTACGTACCCATTTTTGCATTTACCATGTTGTCTTTTACAAGGTGTCAATTAGCATGTATTTTCTATGTATTAGGTTAAAGATGGGTTTGTGTGGTTTTTACTTTCAAAGTAAATTGTTCTCCAATTTATTTTGTAACCTACTTTTATTTTGTAACCTACTTTTCTTTCCTGTTTTGACTTCAGAGAAACCAAACCAAATAAAATTATAGTATGAAGGTCCTTAAAAATATTCCTATCTGTTGACACAGTGTTTCATGTCTGGAAGTGCAGTCTGAATAAATAATTTGAAATACAGACAAAGCTTTGTATACCAAGGTATTAATCCCAGTGATATTTGATAGAGTCGATGGTTGATTAAATAGGTTGTACAGCCATATGATGAAATATGAGGCAGATAATGAAACTTGTTTACTGAATGTAAAAAGTTTTGTTCTTTACCCCATTGTACTCCCTCTTTCTAGGCATAACCACTGTATCACTCTAGACATTTTCCTTTATGAAAAATGTTTTACATGATTGATGTTTTGCATATAATCTTACATTTAAAAGGGAGGGGGTGAACAAATTATAAACATATAAATGTTTTTAAACATCACTAAAACGATTGGAAGAAAATACATTTAAATGTTAATGCTGTTCACAGTAGCATGTGCCTTGTAGTTCCAGATACTTGGGGAACTGATGCAGGAGGATCCCATGGGGCCAGGATTTTCAGGCTGCAGTGTGCTATGATCACACCTGAGAATAGCCACTGCACTTCAGCCTGGCAACATAGGAGAAATTGTCTCTTAAAAAAAAAAAGTTATTGCTCATCTCAGGGCCTGTTATATACCTTCAGTTACCCTCCATAGCCCCTCAAATAATTTTATTTTTAAGAAAAGCTCATGGAAAAATGATAATCTTTCTACATCAAAAGGGCTAGAAATCTAAAAGTCTGAGAAAGAGAATGCTTGAGGGACCCTCTCCTTCCTCACGGTTATTAAGTGTTAGTTAAAGCTGTTTTTTTCCCTAAAAAGCAAGGCAATGAATGAAAAGATAAGGATAATAGTAGACAATAATGTCAATGAAATAAAATGAGGAATGGAAAATTTTTTAATGGAAATTTGACTTGGAGTGATTGTCATAATACCTGTAATGGAGTTCAGAGGAAGCAAAAATAGTCTTCATGAGATTGGTTGTCTTGATCATTTGAAATTGGGATTTGTTTTATCCGTACTGTGTAAAATAGCTTTTCAGCCACTATACTAGGTGAATATGAAGAAAGTTTTCTGTTCTGGAGCATTCTGATTTCATAGTTATGCCAAAAAGTTTTTGCAGATAAAAAGTCATGAAGACAGCATTCAGACCTAGGATGGTTGTACTCAAAAGCACTTGCCGTAGGTGTACATAATGTTTAGCATTTTACTTTCTGGGTAAGATGTACTGCTTCAGTTTGGAAATAAAAAATGTATCTTAGGTTACATTGTCATCATTACTACTTTTCCTTTTAGAAAAGAATAATTTATCTTTCTCAACTATATGAAAGGGATGAACATTTCTCTGTGTTCCTACTCATTTTGCATTAGTTTCTATAAAATTGAAGTGGATTGCTAGCAAAAGGGGGGGAACCCAATTACAGTTAAGTCCCCAAAACTGCATTTTGACTCCAAATCTTCAGTGTGATGTGTCTAGAAAGGTGATTAAACACATAAGAATCCTGAATGATACGGTTAAGCTTTGTGTCCCCACCCAAATCTCATTTTGAATCATAATCGTCATGTGTCAAAAGAGAGACCAGATGGAGGTAATTGGATCATGGGGGCAGTTTCCCCCCATGCTGTTCTCGTGATAGTGAGTGAGTTCTCACGAGATCTGATGGTTTTATGTGTTTGGTAGTTCCTGCTGCATTCATTCTCCCTCCTGCCGCCTTGTGAAGAACTTGCATTGTTTCCCCTTCGCCTTCTGCCGTGATTGTAAGTTTCTTGAGGCTTCCCCAGCCATGCAGAACTGGGAGTCAATTAAACCTCTCTCCTTTCTAAATTACCCAGTCTTGGGCTGTTCTTTATAGCAGTGTAAGAATGGACTAATACACGGAGTGGAGGGCGGAGAGTTTGTTCAATCCAGCGTCCTGTATCCCTCAGAGATTCATATGCAGTAAATCTGAGGTAGGACCCAGAAATCTGTATTTTAACAAGCACTTCTGGTAATTTTGAGATAGATGATCCCTCAACTACTCTTGAAGAAACTGGTCCAAAAGTTCTTCCTCCCAGTCCACATAGTAAATGTACTACCAAGGTTTGAGAGATTTCTTTATAAGTCCTCTCAGAAAGTCTTTCTAGCATGCTTGACATAGGTTGCTGTTTGCCTATTTGGCTTAGTTAAATACTACATACCCATTCTTGTGTAATTCCAAACTGTTAGAAAAGCGTATACTAATCCAGTATTTCTGTTTAAATTCAGTATGAACAGACTCACATCTATCATTAGGGAAATTCTGAAATCACTTGAGAAAAAAGTTTCCTTTATGTTGTGAATGGAAAACAATACACAGTATTAAATAATATAATAAGATCTCAACTGTATGACAATAGGAGGAACAAAAGCACCATAAGGAAATGAACCAAAATGTTCATTTTCTTTAGTTCTCATGACACAGAGAATTTATTTTCCTCTGCTTTTCTGTATTTTCCAGTATTATTTCTTATAAAAAGAAACATATTAATTTTAAAAATGCCCTTCTTTGGCCTGGTGCAGTGGCTCACACCTGTAATCCCAGCACTTTGGGAGGCTGAGGCGGGCGGATCACATGAGGCCAGGGATTTGAGACCAGCCTGGCTAACATGGAGAAACCCCATCTCTACTGGAGAAAAAAAAAAAAAACCCTTTTTCTGTCTTCACAGTTAACTTGATTATATAGATGAAAGTCTAACAATTTCATATTACTTTTCTTTTATACTTAGTTGCACAGTATGCTATGAGGTCTGTGAAATGCATGTACATTTCTCATTGGAATATTTTATTGTTATGTGTGTAGATTTTTGAATATAGCATTTTGAACATAATGGTCACGTTGGAGCAATTGCCATTTCAAATCATTAGGAACACTCAGGTCACTTTGGCATGGAGCTATTTTGTAAAAGACGTAGAAGCCATTTATAAACTTTGGTTTGCTTTTTAAAAATTTATTTCATTCTGAGGCTTATCCGTGTAAAATTACCAAAATGATTGTGGTTAGACTCTACATTGTCACAGTATTTAAATGTGCACAATATTCCACTTAGAAATAATGTCAGTACTAAAAGTAGTAGAGGGCTTTGATAGCAATATTAATACATCGTTAAGCCCTTCTCATTAAACAGTGTAATAGTCTTGTTGAAGTTTGTTAGGCATTTTAACCACTACTAATTAAAAATAGACCTACTGACTAGTCTGTTTTACTGTGCTTTATTGTGTCTTGGATGTTCATTCAGATACTTTTGCTGTTGAGAAATCAAATCGTCTCTTATGGTTTTAATTACAAAATACATATTAGAGGGATACAGTTCTTAGGGCTGTGATTTTTAATTTGTGTAACCTTTTTTTATTTTGGAAAGGAAATTTCAGATTTTTTCTAGTAATTTTTCATTTGTGAGTGTTGTTTTCTAGATACAGAAAATGTACCTAGATAGATGATCACATTTTAGGATATTTTGCTTACGTGTTATTTTATATTTATATACTATAATACCATTGTATAGTTCAGAACAAGAAAATATCTTGATAAATCATCTGCTACTGTGAGGCAGTTAAAAAAATTTGAGGCTCACTGAAAATGTGTGACTTGCCCACTGTCTCATATTGCTAGTATTGGAGAGAAAACTAGAATCTAGGCCTTTATTTTCCTGATGTAATGATTTTAGCTAATTATTATTTATTTTCTTAAATCATTGCATTAATTGATTTTTCACAAGTAGAGCCTATATCAGTGTTTGCAATAATTAAATTTTAAGTATATTTCTATAATTGTAAATAAAATCCTGACATTTGTTACAGGATGGGGTTTTCTTTCATCATATTTTTATAATAAAAATTAAGCAGTTATAAAAATAAATAGCCTAGTTTTTCAATTGGTATAAGCTGGCTTTATTTTATACTGCTAATAAAGGCACATTATGTTCAAGCATTGCAATTATCGCTGAAATGCATGTCCATTAACTGAAACATTAGGCTGAGTATATAATTACTGTCTAGAGCCAATATCTTTGTGAAGCTGTACCTATAATGCTATTAAACTATAAACAATATTTGTAAACTAATATTTAAATAATTCAGAATTGATATAATCTTTTTGTAAACTTAAAAATGAATGCTATATACATTTAGTTTGATTGTTTTTACGTGCTTAGAAAAATATGGGAATTCTCAAAGATAATTGAAATATGTGTCTTGAGATAGATGAATTTTTAATATAGTTGCTATAACCTAATACCTATTATTCTTTCTGAAGTCTTTTGTTCCATATTTTTTATTGTGGTAAGAAATATACAACATAAAATTTACTATCTTAACCATTTTAAAGTATGCAGTTCAGTGATATTAAATACATTCATATTGTTGTGCAACCATCACCACCATTCATCTCCAGAAGTCTTTTCATCTGCACAACTGAAACACTATACCCATTAAACAATAATTTGCATCCTCCCACCAGTCCTTGGCAACTACCATTCTAGTTATTGTCTCAGTGATTGTGACAACCCTAGGTACTTCATGTAAGTGGAATCACATGGTATTAGTGTGCTTGTGACTGGCTTATTTTACTTCACATAATGTCCTTAAGGGTAGCTTATATTGTAGCAGACATCAGAATTTTTTTCTATTTTAAGACTATTATTCCCTTGTATATGTATATCACATTTTGCTTATCCATTCATTCATCAGTAGACACTTGGGTTGCTTCCATGTTTTAGCTATCATGAATAATGCTGCTATGAATATGGATATACAAATATCTCTTCGAGACCCTGCTTTCAATTCTTTTGGAGTAGAATTGCTGCATCATGGGTAATTTTGTGTTTATTTTTTTGAGGAACCTCCATGCTCTTTTCTACAGCAGTTGTACCACTTAATATTTCCACCAGCATTGCACAAGGATTCGAGTTTCTCCACATCCTCACCAACACTTATTTTCTACTTTGTTTTACTGAAGTCTTTTATTCATACAAAATATGTATAAATTCTGTTTACAAAAAAAATGATGTAGCTATAGTCAAGCTTTTTAACTTGAAAGGTCTTTTGGGGCCTATCAATGCAAAATTGCTTTTAAATCTGAATATATTGACTATTGAAATCTACTGTGTCACACGCATCCGTGTCATGCGCGTCCGTGTGAAGAGACCACCAAACAGCCTTTGTGTGAGCAACAAGTCTGTTTATTTCATCTGGGTGCAGGCGGGCTGAGTCTGAAAAGAGAGTCAGCAAAGCTTGGTGGGATTATCATTAGTTCTTATAGGTTTTGGGATAGGCAGTGAGTTAGGAGCAATGTTTTACGGGCAGGGGGTGGATCTCACAAAGTACATTCTCAAGGGTGGGGAGAATTACAAAGAACCTTCTTAAGGATGGGGAGAATTACAAAGAACCTTTTTAAGGGTGGGGAAGATTACAAAGTACATTCATCAGTTAGGGTGGGGCAGAAACAAATCAGTGGTGGAATGTCATCAGTTAAGGCTGTTTTCACTTCTTTTGTGGATCTTCAGTTGCTTCAGGCCGTCCGGATGTATATGTGCAGGTCACGGGATATGATGGCTTAGCTTGGGCTCAGAGGCCTGACATTCCTGTCTTCTTATATTAATAAGAAAAGCAAAGCAAAATAGTGGTGAAGTGTTGGAGCAGTGAAATATTTTGGGGGTGGTATGGAGAGAGAATGGGCAATGTTTCTCAGGGCTGCTTCGAGGGGATTAGGGGCAGCATGAGAACCTGCAATGGGAGAGATTCAACTGAAGAAAGATTTTGGGGTAAGGGGTGATATTGTGGGGTTGTTAGAAGGAGCGTTTGTCATATCGAATTATTGGTGTTGGCCTGAATGCGGTTTTGTATGAATTGAGAAACTAAATGAAAGACACAAGGTCCGAATAAAAGAAGGAGAAAAATAGGTGTTAAAGGACTAAGAATTGGGAGTACCCAGGACGTCCAATTAGAGAGCGTCCAAGGGGGTTCAATGTTATTGTTTGCTTGGTTGGCGACTTTCAAGGCTCTATCCAAGTTTTTGGGGTACACTTCAAGTTGGGCTGGTGTCTGGAATGAGACTGGAGCCTAATAAAAAGGAGTGTCCATGCAGGAGCTTAAATGGGCTGTACTCTGTAGCATCTCGAGGACAGGATCTAATTCTGAGAAGGGCAAGAGGTAAAAGTACTGTCCAGTCCTTTTTAAGTTGGAGGCTGAGCTTGGTGAGGTGTGTCTTTAAAAGACCATTAGCCCATTTTACCTTTCCTGAAGATTGAGGATGGTAAGGGGTACAAAGTTTCCACTGAATACCAAGAGCCTGAGAAACTGCTTGGGTGATTTGACTAATCATGGCCAGTCCGTTATTGGACTGTATAGAGGTGGGAAGGCAAAACCGAGGAATTACGTCTGACAAAAGGGAAGAAATGACCGCAGTGACCTTCTCAGACCCTATGGGAAAGGCCTCTACCCATCCAGTGAAAGCATCTACCGAGACCAAGAGGTATTTTAGTTTCCTGACTCGAGCCATGTGAGTAAAGTCAATTTGCTGGTCCTGGGCAGGGGCAAATCCCCGAGTTTGACGTGTAGGGAAGGGAGGGGGCCTGAACAATCCCTGAGGAGTAGTAGAATAGCAGATGGAACACTGAGAAGTGATTTCCTTAGGGATAGACCTCCACAATGGAAAGGAAATGAGAGGTTCTAAGAGGCGGGCTAGTGGCTTGTAACCTACATGGAAGAGGTTATGAAATGACGATAGAATAGAATGGGCCTGTGAGGCTGGAAGGAGATATTTTCCTTGGTCCAAGAACCATTTGCCTTGTGTGGGAAGAGATTGATAGGTGGAGGTTTCGGTGGGAGAGTAGGTGGGAGTGACTGATGAGAAGGAGGAAAACTGGCCGTGAGGGACAGAAGTTGGAATGCTAGCTGCTTCTTTAGCTACCTTATCAGCATAAGCGTTGCCCTGAGTGATGGGATCTGATGCCTTTTGATGGCCCTTGCAGTGTATGACTCCAGCTTCCTTTGGAAGTAAAGCGGCCTTGAGAAGAGTTTTTATTAAAGAGGCATTAATGTTGGAGGACCCTTGTGTAGTGAGGAAACCTTTTTCAGCCTATATAACAGCATGGTGGTGCAGGATATGGAAGGCATATTTAGAGTCAGTATAAATATTGACACATAGTCCCTTTGCAAGAGTGAAGGCCTGAGTTAAGGCAATGAGTTTGGCTTGCTGAGAGGTAGTGGAAGGGGGCAGAATGGTAGCCTCAGTGATAGATGTGGAAGATACTATAGCATAGCCTGCCTTTGCTGGTGAGTGGCGATTAGGCCTGGTAGAACTATCATCAGTAAACCAAGTGTGATCAGATTGAGGAACAGGAAAGAAGGAAATATGGGGAAATGGAGTGAATGTCAGGTGTATCAGAGATACAGTCATGGGGGTCAGGTGTGGTTTCGGGAATAATGTGGGAGGCCGGATTGAAGTCTGGGTCAGGAACAATGGTAACTGTGGGAGACTCAACAAAGAGTGAGTACAACTGAAGGAGCCAGGGAGCAGAAAGTATATGTGTCATGTGTGAGGCAGAAAATAGATTTTGGAAGTTATGAGAACTGTAGAGAGTGAGTTGAGCATAGTTTGTGATTTTGAGGGCCTCTGAAAGTATTAGGGCAATGGCGGCCGCTGCACGGAGACATGATGGCCAGCCTAAAACAGTAAGGTCAATTGTTTGGTTAAAAAGGCTACAGAGTGCGGTCCTGGTCCTTGTGTAAGAATTCCAAATGCACAGCCCTGCAATTCAGCTGTATGTAATGAAAACAGTTAGGATGAGTCAGGGAAAGCTATTGTGGGAGCAGTCTCTACAGCTGTCTTCAAGGAACAGAAAGAGGAGTGGGGAAAGGATTTAGGATCTATAGGGTCAGCTAGGTTTCCTTTTGTGAGTTTATGTATTGGTTTTGTTAGGATGGCAAAACCAGGTATCCAAAGGCAAAAGTATCCAACCATGCCCAGGAAGGAAAGGAGTTGTTGTTTTGTAGAAGGGGTTGGGGTTTGAGAGATCAGTCAGACACTATCGGCAGGGAGAGCACGTGTGTTTTTATGAAGAATTATGCCGAGGTAGGTAACGGATGGAGAAGAAATTTGAGCTTTGGAGGGGGATACCCCATATCCCTTGGAGAATTAGTGTTGAAGGAGCAGGAGGGTGTCCTGTTGAGAAGATTGAAAGGAGGGGCTACAAAGTAGAAGGTCATCAGTATATTGAATAAGGTGAGAAGTGGAGGGGTGGAAAGAAAGTAAATCATGAGAAAGAGCTTGGCTGAAGTAATGAGGGCTGTCCCTGAAGCCTTGCGGCAGTACAGCCCAGGTAAGCTACTGGGACTGATGGGTGTCAGCGTCAGGCCAGGTAAAAGCAAAGAGAGGCTGGGACGAGGGGTGTAGGGGAATAGTGCAAAAAGCATCTTTAAGATCAAGAATGGAATAGTGAGTTGTGGAGGAAGATATTGAGGACAAAAGAGTGTATGGGTTGGGCACCACAGGGTGGATAGGCAAAACAATTTGGTTGATAAGGCACAGATATTGAACTAACCTGTAAGAGTTGTCCGGTTTTTGAATAGGTAAAATGGCAGAATTGTAAGGAGAGTTTATAGGTTTTAGAAGCCCATGCTGTAGCAGGCAAGTGATAACAGGCTTTAATCCCCTTAAAGCCTGTTGTGGGATGGGATACTGGCATTGTGTGGGGTAAGGGTGATTAGGTTTCAATGGGATAGTAATGGGCGTGTGATCGGTTGCCAGGGAGGGAGTGGAGATGTCCCATACTTGCGGGTTAAGGTAGGAGGATATGAGAGGAAGACACGAAGGAGGCTTTGGGTTGGGAAGAAGGGTGGCAATGAGATGTGGCTGCAGTCCAGGAATAATCAGGGAAGCAGATAATTCGGTTAAAATGTCTCAGTCTAATAAGGGAACTGGGCAGGTGGGGATAAAAAAGAGTGCATAAAAGAATGTTGTCCAAGATGGCACCAGACTGGGGGAGTTTTAAGGGGTTTTGAAGCTTGGCCATCAATACCCACAACAGTTATGGGGGCAAGGGAAACAGGCCCTTGAAAAGAAGGTAATGTGGAGTGGGTAGCCCCCGTATCGATTAAACAGGGGACGGACTTACTCTTCTCTGTAAGAGTTACCTGAAGCTCAGCATCCATGATAGTCCAGGGGGCTTCCAAGGCGATGGGCAGCATCAGTCTTCAGCTGCTAAGCCAAGGAGATCTGGGAAGGAGTCAGTCAAGGAATGTTGGGTTTGGGCTTCAGGGGTTTTAGGAGCAGCAGTGATGTGAGTCGGACAGTCTGACCTCCAGCGGGGGCCCACACAGACAGGGCACGGCTTAGGAGGAATCCCAGGCTGAGGACATTCTGAGGCCCAGTGGCCAGGCTTTTGGCATTTGAAGCAAGGTCCATGAGGATGTTTTGAAGGAGCCCCTGCGAGCTGTGGCTTGGATGTTCTAAAGTTCTTGCATGCTAGAGATGTGGTTGTGGGTTTTCCTACAGCGGAGGCAAGTAGCTGTAACTCAGAAATACGTTGCTGTCTGGCTACCCCCTCTCTATTATTGTGTACCTTGAAGGTGAGGTTGATTAATTCCTATTGTGGGGTTTGAGGGCCGGATTCCAATTTTTGAAGCTTTTTTCTAATGTCAGGAGCTGACTGGGTGATAAAATGCATATTAAGAATAAGGCGGCCTTTATCGTGAAAATGGCCATACTGCCCAAGGTAATTTATAGATTCAATGCCATCCCCATGAAGCTGCCAGTGACTTTCTTCACAGAATTGGAAAAAACTACTTTAAAGTTCATATGGAACCAAAAAAGAGCCTGCATTGCCAAGTCAATCCTAAGCCAAAAGAACAAAGCTGGAGGCATCATGGTACCTGACTTCAAACTGTACTACAAGGCTACAGTAACCAAAACAGCATGGTACTGGTATCAAAACAGAGATATAGACCAATGGAACAGAACAGAGCCCTCAGAAATAATGCCGCATATCTACAACTATCTGATCTTTGACAAACCTGACAAAAACAAGAAATGGGAAAAGGATTCTCTATTTAATAAATGGTGCTGGGAAAACTGGCTAGCCATATGTAGAAAGCTGAAACTGGATCCCTTCCTTACACCTTATACAAAAATTAATTCAAGATGGATTAAAGACTTACATGTTAGACCTAAAACCATAAAAACCCTAGAAGAAAACCTAGGAAATACCATTCAGGATATAGGCATGGGCAAGGACTTCATGTCTAAAACACCAAAAGCAATGGCAACAAAAGCCAGAATTGACAAATGGGATCTAATTAAACTAAAGAGCTTCTGCACAGCAAAAGAAACTACCATCAGAGTGAACAGGCAACCTACAGAATGGGGGAAAATTTTTGCAATCTACTCATCTGACAAAGGGCTAATATCCAGAATCTACAATGAACTCAAACAAATTTACAAGAAAAAAAACAAACAACCCCATCAAAAAGTAGGCAAAGGATATGAACAGACACTTGTCAGAAGAAGACATTTATGCAGCCAAAAGACACATGAAAAAATGCTCATCATCACTGGCCATCAGAGAAATGCAAATCAAAACCACAATGAGATACCATCTCACACCAGTTAGAATGGCAATCATTAAAAAGTCAGGAAACAACA
The DNA here is from genome assembly GCF_000001405.40 of Homo sapiens. Taxonomy (NCBI): domain Eukaryota; kingdom Metazoa; phylum Chordata; class Mammalia; order Primates; family Hominidae; genus Homo; species Homo sapiens. The sequence continues at coordinate 171,006,099 of NC_000005.10, forward strand.
GGTGCTGGAGAGGATGTGGAGAAATAGGAACAGTTTTACACTGTTGGTGGGACTGTAAATTAGTTCAACCATTGTGGAAGTCAGTATGGCGATTCCTTCGGGATCTAGAACTAGAAATACCATTTGACCCAGCCATCCCATTACTGGGTATATACCCAAAGAATTATAAAACATGCTGCTATAAAAACACATGCACACGTATGTTCATTGTGGCACTATTCACAATAGCAAAGACTTGGAACCAAGCCAAATGTCCAGCAATGATAGACTGGATTAAGAAAATGTGGCACATATACACCATGGAATACTATGCAGCCATAAAAAATTATGAGTTGATGTCCTTTGTAGGGATATGGATGAAGCTGGAAACCATCATTCTCAGCAAACTATCGCAAGGACAAAAAACCAAACACTCCACGTTCTCACTCATAGGTGGGAATTGAACAATGAGAACACATGGACACAGGAAGGGGAACATCACACACCGGGGCCTATTGTGGGGTGGGGGAAGCGGGAGGGATAGTATTAGGAGATATACCTAATGTTACATGACGAGTTAATGGGTGCAGCACACCAACATGGCACATGTATACATATGTAACAAATCTGCACATTGTGCACATGTACTCTAAAACTTAAAGTATTAAAAAAAAAAAAAAAGAATAGGTCGGCCTTCTGGCCCCTCTGGGTCTAGGGTGGTAAAGCATCTAAGGGTTGCTGCTAAGCGGGCCATGAACTGGGCTGGGTTTTCGTCTTTACGTTGGGTATTTTCTTTAAGTTTGTCATAATTAACAGCTTTGTAAGCTGCCGTTTTAAGCCCTTCAACTAGGCAGGAAACCACGTAATCTCGCTTAGCTATACCTGGGGAATCTGCCTGATAGTTCCATTGGGGATCTTCTCGGGGAACTGCTCTCATGCCTTCCGGGAGGTCTGGCTCATGAAGCCGGTGGTTATCAGTGTGAGATTGGGCTAGAGAAAAAAGTCTTTCCCGTTCATCTGGGGAAAGGGTAGAAGTTAGGATGACATTTAAGTCACTCCAGGTTGAATTGTAGGACAGAGTTAGATATCAGAATTCCTGTGTATATTTAGTGGGGTCTGATGAGAAAGAGCCTAAACGCTGGCTGATTTGGGAAAGGTCTGATAGAGAAAAAGGCACACGTACCCTGACTGTTCCTTCAGCTCCAGCCAACTCTCTAAGAGGAAATTGTCGGGCAGTGGGGGAGAGCTAGTTGCAGAAAGAAACTGTAAACCAGACCAGGTGTGGAGAGGGAGGTAATAGAAGGGTTATAGGGTAGGGGAGCAGAGGCTGAAGAAGAGTTGGAGCCTGATTCAGCCTGGCAGGGAGCGACTTGAGGAGGAGCAGTCTGGGAAGGAAGTGAGAGGTCAGATGGGTCAGTAGAAAAGGAAGATTCACAAGACTCAGCGATGCTTGGGGTTGGGACTGAAGGGACAGGTGGGAGGGAAAGAAGGAGGATTTGGGACAAGTTGCATTGGGAACAGAGACTAGGGAGGGAACGAAGTGTGAAAAATGCCTGGACGTAGGGCATCTCAGACTATTTGCCCATTTTTCGACAAAAATTATCTAGGTCTCGTAGGATGGAGAAATCAAAAGTGCCGTTTTCTGGCCATTTAGAACCATTGTCGAGTTTGTACTGGGGCCAAGCAGTGATGCAGAAGAAAATAAGATGCTTAGATTTTAGGTCAGGCAAGAGTTGAAGAGGTTTTAAGTTCTTGAGAACACAGGCTAAGGAGAAGAAGGAGGAATGGAGGGTGGAAGTTTGCCCATAGTGAAGGAGGCAAGTTTAAAGAGAAGGGTAGATATGGCGAAGCCGGTGGGGAGCAACCCTGGGCTGCAATGTGGGTGAGCAGCCAAAGCAGGCATCCCTGCAATTGACTTGCCACCAAGGGAATATGGGTAAATGACCAAGGCAGGAGTCCCTGTGGTGATCAGACACCAGTGGAATATGGGTGAATAATCAGGCAGGCATCCCTGCAATGATTAAACACCAAGGGAAGACTGTCTTCCTGAATCTGTGACCGGTGCCGGAGTTTTGGGTACACAGATAAAATGTGTCTCCTTTGTCTGTACTAGAGAGGGAAAAGATCTGGAATTGGAAGGACAGGGAGATTGAAGGGTAGCGAGAGAGGCTGGAGAAGAGAGTGAAAAGACCGCTTACTCGAAATTGGTGAGATGTTCCTTGGGCTGGTTGGTCTGAGGACCCGAGGTCATAGGTGGATCTCTTCACGGAGTGAGGGTGAGGACAGGGGACTGGTCTCCCAAAGGAGTCCCTCTGACCCGGGTCTTTGGCACCAAATGTCACGGACGTCCGTGTGAAGAGATCACCAAACAGGCTTTGTGTGAGCAACAAGACTGTTTATTTCACCTGGGTGCAGGCAGGCTGAGTCTGAAAAGAGAGTCAGCAAAGCATGGTGGGATTATCATTAGTTCTTACAGGTTTTGGGATAGGCAGTGGAGTTAGGAGCAATGTTTTGCGGGTAGGGGGTGAATCTCACAAAGTACATTCTCAAGGGTGGGGAGAATTACAAAGAACCTTCTTAAGGGTGGGGAAGATTACAAAGTACATTCATCAGTTACGGTGGGGCAAAAACAAATCACAAGGGTGGAATGTCATCAGTTAAGGCTATTTTCATTTCTTTTGTGGATCTTCAGTTGCTTCAGGCCATCTGGATGTATACAGGCAGGTCACAGGGGATATGATGGCTTAGATTGGGCTCAGAGGCCTGACATACTGACCTTATGTTTTCAATTAAATGTACCACCTTTCTTTACTGTTACCACATTTGTAAGCGTGTTTTGATGACTATTAAATATAGATGCTTCCCAATTTTCTATAGTGCTCCTTTTCAATTTGTATAATTTACAGGTTATTAAATGGCATTACTTATTTATTTGGCACTGCTAAATGTTCATTTCAATGCCATGGCTTGGGCATGTTATCTCCAAGCTATTTAATGAGGAAGACAGAGTCAAGAGACTTCCTGCCTCATTTTGTCCCTGCCACTAAGGCTGCACCTTGTAGTGGAAATCATTTTGGCTTTGAAATCTGAACTTGATTTCAGTGCCAATCTTTATCACTTAGTAGGTTTGTGACAGTTAAGCAATTTACCTAACTTTTCTGCATGTCAGTTTCCCTAAATAAAACACTGCTGGACTGTTTGAGGGTTAGAGATAATAAATATAAAGAGTGTCAAACAAGATTGGTGTTCTCTAAATCATAGCTATTAACATTGCTTTACTTGTAACTTTGGGTAAGTTGCTTATAATCTAAATCTTAGATTTACTTCATGTAAAATGAAAGGATTGAATTGGATTGGTATAAATGGGTCTTAGGACCCTTGAGGTAATATACAGATATTTTTATTTTGTACACTTTTGTGAGGTTTGTAGTGTTCATCAGATTCATAAAGTGATTTGTAAATCCCCTGAATAAAAGGGTAAATTCTAAACTAGGTGATCTCCAAGTTCTTTTCTTATGATAAAATTTTCTACCTATAGGCTACATAGTCAACTTCAGTGTGACTGAGGTTAGGGAAATTATTTTTGAAAAATTTTTTGAATCAGGACCTCAGAATGTAAATGTTTGTTGCTGTTAAAAGTAATTATTATAGTCTTCTAGCTTTTGGTAACTGATGGAAACACTTGTATCAAGTAACCATCTTGCTGATAACAATTATAACCTCTGGACAAAACATTAAAGAAAAAGAAACACTGTTTGAAGGCACTGGAGAGTGATCAAAAGTAGGTAGGAATTGGAGGTAAGATGCACCTTTATGGAAAGGAACCAAACTGGTTGAGGTCTACATTTATCTGACTTATTCTTTAAATAAATGCACAAGTTTATGCAGTATATGGGAATACAGCTCAAGCAGAAATCAGCCCTCTTTTTGATGAGTTAGAGGATGATATTTAGGGCAATGAAAGCAGGTGAAAAATTGAGAGTGATCCCAGAAAGGAAGGAGCCACAAAGTGAGGGAACCCCCAAATTTGTATGCAGGTTTCCCCCACAACCATGCGGGACAAGATTCCAGGAAACCCAGAGGCAATGAAGGAACAATAGGCAGAAAGCTTAAAGAATTAAAGAGAGATCTTAGCAGTTGCTGGAGATGGACTTTAGAGTTCCCACCCTGCTAAAATAGAGGAACTTGGTAAATGCCTCAGGCTTGCTACGGAAAACCTGAAATGGCCACACACAGTATGGATCTTATCCTATGATTAAGATCTTCACGATAAAACCAAAGCCAAACTGAAATAGCTATCAATATGTTCTAACCTTTAAGCAAGCCCTTACAGGTTAAGGTGATCCTCCATTAATTCAGTTGTCTGTAAGAATAAAATTCATTATTTTCTGGAGGAAGCTAATACAATACAGAGTTCCAAGATTATATGAAGTGCCCAGCCAGAAATTAATAGACAAGTGAGGAAATAAGGAAAGGCAACTCATTGGAAAAAAATCTGCAGAAAGAGACCAGCAGTTCACTCAGATGCTGGATTACTAGACAGGTACCTTAACTATAATAAATATGCTAAAAAATCTAAGGGGGAAAAATGAGGAAATTCCCCTATCCCCCACAAAAAACCAGTATCAGGAATGAAAGAGGGTACATCAGTATAGATCCTATAGATGTTAAAAGGATTATTAGGGAGTCTTATGAATAAGTTTATACCAGTAAATTTGACAACTTAGAGAAAAATGACAAAATCTTTTAAAAACAGAACTTATCAAAACTAGTAAGAGAAGAAATGGAAACTTGTAAGTGGGTTTACATTTTAATAAAAGGAATTGTAATACGTAATTTAAAATCTTCATACAAAGGAAATTGCAGGCCCACAGGATTTCACTGACGAATTCTATCAAACATTGGAGGAAAAAATAATACCACTCTTACATAAACATTCAGAAAAAAGAGGAAGAGAAGAACTTCCCAGTTTCTTTTATGAGTCTAATCTAACTAATACAAAAACCTGACAAGGGCATTTCCAAAAAAGATTGCAGACTAACATCTCTCATGAGCACAAATACAAAAATTCCCAATAATTTTAAACTTTACCCAAATTACTAGGTTTCAAAAAGAATTCATTAGTTTTTAAGATTAATTCAACTAACAGTAGATATTGTACTGCTTGTATTTGCTTAGTTTGCCATCACATAAGAATGTGAATAAATATTGATGTTATTATCCAATTTATTATCAGAAATGACCAGGTATCATATGAGGATAACCAACTAGTATGTTTTTTGGCCTATATAGTCTCCCTTAGTACTTGTATAATGGGTAGTTATTCGTTCTGTTCTTTTTTTTAATATGTGTTTAAAAGGAATTGAATTTTAACCCATTTTTCATGATAATTATGGAAAATTATTTTTTCCAATGACATATTTTGGAAACTTTCAAACCCACAGAAAACTTAATAATTTAACAAATGCCTTCATACTGTGCATTTTGCCACATTTGTTTTACCTCTCTCTTTCTACATCTATATATACATTTATGCATACATATGATATATAACCTTTTTTTGGTAAACCATTTGAAAATAAGTTACATAACATCATGAGAGTTAACCCCTAGTATTTTTTATATACCTCCTGAGAACAAGAATATTCTCATACACAAACGCAATACTATGATTACACTCAAATGTTGTAATGATATAGGAATATTATTTAATACATAGTTCCTAGTTGTTTCTCGTTTGTCCCAGTAATGTCCTATATAACTTTAAAAAAAATATCTGAACCGGACATGCATTGGATTTAATGTCTCTTTAATCTAACATCGTTTTGCTACCTTTTATGTTTTTTCATGATTTTAACATTTTTGAAAAGTCCAAGCCACTGTTTTGTAGAAAGTCGTACTATTTGAGCTATTCTGGTTATTGCCTCAGTAATATATTTGTTTAAACAAATAATATATTTGTTTAAACAAATTATATTATTTGTTTAAACGAATATATTGTTTGTTTATTTGTTTAAACAAATAATACATTTGTTTAAACAAATAATATAATTTGTTTAAACAAATATATTTGCCAAGAATACTGTGTGGCTGAGGAAAGATAATTCTTAATAAATTGTTTTGCAAAAAGAGCACTTCAGAGCAATGAACTATGGAGCAAAAGGCAAAATGACGGAAACAGCAACCTTAAGTTCATATGGTTATCCTGGAGATACTGATTCTGCATTGCATTGTCGTTGCTTGCTTTTCATTTAGCTGGTCTTACATGAAGGAAATGAACTGATATTTAGTATTTATCCAAGGTAAAATTCTATAGCTGTTTTTGAATTGCCAGTCTTTTTGGTTTACATAAGCCCTTGCTGAAAACGAAAAATCTGCTGCCTGGAATCTATATATTATAGTTATTGTACATTTCCTAGGATTCTTTTGAGAAAACTAATTTTGATCAAGATTCTCACTCTTTACTGAGAAGAATCATTGGGCAAAGTATCTCTTCATCTTTTAAGAAGTTTGCTTCTCATAAGTTAAAGTAGAAATTGTTAAATAGTCAATTGAAACATTTTCAGTGGTCATACCCAAAGAGAAAGTAATAACAGTATTATTTCTTGTTTAAGTCATTATTTGCTGTTCCTTTTTCAGTTACCTCATAATTTTCATGACAGTTTTAATAGGTAGAAATAATTACTTTCTAACTTGGACTTTTTCTACAAGTTGAATATTTTCTTTTAGTTGAGAAGTTTAAAGTATACTTTTAAAAACAAATGTATATGGTTGCTTGCAGATACGATCAAATCACAGAATAGTTACATTTTAATTCCTTCTATCATACATTTTAATTTCTCCTGTCGTGTTAAGATAGTCTGTATAGCTTCATTGTTCATCTGTCAGCTTTTCAGTTAACCCAAATGAGGAAACAGTCACTTTTTGAAAGATATTTAGAAGCTTTGAATGTCTAGTTTGACTTTAGAGTTAAATCTCAGAAGACATATTGCATTGAGTGTATGTGTACGTTCAGCTTAGAACTGCCTTACACTGCTGCAATAATACTGATGCACATTTAGTTGATACTGCTTACAGTTCCTTATGAACTTGTTCAGAGCAGTTCCCAGAACTCAAGGATAATCTCAACATTCATCACCCACCATATGGCCCAAACTGCTGCTTTCAGCCCAACTTCCAGCCTTCGTGGAGCATCAGACTGAAGCAGAGCTCTCAACTATTGGACTTCTAACTGTGATCCAGCCGACTTTCCTATTGAGAAACCACATAGCCCCTTTATTGGTTACTACCTCATCTTTTTTTCTTGTTCATAACCAGTCTTCTTAGAAATGTTGTCTGTACCACTTGTCTCCATGCCCTCATCAACTGCTCATTTCTCAGCCTGTTCTAGATATTTTTTTAACATACTAGTATCAGGTTGTTGCAGCACTATTAGTTGAAAAGGCTATCCTTTCTTCCATTTAATTATCTTGGCCTTTTTTGAGGAAATCAATTAACTATATATGTGTAGATCTTTTTCTGAACTCTCTATTTTGTCCCATTGATCTTTAAGCCTATCCTATCCCAATATTTGGATTACTGTAGCTTCTAATAAGTCTTGAAGTCAGATAGTGTTTAAACCTCCAAATTCGATATTCTTTTTTAAAAATGGCTTTGGCTATTTTAGTTTTGTGCCTCTCCATGCAAATTTTAGAATTAACACATGCATTTCTACAAAAAATAGAAGAGTATGGTGTTTATTGGAATTGCACTGAAGTTACAGATCAATTTGTCTTAAAATTTGACATTTTAAGAATATTGAGGGTTTTTGTATTCTTCCTGATTCTCTTTGTACTTGGTTCTCTCAGTTGTTGAGGGAGAAGTCTTAAAGTGTCTCTTACTATGGATTTATCTTCTCACACTTCTATACAGTTTCACTTTATATATTTTGAAACTCTGTTGTTAAGTCCACAAATTTTTATATCCTTGATGAATTGACCTCTTTATTATTTTGAAAAGACCCTCTTTATTCATGCTAATATTCTTTGCTCCAAAATCTACTTTGTTTGATATTAATATAGCAACTTCTATTTTCTTTTGATTAATGTTGGCATGGTATATCTTTTTTTCATTTTTTTATCTTTAACCTATCTATGTCTTTATATAAATAGGGTGGTAGGCAGCATATGATTCAGCCTTCTTTCTTTCTTTATCCTAGATGAAAATCTCTACCTTTTAATTGAGCTGTATAGACCATTTACATGTACTGCAATTATTAGTATGCTTGGATTTAATCTACTGTTTTCCCTTTTTATCTGTTTTATTCAATGGATTTTTGCCTTTCTTTGGATCGAACATTTAGTATTTATCTCCCTTTTTGAACTTACTAGCTATAACTATTTTATTATTTTGTTAGTTATGCTTTAGGGTTTATAGTATACATCCTTAATTATCACTGTCCCCTTTAAAATGATATTATACCATTTTACTTATCAAAAAAGAACTTTCCAGCAGAGTACTTCCATTTCCTCCCTGGCTGACCTTGTTCTATTGTTGTCATATATTTTACTTATATATACATTATAAGCCTCATAATACTGTGGTATTACTTTTGCTTTAAGAAGTTAATTATCTTCTGAAGAGATTTAAATAATAAGAAAATCAGTATTTTACTCAGATAGTTACCATTTCCAGTTTTCATTCCTTTTGTGCAGATCCAGAGTTTCATGTGGTATCATTTTCTTTCTTTCTGAAGGGTTTCTTGTAAAATTTCATGTATTAGAGAAATCTTAATGACAGATTCTTTCAGCTTTCATATGTCTGGAAAAACATTTATTTTTGCCTACTGTTTTGGAAGATGTTAACAATGGTATATAATTCTAGGTTGATAGTTTTTTTCCCCTTTCAATACATTAAAGAAGTTGTGTCATTGTCTTCTCACTTGTATTTTTTATGATGAGAAATCTGCTGTAATCCTTTTCTCCATTTCACTGTATGTAATTTGCCTTTTTACTCTGTCTGCTTTCAAAATTTTTTCCTTCTTACTGGATTTAAGCAATTTGATTATTGTGTGCCTTGGTTGTTTTCTTATATTTCTTGTGCTTGGAGTTGAGCTTCTTGAATCTGTAAATTTTGAGTTTCATTTGTAAAATTTGGAAAACTTTTAGCTTTTATTTCTTCAAATATTTTTTCTGTTCCTCCCCCTTCACTTTCTTGAAGACTGCAGTTACGCATTTATTAGACCACTTGATGTTGCCCAACAGCTTGCTGATGTCTTTGTTTCTGTATGTACTTTACTTTGGATAATTTCTGTTGCTGTTGATAAGTTTACTAATACCTTCCTCCACAATGTCTGATCTCTTATTAATCATATCCAGTCTATTTTTTAAAATCTCAGACATTGTGTTTTCTTCTCAGGCAGTCTGGTTTGGGCTGTTTTTATATTTTCTATGTCTCTAAATATATTTTCTAACTTTTTGAACATATGAAATACATATTATATTGGTTTTAATGTCTTTGTCTAATAATTTAATAATCTGTAAATTTTTCTTCTCTTTGCATGCCTAGTAATTTTTATATTGGATTGCAGACATATTTTTTTGTATTCCTATAAATATTTTTGAGATTTGTTCTGGGAAACAAATTACTTGGAAACAGTGTGTTTCTTTCAGATCTTGCTTTTAAACTTTATTATGCGAAACTAGAAAAGCACGTAGTCTAGGACTAATTTTTCTCCTATGCTGAAACAAAATCTTTCTTAGTACTTGATGCACCATGAATTAGAAGGTTTTCTGTATCTGTTGATATAGAGATTATTTCTGGCCTTGTATGAACCCTAGATACTATTCTGTCTAATCCTTCTGATGGTTTTCTTTCCCTCTGTAACATTGGATGCATGATATCTCACATGCATGTGTTGATTGATCCCCTTCACATCTCTAGACTTCTCATTGGAGTTCTCTCCTCTCCAGGACTTTTGCAAACTCTAGCTACTTTGACCTCTGGATTTCGCTTTCCATCTCCTCAACTTAAAAAGAGTCTGCTGGATTCCACTAAGGTTCTGCTTTTCTGGGGCAATCCCAGGGCTCACCCTTGTGTCCTGTTTCTTAGGGATCACTGCTTTTTTTTTTTTTTTTTGCTTGACTCCAATGTCTTGAAGGTTGTTGTTTCATATATTTAAAGTGTCTAGGTTTTTTTAGTTGTTTTAGGCAAGAGGGTCAATACTCCCTGTTACTCTATATTGGCACAAGTTTTAAATTTTTTTGGAAAATTTTTCAAAATTTCTATAAGTGACAAAGCTATTCTTAGCTTACATACCATAAAGACATAAGTGAGAGGCTGAGTTTTGCCTGTAATCTGTAGTTTGCTGACTTCTCTTTAGACCATTTTTCTTTAATATGATTATCAATATGGCTACCACCTTGCCATTTGTTTTCTATTTATCCCATCTGGTTTTTGTTCTTTTTTCCTTTATATATATTTTTGTTGTTGTTATACTTTAAGTTCTAGGGTACATGTGCACAATGTGCAGGTTTTTTACATATGTATACGTGTGCCATGTTGGTGTGCTGCACCCATTAACTCGTCATTTACATTAGGTATTGTTTTTTGTTCTTTTTGAGTATTTTTTACTATTCCATTTTATCTTCACTATTGACTTATTAGTTGTACCTCTGTTTTATTTGTTATTTGTTTCCCTGTGATTTATAATATGCATTTTTTTATGTCTTCTTTAAAAAAAAAAGCGGGATACACGTGCAGAACGTGCAGTTTTGTTACATAGGTATACATGTGCCATGGTGGTTTGCTGCACCTATTGACCCGTCCTCTTAAGTTCCCTCCCCTTGCCCCCCCACCCCCCAACAGGCCCTGGCATGTGTTGTTCCCCTCTATGTGTCCATGTTTTCTCATTGTTCAACTCCCACTTACGTGTGAGAGCATTCGGTGTTTGGTTTTCTGTTCCTGTGTTAGTTTGCTGGAGGATGATGGCTTCCAGCTTCATCCCATGTCCCAGAAAAGGACATTATCTCATTCCTTATTATGTCTGCATAGTATTCCATGGTATATATGTACCACATTTTCTTTATCCAGTCTATCATTGATGGGCATTTAAGTTGGTTCTATGTCTTTGCTATTGTAAATAGTGCTGCAATAAACATGTGTGCATGTGTCTTTATAGTAGAATGATTTATATTCCTTTGGATATATACCCAGTAATGGGATTGCTGGGTTAAATGGTATTTCTGGTTCTAGATCCTTGAGAAATTGCCATACTGTCTTCCACAACGGTTAAACTCATTTACATTCCCACCAACAGCGTAAAAGCATTCCTGTTTCTCCACACCCTCGCCAGCATCTATTGTTTCTTGACTTTTTAATAATCACCATTCTGGCTGGTGTGTTATGGTATCTCATTGTAGATTTGATGTGCATTTCTCTGATGATCAGTGATGTTAAGTTTTTTTCCATATGTTTGCTGGCTGGATAAATGTCTTCTTTTGAGAAGTGTCTGTTCATATCCTATGCCTACTTTTTGATGGGGTTGTATGTTGTTTTCTTGTAAATTTGTTTAAGTTCCTTATAAATTCTGAATATTAGACCTTTGTTAGATGGATAGAACACAAAAATTTTCTCCCATCTATAGGTTGCCTGTTGACTCTGATGATCGTTTCTTTTGCTGTGCAGAAGCTCTTTAGTTTAATTAGATCCCATTTGTCAATTTTGGTTTTTGTTGCAATTGCTTTTGGCGTTTTCATCATGAAGTCTTTGCCCATGCCTATATCCTGAATGGTGTTGGTTAGGTTTTCTTCTAGGGGTTTTATGGTTCTGGTTTTTACATTTAAGTCTTTAATCCATCTTGAGTTAATTTTTGTATAAGGTGTAAGGAAGGGGTCCGATTTCAGTTTTCTGCATATGGCTAGCCAGTTTTCCCAGCACCATTTATTGAATAGGAGATCCTTTCCCCATTGCTTGTTTTTTTTCAGGTTTGTTGAAGATCAGATGGTTGTAGATTTATGGTGGTATTTCTGAGGTCTCTTTTCTGTTCCATTGGTCTGTATGTCTGTTTTGGTACCAGTACCATGTTGTTTTGGTTACTGTAGCCGTGTAGTGTAGTTTGAAGTCAGGTCGTGTGATGCCTCCAGCTTTGTTCTTTTTGCTTAAGATTGTCTTGGCTATATGGGCTCTTTTTTGGTTCTATATGAAATTTAAAGTAGTTTTTTTTCTAATTCTGTGAAAAATGTCAATGGTAGTTTGATGGGAATAGCATTGAATCTATGAATTACTTTGAGCAGTATGGCCATTTTCACAATATTGATTCTTCCTATCCGTGAGGATGGAATGTTTTTCCATTTGTTTGTGTCCTTTCTTATTTCCTTGAGCAGTTGTTTGTAGTTCTCCTTGGAGAGGTCCTTACATCCCTTGTTAGCTGTATTCGTAGGTATTTTATTTTCTTTGTAGCAGTTGTGAATGGGAGTTCATTCATGATTTGGCTCTCTGCTAGTCTATTGTAGGTGTAAAGGAATGCCTGTGATTTTTGCACATTGATTTTGTATTGTGAGACTTTGCTGAAGTTCCTTATCAGTTTAAGGAGTTTCGGGGCTGAGATGATGGGGTTTTCTAAATATAAAATCATGTCATCTGCAAACAGAGACAATTTGACTTCCTTTCTTCCTATTTGAATACCCTTTATTTCTTTCCCTTGCCTGGTTGCCCTGGCCAGAACTTCCAATACTACATTGAATAGGAGTGGTGAGAGAGGATATCCTTGTCTTGTGCCAGTCTTCAAAGGGAATGCTTCCAGCTTTTGCCCATTCAGTATGACATCGACTGTGGGTTTGTCATAAATAGCTCTTATTATTTTGAGATATGTTCCATCAGTGCCTAGTTTATTGAGAGTTTTTAACATGAAGGGATGTTGAATTTTATCAAAGTTCTTTTCTGCATCTATTGAGATAATCCTGTGGTTTTTGTCTTTGTTTCTGTTTATGTGGTAGATTACATTTATTGATTTGTATATGTGGAACCAGCCTTGTATCCGAGGGATGAAGCTGACTTGATCGTGGTGGATAAGTTTTTTGATGTGCTGCTGGATTCAGTTTGCCAGTAATTAATTGAGAATTTTCACATCAATGTTCATCAGAGATATTGGCCTGAAATTTTCTTTTTATGTCATGTGTCTTCCCGGCTTTGGTATCAGGATGGTGCTGGCTGTATAAAATAAGTTAGGAAGGAGTCCCTCCTTTTCAATTGTTTGGAATAGTTTCAGAAGGAATGGTGCCAACTCCTTTTTGTACCTCTGGTAGAATTCAACTGTGAATCCGTCTGGTTCTGGGCTTTTTTTTTGTTGGTAGGCTATGAATTACTGCCTAAATTTTGGAGCTTGTTATTGGTCTATTCAGGGATTGGAGTTATTCCTGGTTTAGTCTTGGGAGGGTGTATGTGTCCAGGAATTTATCCATTTCTTCTAGATTTTCTAGTTTATTTGCATAGCGGTGTTTATAGTATTCTCTGATGGTAGTTTGAATTTCTGTGAGGTCAGTGGTGATATCCCCTTTATCATTTTTTATTGTGTCTATTTGATTCTTCTCTCTTTTCTTCTTTATTAGTCTAGCTAGAGGCATATCTATTTTGTTAATTTTTTTTTTTAAACCAGGTCCTGGATTCATTGATTTTTTTGGAGGGGTTTCCATGTCTTGATCTCCTTAAGTTCTTCAATTCAGTTCTTCTCTGGTCTTAGTTATTTCTTGTCTTCTGCTAGCTTTCAGATTAGTTTGCTCTTTCCTCTCTAGCTGTTTTAATTATGATGTTAGGATACTGATTTGAGATATTTCTAGCTTTCTGATATGGGCATTTAGTGCTATAAATTTCCCTCTCAACATTGCTTTAGCTGCGTCCCAGAGATTCTAGTACGTTGTCTCTTTGTTCTCATTGGTTTCAAAGAACTTGATTCCTGCCTTCATTTCACTGTTTACTGAGGAGTTATTCAGGAGCAGGTTGTTCAGTTTCCATGTAATTGTGTGGTTTTGAGGGAATTTCATAATCCTGAATTCTAATTTGATTGCACTGTGGCCTGAGAGACTGTTATGATTTCCGTTCTTTTGCATTTGCTGAGGAGTGTTTCACTTCCAATTATGTGATTGATTTCAGAGTAAGTGCCTTGTGTCACTGAGAAGAATGTATATCCTGTTGATTTGGGGTGGAGAGTTCTGTGGATGTCTATTAGGTCCACTTGATCCTGAGCTGAGTTCAAGTCCTGAATATCCCTGTTAATTTTCTGTCTTGTTGATCTGTCTAAAATTGACAGTGGGGTGTTAAAGTCTCCCATTATTATTGTGTGGGAGTCTAAGTCTCTTTGTAGGTCTCTAAGAACTCATTTTGTGAATCTCAGTGCTCCTGTTTGGATGCATATATGTTTAGAATAGTTAGCTCTTCTTGTTGAATTGTTCCCTTTGCCATTACGTAATGCCCTTCCTTGTCTCTTTTTGGTCTTTGTTGTTTTAAAACCTGTTTTGTCTGAGACTAGGATTGTAACCCCTGCTTTTTTTTTTTTCTTGCTTTCCATTTGCTTGGTAAATTTTCCTCCATCCCTTTATCTTGAGCCTATGTGTGTCTTTGCATGTGAGACGGGTCTCCTGAATACAGCACACCAGTGGGTCTTGACTCTATCCAGTTTGCCGGTCTGTGTCTTTTAATTGGGGCATTTAGCCCATTTACATTTAAGGTTAATATTGTTATGTGTGAATTTGATCCTGTCATAATAATCCTAGCTGGTTATTTTGCACATTAGTTGATGCAGTTTCTTCATAGTGTCATTGGTCTTTATATGTTGGTGTGTTTTTGCAGTGGCTGGTACCAGTTTTTCCTTTCCATATTTAGTGCTTCCTTCAAGAGCTCTTGTAAGGCAGGCCTGGTGGTGACAAAATCCCTCAGTATTTGCTTGTCTGAAATGGATTTTATTTCTCCTTCACTTATGAAGCTTAGTTTGGCTGGATATGAAATTCTGGGTTGAAAATTCTTTTCTTGAAGAATGTTGAATATTGGCCCCCACTCTTCTGGCTTATAGGGTTTCTGCAGAGAGATTCGCTGTTGGTTTGGTGGGCTTCCCTTTGTAAGTAACGTGACCTTTCTCTCTGGCTGCCCTTAACATTTTTTTCTGCATTTCAACCTTGGAGGATGTGACAATTATGTGTCTTGGGGCTGCTCTTCTCAAGGAGTGTGTTAGTGGTGTTCTCTGTATTTCCTGAATTTGAATATTGGCCTTTCTTGCTAGATTGGGGGAGTTCTCCTGGATAATATCCTGAAGTGTGTTTTCCAACTTGGTTCCATTCTCTCTGTCACTTTCAGGTACACCAATCAAACGTAGGTTTGGTCTTTTCTCATAGTCCCATATTTCTTGGAGGCTTTGTTCATTCCTTTTCATTCTTTTTTCTCTACTCTTGTCTTTGTGACTTATTTCAGTAAGTTGATCTTCAATCTCTGATATCTTTTCTTCCACCTGATCCATTCAGCTATTGATTGTATATGCTTCACGAAGTTCTCCTGCTGTGTTATTCAGCTCCATCAGGTCATTTATGTTCCTGTCTAAACTGGTTATTCTAGTTAGCAGCTCCTCTAACCTTTTATCATGTTTCTTAACTTCTTTGCATTGAGTTGGAACATGCTCTTTTAGCTCAGCATAGTTTTCTGTTACCCATCTTTTGAAGGCTACTTCTGTCAATTCATCCATGTCATCCTTCATCCAGTTCTGCACCCTTGCTGGTGAGATGTTGCGATAATTTGGAGAAGAGTCACTCTGGCCTTTTAGATTTTCAGTGTTTTTTCATTGATTCTGTCTCATCTTCGTGAGTTTGTCTACTTTTGATCTTTGAGGCTGCTAACCCTTGAATGGGGTTTTTCTGTGGACTTTTTTGTTGTTGTTGTTGATGCTCCTGTTGTTGCATTGTTTGTTTGTTTGTTTCAATATTCAGGTCCCTCCTCTGTAGGGTTTGCTGGGGCTTCTGTAAGGTTTGCTGGGTTTGCTGGGGGTTCACTTCAGGCCCTCTTCATCCGGTTCACTCCCATACCTGGAGATGTCACTCAACAAGGCTGGAGAACAGGAAAGATGGGTCCCTGCTCCTTCTCAGATCTTTGACTTTGAGGGGCGCCAACCTGATGCCCGTAGGATTGTTCCTGTATTGGGTATCTGCCAACCCCTGTTGGAGGGACTCACCCAGTTGGGTGGCACAGGGATGTGGACCCATTTAATGAAGCACTTTGTCCCTTGGTGGTGGGGTGTGCTTCACTGGGGGAAACCCGCTCATCTGGGCTGCCTGGATTCCTCAGAACTACGAGGAGGAAAGGCTAAGTCTGCTGGTCCGCAAAGACTGTGGCCATCCTTCCCGCTAGGGGCTCAGGCCCAGGGAGATCTAGGTTCTGTCCCTGACCCTCTGGCTGGAGTTACAGAGTTCCTGCAGGGGAACCCCACCCAGTGAGGAAGGATGGGTCAGAGTCAAGCCTGAAAAGGCACTCTGACCACAGTCTGCCACAGCCGGTGTGTTGGGCTGTGGGAGACATGTCTTCGTACCAAGCCTTCCAGCCTCCCTGGTCCCAGGAGGGGAAAAGTGCAGCCTGGAGCTATACAGAGGGATGCTGCCTTCTCCTGCCCAGGGAACTTAGCGTGTTAGGCAGTTGTGAGTCCCAGTGTTGTTTCATACGCCTCCCACAAGGAGCTCAAATGGCTTAGACAGCAGGCAACCGCAGCTATGGTGCTGGTTGCCCCTCCCCCTGGGAGCTTGGTAGGCTTAAGCAGATTCCAGCTGAGAGGCGGTTGACAATCTGTAGGGCTCTGGGGTTGGGATGCTAGCCCCAGTGGTGTGGTTTTGTGAGTGAGATCATCCAATCCATGGGTTGCACAGTTCTGTGGAAAAAGCACAGTTTCCCTTGCTGGGTAGCATGCTCATTCACTGCCTCCCTTCACTGGTGGGAGGGGGCTCCCCTGCCCCATGTGGCTCAGATGGGCCACTACACCACATTGTTCTTCCTTCCTCTCTGGATCACACTAGTCTCCTAGTCAGTTCTGATGAGAGAACCTGGATACCTTGGTTGCCAGTGAAGGATTCACATGCCTATTATAGTTCTTTTTAATGGGACCCTCTGAACGCCGCTGTTCTGTTTCTAGTCGGCCATCTTGGCCCTGCCCCCAATATGCATCTTTATCTACTTCCTCAATGGTATTACAGTACTTCACTTCTAATGTAAGACTTTTATAACTTTTATATTTCTGTCCTTTGTACTATTGTTCTTATAGATTTTACATCTACATCAAACCTGTCAAAACATTATTATTTTTTAATTGCCTATTAAGAAATTGAACAGTGAGAGGAAAATTTTTGTCACATGTGTGCTATTTACACTTCTTTTCTTTGTATAGATCTAAATTTTGATGTGATATCCTTTTTATTTTCTATTTGAAAAACTCTTTAACATATAGTACAGATTTGATGAAAATGGATTCTCTCATCTACTTTTTTTCTAGGTGAAAAATTTATTTTCTCCTTAATTTTGAAAGACATTTTCACTGGGTATAAAATTCCAGTTTGGCATTTTGTTTTTCTTTCAGCTATTTAAAAGTGTATTCCACTGTCATCTGGCTTTCATAGTTTCTGACAAGAAGTCTGTGACAATTCCAGAACTCTACCCTGAAAGAACAAGTTACCTTAGACTCTGAACTCTTATCTCTGTCTTCTCAACTCAGTGAAATTTCTGTACTTTACTTAGGATCCTGCCTTTTTCTCTGTAGTTTGGAATGCTCACCTTATTTTCTGTCTCATACATTCTAGTCCTTCACTGGCTGTTTGCTCTTGGATCAAAAGTGTTACTTCATATATTTAATCCAGTTTTTTGTTGTTGCAAAAATCAAGAGAGTAAATCTGGACCCTGTTACTGTATCATAGCTAGAATAACATGTTCTTTATTTCAGAAAGTTAAAAAATAAATATTCATTGAATCCACTAGGAACGACATTCCTTCTTTAGATGCTAGAATTATAAAAACATTAACTGTATAGGCTTGGTCTCTAGTGTCATGAAATTTGCATTCCATTGGAATCAGAAACATTTAATAACTGCAAATCAAAAAGGTAATTTAAGATAATAGAGAATCTGTGAAGACAGTACTGCAGGGTGGTATGATAGAGTAATGGGGGAAAGAGTATACTTTAAATAGGAAAAACATGAAATTGCTGAGGTGGTAATATTTGACTTTAGCCTTGTAATAAAAAACAGGAATTGACAGACTGTGGTCTGAGGGCCAGTGTCTGTTTTGTAAATAAGGTTTTATGGGAATACAGCCACAGTCATTCTTTTACATATTGTCTATAGCTGCTTTGTAACAATAATGGGAAAGTTGAGTAGTTGGACCATAAGCCTAAAATATTTACTATCTGGTCTTTTCAGAAAAAAATTGCCAATCCTTAACATAAAAGAAGCACACCACTTGCTGATTGAGCTGAGATCACCACTGACTACATTACTTATAAACCTGGTATATACTTTCTATCCTTATTCAACATAATCAACCACTTACTCCTTCTAGAAATCGTTTCTTCTTTTTCTTAGCTTGTCTGATACCATGTTCTTTTGTTTTATTTTCTAATCTCTGTAGCAACTTCTTCCTCAGCTTCTTTAGTCTAATAATTTTCCTGAATCTGATCTTTAGTGTTACAGTATATTAGGGCTAGGTTTCATGTCTGTCTTCTCCCTTTTTTTTTTCTTAAATAGCATCATGCACTCCTGTGTCTTCAATTACTGTCTATTTCCTCATGACTTCCAAATACATATCTCTAGCTAGGCCTGTCTTCTGAATTTTAAACCTATGTCTCCAACTATCTACATGACATTCATCAATCTAAATTCAATAGGTTATAAACAGAATTCATGATATCCTCTGAAAAAGCTGCTTTACCTTTATATTTCTCTCTTTCAGTAAATGGCATCTATTGCTTATGTCAGTACTCTGGAATTCATCAGTGTAACCAATCAGTCATTAAGACCTTTCAAAATTCCCCCTTCTATGTATTTGATTGTTTATAGTTCTTTCTGTGCTTCTATATTCCTAGTCCAAGCTGCCTTTCCATGACCTCTGTGGTAACTTCCTGTTTGTCTCCACATATCCATTCTCAAAGTGGTTCATTGGACACCATAGCCAGAGTTACTGTAAATGAAAATCAGTGGCTTCCCAGTGTTTTTAGGATAAAGATCAAAGTCTTTTCCATGGTTTATAGAGTCCACTGAAGAAACTGTCCTCCCTAGCTTTATGCTATACCATTTTCCTTTTTCTAGGTAATCTGGCATTCTTTTACTTCCTCAATTCTCCAAATGTTTTATTAGGGTCTTTGCATGTATTGTTTCTTTCTTGCATGGAATGGCTGTTTTCTTTCTTCTTTGCTTACTTAATTCCTGTTTTCTCTAGGCAGCCTTCCCTCACCCTCACTCCCTCCTCTTAGGTTCTCATATTATTTTGTCCTTAGTCCTTTTTTTTTTCTTTTTTTCTTTTTTTTTTGAGACAGAATATCACTGTTACCCAGGCTGGAGTGCAGTGATGTGATCGTAGCTCACTGCAGCCCTGAATTCCTGAGTTTAAGCAATTCTCTGTGCCAAAGCCTCCCAAGTAGCTGGGACTACAGGTACATGCCCAAGTAATTGTTGTTGTTGTTGTTTTCAGTACATTTTTTTGTAAAGACAAGATCTTGCTATGTTGTCCAGCCATGTCTTGAACTCCTAGCCTCAAGTGATCCTCCTGCCTCGGTCTCCCAATGTTCTGGGATTGCAGACATGAGCCACTGTGCCCAGCCTATCCTTAGTCTTAAGTGCACTTATTACATCTGTGATTAATCACAACTATAATTAATGTAATTATTTGTCTTCCTCACAAAACTGTAAACTCCATAACAGAAGGCTTTGTGTCTGTGTTGTTCGCCATTGCATCGACAGCACCAAGCACATTTTCTGATACTAAATATTTGTGAAATGAAATAATAAAGGAGTATATTATGTCTTTTAATTATCACAAAACCCCTGTAATTTATTATTTCTCTTTGGGAGGCTTTTAAATTGCTTGGGAGAAATTTGGTAAAGAATAATTGTAATAGCTGCCATTTATTGAGAAACTCCCATGTGCTTGCTGTTCACTAGGCTACATACACAATCTTATTTTAACCCTTACAACACCCTTACAATGTAGTTAATTTTATTCCCATTTTTATGTGGGGAAACAGGCTCAGAGAAGGTATTTCACTTGCTCAGTGTACACAGTTAGTGACAGAGCCGTGATTCAAACCTAATTGATCTTTCTCTATATGCTCTTATACTCTACCACTGTATGTTGCGCCTTCTAACCAGATAGTTACTGCGAAAACTCCTGCAATTTCTAATTTTATCACAAGGCTCCCACTATATTTTCCCCCTTTTCATTCCTTTAACAGAAGAGTTTAAAGTTAGTATCTAGACATACCAGCTTATATATTCATTAATTAATAATTTATATTCACACAATGATTGTAGAAATGTGAGTGTTTCTTAGATTACCAAACATCTGTGAAATCGTGAAGGAGTATTGAAATTTAGTAATTTGGTTTGGATCTTTGAAGATATTCTGTAGAATTGTTTTCCAAAAGTTACAACTGGTTTACAATTTTTTTCTTAATTGCCATTAACAAGTTTTGACCCTGAGATGAGAAATTATTCACAAATTTCAATTAAATACTGGAATGCTTCATATTTTCTGTACTTTAGGACAGGGATCCCCAACCCCCAGGCCACAGGTTGGTACTGGTTTGTGACCTGTTAGGACCTGGACTACATGGCAGGAGGTGAGCGGTGCGTGAGAAACATTACTGCCTGAGCTCCACCTCCTGTCAGCGACAGCATTAGATTCTCATAGGAGGACGGACCTTATTGGGAACACACACAAGAGATCTAGGTTGCGGACTCCTCATGAGACTCTAATGCCTATGATCTGAGGTGGGACAGTTTTATCCTGAAGCTCCCCCACTATCCGTCCAGGGAAAAATTTGGTCCCTTGTGCCAAAAACACTGGGGACCTCTGCTTTAGAACATGCAGTAAAACTTGAATGGATTGTTTAACAGATTGTTTCTTTAATGAATTTATCACATAAAATCAGGCATTGCTTTGAAAAAGTGCAGTTTATTTCACTCTGTTATTACTGCGTGGTTCCAGATTGTTAAAGATTCAGCTACTTTAAAGCAGTGTCTTAAAGAATTAATTTTTGTCCTTTCAGCATTGGCAGATTCATTTTTGTCATGGAACATCTTATCTCCTTATGATGCTTTTGAAGTATTAATATAGGTGGAATTACCTATGATAGTTTGGTGGAACTAAACTCTTTGTCACTTTTTCTATTTGTGAGATTTGCATATAGTATTGTAGCTTTTTTCTGAAATTTTTTGTTTTGCAACGTGCCTTCATAAGAAACTCATCGATTTGTATATTTAAAAAGAGGCTGTAAAGCATTTGAACTAGCCCCAGTAGGATCATATTATAATTAATAATAATAATAATATTAATGTCACCAGGGCTTGCATAACAATTCATAATAATTGTCTTTACACTTAAGTTTAACTACTAAACTTTGTAGCCTAATATAGTGATTTTTATCACAATGATAAACTTTTTTATTTACCTCTTGAACTGTATGTAAGAACAGAGACCAGTAGACCTAGTTTTTCCTGGTTATTTTGTAGAACGGGAATTGGGAACTGGAATTGAGGAAGTGATTTCAATTTCATGTAAATTTTTCTGCTATTAATTAGTTGGCCTATTAAATTTTTAGAGTAGCTATTGAACTTTTGCAACCAGTTTTATTTTGAGTACTTTATTAAAGTATCATCTGTTAGCTTTTCATATCATCTCACCATATTATCTTACTGAGGTAAAATGGAATTTTTTGCTTACTGATTTTTTACATAAGAATTAAGTGATACCCATACATACCAATAACATTGAAATTCCAGGCTTTCCCATGAAGGAAAACAGTTAAATTAATGCTAGATTTATAAGGCACTACAAAAAAAAGCACTAAATAAATTTTTAATTTAAAAATAAAAAATTAATAGTGTTGATGGGGGGTGGAATAGACATTGTAGAATCCTAATACTATTTAATGTTGTTCATATGTGTAAGAAAGACACATTATATTTTAAAATATAGATTCTAATATTGAAAGAAAAAAATCATCAGTTTTGGAGATGAAACGCATTTTTAGGAATCTTATATGGAAACTTCAATAAGGACATTTTTATACCAGTGGAAAACCTGATTGGAACACCTTAGAGACATATTAGGCACTGTTGTTTGGAATGCCAGATAAGTTAACCTCTGTAAGATATATATTCTTATAAATCACTGCTAGCATAGCTGTAATATGTGAAGATAATTTATTAATTTGGACTGATGCTGAATGTAGACATCTTCCATATCTAACCTTAAGCATTTAAAAAAATATTTTAGGACTAATTATTTTGTCCAAAAAAGCAATCTTTTGATTATTGATCTTCACAGAATTGATTTGTAAGATGTCATGATCAATTGTGGTTAGCATCTTTATTATTATATCCATTCCAAGATAATTTTAGGCTTTTGATACCTTGATACCTTTGTCTCTTCCAACTTTTGCAGAGACTTTCCTTGCTTGCATACAGAGAAGAGCTAGTAGCTAATGAAGAATGTGCAAACCTGCCTTTTTTCCCTCTCCTAAGAAAGGAGAATTCATCCACTGCCACTGTACCTTTTTTTTCTTTTCTTTTTTGTCTTGCACAGAAGACAGACATCTTCCTGTGAAGGGCTTGTGGCAAACCTATCCAACTCGGGTTTCTTCTTCCTTGAGAACGATCTGATTCATCATCATCTGAACCAGGGATCACAGTCTAAGGTCCAGGTGAGGGCAAGTCAGTCTATATGTTAAGCCAGTTCTTTTCTGGTCAGGTAAGTCATACTCAGGCATGAACTCACTCAGCATCAGTCAGCCTTAGTTTTTTAAAAGTTTCCTAGTCCCCAGAGAGATAATACAATTTATCTATTCATTTATTCTAGGATGCACCTAAACTATTGATGATTAATCACCTTATTAAATGATTCCATTCTGTGTATAATGTGATCATTTTCAACACACTTGTTCATCTTAAATTCCAGAACTCTTAAAAGGAGTATATGTGTGGGGTGAGAGGGAGAAAAATACTGAAACAGATAGGTATTTCTAGCTGCAATTTTAATACTTATCCTTATCTTCATTTTTATTTTATGCGTAAGAGTTTAGAACAACTTAAAATCAGCCTAGAATATATGATCTTATACCTTCGTAATTTTAATAACGTTTGATTATGTTTGTAGATGGCTTGGAACCAGAAGCTGATTGAGAATATTAGAGCTAACATTTGCACTCATGGTCATCACGGAGGTCTTTGTTGGCTTGCCATGAATTCTTTCCTTTAATGTCAAAATGACTAAGACAGAGACAAGAATTTTCCTGTTCTGTATCCCACTTCTATATGCTAGTAATAAGAAACTTCTGATTGTGCCTCAGGCAAGTGGTCATAGCTAATTGAAATCCAGTTTTGTACCTTGATGCTATCTTACAACTTGGGAAGTAAATTAGGTCTGTGGCTATGAGGCTATTTTCTGGACAAAATAGCCTCTTATTTTTCAAAAAAATTTTTTTATTTGAGGAAAAAAATCTACATGTATTCTGACATTTATAATCCTTCAAAATGCACTTGGGCATTATGTGAAATTTGTTTTATAGGTGGACATTTTAAGTAAATTAGTTTAAGTCTTACAAAACATTAATTTGTTTCATCATGATAATGACATTGTGTGCATTTGGTTGTGAAAAAAACAGAAGTAGTACTTTAATATACCTTGTCTCTGACTTTCACCCACACATAGCAGATATGAATAAATTGGGCATTTATTTCTCCTATTGGCTAATTTTCCAAGTGACTCTTAAGTTATGAACTGAAGTTAATATACTTCAGTGAGTTTGCTACAGTAATGACTCCTGGTCACTAGGAAGAAGAGAGATTGTCTTCCTCTGAAATTTTTCCAACCATTAAGGTAAATGGGTTGTAAGAATACTGTTGGCTTCTTGAGATACATTGTTTTGTGTTTATTATTCAAAAACATCTATACTAGTTTTGAGCAAGAGAACATTTCTTTGGCTGGAAAGGCAACTTTTTAAAGCATTCATTATTTGGAACCATGTTACTGTTGGAACCTAAATAAAGTAGTTATTTACTTGAGTCTATATTAGGACAACTAAGTTAGTATGGACTTAGAAATTGTTGGGTACAAACCCTGTGTTTCTATCTCGTTATGTTTGTGTAATATGTGCAGAAGAATCAAAATATTTATTGGGTGTTTTAAAATGTCTCCAGTGGTATCTCTCTTGAACAGAAAAGCCATTTATTTAATTCTGCTTCAGATTCTAGTAGAAAATTATTTCCCACTAGATCATAAGTGTTTTAAGATGATTAGGTTCCTGTATGTGCATTGTATGAGTATGTGAACATATCCTAACCCAATTTTATAAATATATAAAGTAATTTAAATATTTAGAAATCTCAACATTAAACCAAGAATGTCATCCACATTAAAGTGTGTATTAAATATTTGAATCTGTATTGTAATGAACTCAGTAGGCATGTTTCAAAGACTTAGGAAGTAGCACAGATTTCCATTATGCTCTTGGGCTGGGCAAGTCAATTACATCCTCAAAGGGTTGTAATTTTGTAGAAATTAGCAGACTACAAAGGATGCTTGATGGTTGTATCTGACTGGCTTTGGAAATGCTTACATTTCTAAGACTGTGAATTTTTAAATAATCTTTCCTACTTTTTTTCCTACTTTTATCCTTCTTGTATGTTTTTGTAACCAGTAGTTTTTTAGGTAGACACATATGTGAACTTTAAACATTTCCATATTTATAGTTAGTGTAATTATTACAACATCTGTTTCAATATATGAATGAACTAAAATTTGGAAACTTAAAAGATCAGTTTTTAGTCTTTAAAACATTAGAGCAGGATGAGCTCTTAATCATCTACACAAAGATTTACAGGCTTTAAATATGTAGATTTAGATTATCTGTGATAGCATTTTCATTCTATACCAGTTAATGCATTTCAGAGACATGTGGTGTGTGTATTAAGGGACATGCTAGCTGATTGTACCTTACTGTAAGCAAAACAAAATTATAAAAGCAGATTTGTTATGAAAAATAAGAAATCGATGATTTCCAAAATCAAAAATGTGACTTTCGGACTATTCTATGTGTTGTTGGATTGATCTGCCTTTTCTTACACAAGAGCATACTGCTGACCCCACCACAAGCTTTACCTGTTAAGTAAAATATGTTGTGTTTGGAATATAGCATAGCCTAGAGCCAGGCATTATGGAGATGATATGCTGAAATTGGGGTTTCTTTTCTTCATTCTCCCTTTCCAGTTAGGATTTGATTGCATTACTGTAATAAACATTAACATTGAAATCATGTTTTAAATTTCTTCATGTTCATTTTCTGGCCTCTGTAGGACACACACAGAAAAGACCAGTGAATGCCATTTCATCTAAGAAGCTCTTTAAATGCATCCAAGATGCCAGAAATAACCCTTTCATACCTCCTGAGTAGTAGCAACATGTAATGGTATAGGAAGAAATATTCCACCTAGCTTTTCTTTTGGTGGTGTCTTGCCATTAACTCATAAAAACGTATATCCTACTATTATCTCTACCATACCTTCATGTCATTGGTTAGATTGCCTGATGGCTACTAATGTCTCAAGTTAATAGCCACAGAATATTTCAGAAAGGTGGCGTCCACTTTATAAAATGTGTCTATGATTGCCAAAGTCTTATTTGGCTAGAAACAACTAAATTTAGTTGACCGAGTAAAATTGTATATTCTTAGAATATGTCACTTAAAACAAACAAATAGTGATTTACTTTCAGTTCTGAAAATATTTAGAAGGATTTGTTATCTCTTGCAGACCTTCCTGCAGACTACTAATGGGATGAACACAATATATCACTTTTATAATAGTGAGCTATTAAAGGCAAGCATAAAGCAGTCTGAAGCCCATAAGTGCTGCCAACAGCTCCTGCTTTAATGAATTCCCTTTTAGATGTCCATTAAATGCTCATGGCAAATGTACTCATAATGGAAATGGCAAATCTAAATGGGTAGATATGAATAATCCATGGAGTTTAAATTCTGTTTATGATCATCTTCACATTTAGTTTTCAAGACAACGCAGTTTAGTTTTCATTACAGTTTGGAATAAAGAGGACAGGGAGTAATTGATTGCTTCAAGCAGATTAAAATCAATGGTTTTCTTTTCAAAGAACCAGTTCAATGCAGTAATTCCAACTTTAAACATTGATTTAGAGGACTCAACACAAAATGTTTTGTGCTGTGTGAACTTTTATATAGGAAGACTAATATTAATTTTATTCCCCTGTATATCTGTATAGTGAAATATAGAGGTTGTTAGTAACATGTGCATGACTTAATAGTGATCTATATTAAGTCATTTTGATATTATTGCAGTCATATAATGAATCAGTGAGATTCCCGTCATCACTGTAATACTGTTTGTAACCCATTAGCACAGAGAAATTACAGCCCATCATACATCATTACTGTGATTGAGGCTTTATTACCATATTCTCAAATTGCTTGCTTGCTATAAAACTAAATAGACACAAGACAACTATAGGTAGAGTAGAGACTGCGCATTATTGTGCTACAGTAATGAGGGATTATTGTACCATAATGGGTTGAAACTTATGAGGAAAATAAACTTGGCAGTAATAGAAAACTGGAGACTCTTTTTACATTTGTTTTTATTACTTTAAAGGTCAAATATATTTGTTATGCTCAGGTTATTGTTTATGTATTACATGAATCATAGCCTTTTAATATTTTCTAAAGATTTTTTTCACCCCCACCCCCACCCCCAATTGTATCCTTTCAAAGTCTGTGGCCTGATGCACTTTGAATGCTTAGGACTGGACTTGGAATCTGTGTTTTTCCTGTTGTGAGATGAGACGTTTTACTGCTACTAAGCCTACCATTTCTGAGGGTAGGTAGAAAGCTTTAAACTTTAGGCTATTTTCAGCATACTATACATTTTGTTTACAGTGTGGATAGGCCAGTGGTCTTCACGCTCTTCAGTTGAAATAAATGTATTAATGCAGCAATATTCTAAGCAATGAATACAGATTTAAAATATGGAACTGTCTAGGGCCTGATTGTAAAAGACTTTTGATGTTTCAAAGATGAAAATAGAAAAAATATACTGCGTCCATATTAAAGAAGAAAATCCTACGACAGTAGAACTTACTGTAGTTATAACCTGGGACCATGCTGTCCTCTTTGGAAGAATATGTTGCCTATGTTGCCTTTTCTAACTTTAGAGGTTATTGTTGCTTTGGCTAAAAATTTATATGTAAAGTGTTTTATAATCATGAACATATGCTAATTTCTGGGTTTTGTTTTATATTATTATTTTTATTTATTTATTTAGTGTTATTTTTTAGAGACAGATCTCACTGTTGCCCAGGCTGGAGGGTAGTGGCACTATAATTAGAACTTATTAAATTGTGCATATGTTCATTCACTCTCTGTTGAGTCTTGTTTATGAGTTATAACATTGAGAGCATAATATGAACAGTGTAAAGCCCAGGGTACTGACTTTGGAGATAAGATTGCATGGATTTAAAGTTCTCAGTGCAGAGTGGTTTTCTGATCTCAATCTCATTGTGATTTGATACCACGACAATTTAAATATCAAACAATGACCCATCTGGGCAACATAGTGAGGCTCTGTCTCTGCTAAAAATAAAAATAAAATAAGAGCTGGGCATGGTGGCGCATTCCTGTAGTCTCAGCTTCTCAGGAGACTGAAACAGGAGGATCATTTGAGCCCAGGAGTTTGAGGCTCTAGTGAACCCTGATGGGGCCACTGCAGCCCAGCCTGGGCAAGAGTGAGACCTGTCTCTAAAAAATAATAATAAATGAATGAATAAATATCAAATAATATAAAATGAAAGCCAGAAATTAGCATATGTTCATGATTATGAAACACTTTATGTATAAATACTTTGCCAAAGCAATAGTAACCTCTTGTTAACTTAGAAAAGGCAACATATTCTTCCAAAGAGGACAGCTTGGTCCCAGGTTGTAATTACAAGCCACTTACACATTACTCTTAGGGTTATCATATGTAATTACCACCCCCTTTGTAAAGCATATATTTTATTTATAACACATACTGTAGTTGTAGTGGTATAAAACCTGAATGCTTGCTTACCAAAGAACTGCAATGAGACATGCTGCATAAAAGGAAAGCTTAGAATTGGCTGAGGGGACTATGCCTAAATGATGCCCCAGCCAACTCTACCTGGTATATTCTTCAATGAAGAAAACTGTAAAACATCCTAATCAACCAACTTCTTTCCATGCTTGCCAGAGTATATAGCCACTTTGAATTACATGAATGTTTTTGTGACTCGGTTCATTTCATCACTTCATGGGAGCACCTTCCATGTTAAAAACAGATGCAGTGCAAAAGCAGAAAGCCAGAAATAATAGTGAGAGGCAAAGTTAGAGAAATGTGCATATTAAATCTTTAAAATACTCTATGACTTTTTCCTGCCCAGCATCTTTTGGGGGAAAAAGAGAGAAGATGAATAAATTAAAGGTTTTTTTCTTTCTTTGTTTTTTTGAGACAAGGTCTCACTCTGTTTCCCAGGCTGGAGTGCAGTGTTGCCATCATGGCTCACGGCTCCTGGCAGCTTCAACCTCCAGGCTCAAGTGACCCTCCTGCCTCAGCCTCCTGAGAACTGGGACCATAGGCATGAGCCACCACAGGTTTGGTTTTTTTTTCTTAATAGGTTGGACATATGGCTATAAATAAAAAATAAGAAAATTAAAAAAGAGTAAGTGCTAAGAAGAAAAATAAAATGAAATTATAAGTATAAGAAATGCTAGATGGGGTTGTTATATATATGATTTTTTGTAGAAGGCCTTTCTGATAAGATGGCATTTAAGGAAAAATCTAAATAAAGTGCAGGACAAGCCAAGATATTTATCTATGGTAAAAAAATATCCCAGGAACAGTGAATGTAAGTGTTCTGAGAGAGAAGCATATTTGATATGTATGCAGAACAGCAAGACTGCTATGGCTCAGCAGATAAAGGGGGAAACATAAGAAATTAAACATGATACCTTAGTAATTTTTTAAATGAATTTAATAACATTAAAGTCTTTCTGTGTAGTTAGGTTTTTGCTATTAGAGAGGTGGTTCTAAGTCAAATGATGCTTCTAATATCTTTCTTAATATATTGGATATGACCTTGTTTTTTAAGTATTTAAATATGCTTGAACATGTTAACCCGATCATGTATCTTTTGTGGAGGTCTAGAGTTTTTTTTTGTTTTGTTTTTTAGGGTTTTTTTTTTTAATGATACAGGCTTTATTATCTTCCCCATTTTGCAGATGAGAACACTGAGGCATTTACCCAGTGGCTTATAAGCTGATAGGTGCTAAAGCCAGGAATCAAATTCAGAAAGTGTAGCCCAGATTCTGAACTTTTAGCCATTGTTTGCACTGTTTGTTTCTTTTTTTGTTTTTTTTTTTTTTTTTTTAAGTAATTTCAACTTTTATTTTAGATTCAGGATATGTGTGCAGGTTTGTTCCATGGGTATACTGTATAATGCTGAGGTTTGGGATACACTACAACCCGTTACCAAGGTAGAGAGCATAGTACCCAGTAGGTTTTCTTTTCTTTCTTTCTTTCTTTGAGACAGAGTCTTGCCCTCTTGCCAAGGCTGAAGTGCAGTGTTGTGATCTCAGCTTACTAAATCTCCACCTCCCAGTCTTAAGCAGTTCTTGTGCCTCAGCCTCCCAAGTAGCTGGGACTGTAGGTGTGTTCTTCCATGCCCAGCTAATTTTTGTATTTTTACAAAATACAACAAAATATTCAAGCTATTTTATTGGCCAAGCTGGTGTCGAACTCCTGGCCTCAAGTGGTCCAGCCACCTTGGCCTCCCAAAGTGCTAGGATTACAGGTGTGAGCCACCTCTGTGCCTCTCCCCAGTGTCTCTTGTTGCTGTCTTTATGTCCATGAGTACTCAATTTTTAGCTCCCACTTATAAGTGATAACATGCGATATTTGGTTTTCTTTTCCTGTGTTAATTCACTTAAGATAATGGCCTCCATCTGCATCCATGTTGCTGCAGAGGTCACAATTTCCTTCTTTTTTATGGTTGCATAGTAGTCTATGGTGTATATATGCTACTTTTTCCTTTTGTTCTTACAATTTTCTATCTTTTTCTTTATAATTTCAGCATTTATTTTTAGATGTCAGGGGTACATATGCAGGTTTATTACATGGGTATATTGCATGATGCTGAGGTTTGGAGTATGACTGAACCCATCACCCTGGAAGTGAGCATACTACCCATAGTTAGTTTTTCAACCCTTTCTCCCTCTAGCAGTCCGCTGTGTCTCTTGTTGCCATCTGTATGTCCGTGGGTACCCACTATTTAGCTACCACTTGCAAGTAATAACATGTGGTATTTGTTTTTCTGTTCCTGTGTTGATTTGTTTAGGATAATGGCCTCCAGCTGCATCCATGTTACTGCAGAGGACATGATTTCATTCTTTTTTATGGCTGTGTGGTATTCCATGGTGTATATGTACTATATTTTCTTTACCCAGTCCATCATTGATGAACATCTAGATTGATTCCACATCATTGCTATTGTGGATAGTGCTGCAGTGAACATATGAGTACATGTGTTTTTTTGATAGAACAATTCATTTTCTTTTGGATATATGCCCAGTAATAGGATTGCTGGGCCAAATGGTAGTTCTATTTCAAGTTCTTTGAGAAATCCCAAGGTACTTTCCACAGTAGCTGAATTAATACATGTTCCCCCCCAACAGTGTATAAGCGTTCCCTTATCTCTGCAGCTTTGCCAGCATCTATTGTTTTTTTTTCTTTTTTGACTTTTTAATAATAGCCATCCTGACTGGTATGCAATGGTATCTTACTGTAATTTTGATTTTCATTTCTCTGATGGTTAGTGATGTGGAGTATTGTTTCATGTGTTTGTTGGCTGCTTATATGTCTTCTTTTGAGAAGTGTTGATTCATGTCCTTTGCCCGCATTTTAATGGAGCTGTTTTTTGCTTGCTGAATTGTTTACATTTGTCATAAAGTTTGGATATTAGACTTCTGTTGTATGTATAGGTTTTTCTCTCATTCTGTAGATTGTCTATTTATTCTGTTGATAGTTTCTTTTGCTGTGCAGAAGCTCTATAGTTTCATTAGGTTCCATTTGTCAGTTGTTGTTTCTGTTACAATTGCTTATGAGGACATAAACATAAATTCTTTCCCATGACTGATGTCCAGAATGATGTTTCCTAGGTTTTCTTCTAGGATTCTTATAGTTTGAGGTCTTATATTAAAATCTGTTAATCGGTCGAGTTAATTTTTGTATATGGTATATACAGCTACATATAGCTAGCCAACTATCCCAGAACCACTTATTCAATAGGAAGTCCTTTCCCGATTGCTTAGTTTTGTTGACCTTGTTGAAGATCAGATGTCTGTAGGTGTGTAGCTTTACTTCTGGCTCCTCTATTCTGTTCCATTGGTCTATGCATCTGTTTTTGTACCATTAACATGCTGTTTTGGTTACTGTAGCCTTATAGTGTAGTTTGAAGTTGGGTAATGTGATGAATGCCTCCAGATTTGTTCTTTTTGTTCAGGATTGCTTTGGCTATTCAGGCTCTTTCTGTTCTGTATGAATTTTAGAATAGTTTTTTTTTACTTCTGTGAAAAAATGGCATGGTAGTTTGATAGGAATAGTGTTGAATCTATAGATTGCTTTGGACAGTGTGGCCATTTTAACAATATTGATTCCTCCAATCCATGAGCATGCAATGTTTCTCCATTTGTTTGTGTCATCTGATTTCTTTCAACAGTGTTTTGGAATTCTCCTTGTAGAAATCTTTACCTTTTTGTTTAGATGTATTCTTAGGTATTGTGTGTGTGTGTGTGTGTGTGTGTGTGTGTGTGCACGTGCACAGCAATTATAAATGTGATTTTATTCTTGATTTGTCTCTCAGCTTCAATATTATTGGTATATAGAAATGCTAGTAACTTTTTGTACATTAATTTTTGTATCCTGAAACTTTACTGAAGTTGTTTATCAGTTCTAGGAGCCTTTTGACAGACTTAAGGGTTTTTTTCAGGTATACAATCATATTGTTGGCCAAGAGAGATAGTTTGACTTCTTTTCCTATTTGCATGCCTTTTATTTCATTCTCTTGCCTGAATGCTGTGGCGAGGGCTTCCAGTACTATGTTGAATAGGGTGGTGAAAGTGGGCATCCTTGTCTTGTTCCAGTTCTCAAGGGGAATGCTTCCAGCTTTTGCCCATTCTGTATCATGTCGGGTATGGGTTTGTCATAGATGGCTTTTATTATTTTGAGGTATGATCCTTTGATGCCTAGTTTATTGAGGGTTTTTATCATAATGGTAAGTTGGATTTTATTGAAAGTTTTTTCCACATCTATTGAGATGGTTTTATTGAAAGTTTTTTCCACATCTATTGAGATGATTTGTTTACATGGTGAATCATATTTATTGATTTGCATATGTTGAACCAACTTTGCTTCCCAGGAATGAAGCTTACTTGTTCCTGGTGAATTAATTGTTGATGTGCTGCTGGATTCAGTTTGCTTGTATATTGTCGAGGATTTTTGTGTCTATGTTCATCATGGGTATTGACTTGTAGTTTTCTTTTTTCATTGTGTCTTTGCCAGGATGTACCACATTTTCTTTATCCATTCCACCATTTATGGGCACCTAGATTAATTCTATGTCTTTGCTTTTGTGAATAGTGCTGTGATGAACATGCAAGTGTATGTGTCTTTTTAGTAAAATGATTTCTTTTCTTTTGGTTATATACCCAGTAATGGGATTGCTAGGTCCAATGGTAGTTCTGATTTAAGTTCCTTGAGAAATCTCCAGACTGTGGAGACAGTGCCTGAACTAATTTATCTTCCTACCAACAGTGTGTAAGAGTTCCTTTTTCTCTATAGCCTTGCTAGCTTCTGTTGTTGGTTTTTTTTTTTTTTTTTTGCTTTTTAATAATAACTATTCTGACTGGTGTGACATGGTTTTGATTTGCTTCTCTCTGATGATTAGTGATGTTGAACATTTTTTTCATATCCTTGTTGCCACCTGTATGTCTTCTTCTGAAAAGTGTCTGTTCATGTCTTTTGTCTATTTTTTTTAATGAGATGTATTTGTTTTTGTTTTTTTGCTTATTGAATTAAGTTCCTAATAGATTCTGGATATTAGACCTTTGTTGGATGCATAGTTTACAAATATTTCCTCCCGGTTTATAGATTGTCTGTTTGTTGATGGTTACTTTTGCTGTGTAGAAACTCTTTAATTAGTTCCCATTTGTCAATATTTGTTTTGTTGATTTGATAGACTGCTAGCTAGACTAAGAAAGAAAAAAGAGAGAAGATCCAAATAAGTACAATCAGAAATGACAAAGGTGACATTACATCTGATCCCGGAAAAATACAAAGGATTCTCAGAGACTATTATGAACACCCCTGTTCACACAAACTTAGAAAATCTAGAGGAAATGGACTAATTCCTGGAAACAAAACCTTCCAAGTTTGAATCAGGAAGAAATTGAAGCCCCGAACAGACCAATATTGACATTTGAAATTGAATCAGTAATAAAAACCTACCAACCAATAAAAGCCGCAGATCAGATGGATTCACAGCCAAATTCTACCACATGTACATAGAAGAGCTGGTACAAACTCTACCGAAACTATTCCAAAAAATCGAGGAGGAAGTGCTCCTCCCTAACTCATTCCGTGAAGCCAGCATCAGCCTGGTACCAAAATCTGGCAAGGACACGACAAAAAAAACTACAGGCCAGTATCTCTGATGAACGTGGACAAAAAAAATCCCCCCAAAAATACTAGCAATCCACATCTAGCATCATATCAAAACGTTAGTTCACCATAATCAAGTAGACTTCATTCCTGGGATGCAAGGTTGTTTCAACATAATGCAAATCAATAAATGTGATTCACCACTTAAACAGAATGAAAAACCATATAATCATTTCAATAGATGGGGAAAAAGCTTTTGATTTTTGTTCTTGATAAGATATGACAGAAAGTCTCAGAGTCAGAGCCAGGGACTTTCTTAAATAATTTTAGAGCTTTTAGTTGCAAAATGTCTTTGTTTTTACTGCTGGCATAAATAGGTTTTCCATTTATTTCTAGCACTCAGTAAAAACATATTATTTAATTTACTGGCTCTTCCAATGTAGTATATGAGTCTGCTAAAGTTTGTGAAGTCTTGTTCGTTTATTTATTTAGGTTGCTGACAAGTGGAAATAGGTGAGATATGAAGTTTTGGGGATTTTAATCCTGTAGAAGGGGTCCTTGAATTGAAAAAAAGTTTTGAGAACCAGTTGCCTTCTTCCCAGGGAGAAGATGGAGCAGAGGTCCCAAACATGGTAAAACTGAGGTAGAAAAGAAGACCTTAGGAGAAGCTTGAGGTTCAAAGAGAGGGAATAAGTTAAAAATGTAAAAAGTTAACTTTTGAAACAGAGAAGAGGAAACTAGTGAAGAAGGAATTCTTCCTCGCTGCATTCTGCATTAGTTATCTATTGCCGCAGAACAAATTACCCCTAAACTTAGAAGTTTTAGGAAAAATCATATTCTATTTCACAGACTTCCTGAGGCACAGGAATTTCGGAATGGCTTAGCTGAGTAATTCTCACTTAAGGTCTTTTATGAGGTTTCAGTCGAAATGTTGATCCAGGGCTGAAAATTCTGAAAACTTGACTGGGGTTGGAAGGTCAGCTTGCAGAATGGCTTGCTCACGTAACTGTTAACAGAAGGCCTCATCAGTTCTAGCCTGTTGTTGACAGGAGGCCTCACCTCCTTGCCACATGAAGCCCTCCATAGGGCTGCTTGATTGTCCCCATGATATGGCAGCTAATTTCCCCAAAGTGAGTGATGCAAGAGAGAGGGTGGGAAAGCTACTGTAAAAATTGGGGGTCATGTTATTAATTATTTGTTATTTATTTATTATTACTATTAAGCAGTAATTGATAGCACTCATTTTCTTCATTTATATTGTGATTCCTCATTGTTTTTGATCATCTCAGGGCACAAAATAACAATCTCCCAAAACAAAGAAACCAAGCTACCACCACCAACTTGTGATAAATACAAAATATACATAATTTATGTATTTTGAAGGAAGTCCTGTAATATCCTAGTTGAAATTATTTCTTGAAGTACAGTCACACATCACTTAACAACAAGAGTATGTTCTAAGAAATGTCCTTTTAGGCAATTTTGTTGTTGTGGAAACGTCAGGAACTGTTCTTACACAAACCTGGATGGTATAGCCTACTACACACCTAGGCTGCGTGGTATAGCCTATTGCTCCTAGGCTACAAACCTGTACAGCATGTTACTATACTGAATACTGTAAACAATTGTAACACAATGGTAAGTACTTATGTATCTAATCATAGAAAAGGCACAGTAAAAAATACACTTTTTTTTAAATTTAATATTATTTTAAGTTCTGGGATACATGTGCAAGATGTACAGGTTTGTTACAGAGGTAAATGTGTGCGATGGTGGTTTGCTGCACCTATCAACCCATCACCTAGGTATTAAGTCCCACATGCATTAGCTATTTATCCTGATGCTCTCCCTCCCACTGCACCCCCGACAGGCCCTGGTATGCATCGTTCTCCTCCCTGTGTCCATGTGTTCTCATTATTCTGCTCCCACTTATAAGTGAGAATATGTGGTGTTTAGTCTTCTGTACCTGTGTTAGTTTGCTGAGGATAATGGCTTCCAGCTCTATCCATGTCCCTGCAAAGGACATGATCTCATTCTTTTTCATGGCTACATAGTATTCTATGATATATATGTACCACATTTTCTTTATCCAGTCTATCATTGATGGGCATTAGGGTTGATTCCATGTCTTTGCTATTGAAAAATACACTTATATTTTTCATAGATCCTAGGCCTATACAGGGTCAGGATCAGCAAGACACAACTAACTATAAAAATTCCTATCATGTAGTTAGGATAGGACCTAACTATATAGTTATATATAGTTAACTATATAGGAACTAACAATATAATTAGGTCCTATCCTAACCATATGATAGGAATTTTTCAACTCCATGTAATCCTAAGGGATCACCATCTTAGATGCAGCCAATTGTTGACCAACATGTCATTATATAGTGCATGGCTTTTGTACGTCATGGCTACATTTAAATATGCTTGTTTTCAGTGTTAGGGAAATATATGTGGTGAAAGAGATGATTAATTAATGCTGGTGTGTTGTTTGCATCAAAGAGGAAATTTTCCTTTTACTTATATTTTGAGGATGATTGGGAACATCAAGAATAGATTTATATTACAGTAGCACTCACATTTGAATCATCTTTGGATTAAAAGGTTCTAACTAGTGTCCTTTTTGCATTGCTTTTCTTAATTATAACTATAAATCAAAAACATGTAAAACTATAGTGTGCCAAATGTTTTCTAAGACCCATTTAATGATTGTAATAACCCACTCTAGGGGGGGTCATCATCTTTTTGTCAGGACAATCAGGTTTACGGATAGGCTCCTACTCTTAAATTTGTGCTTTGTACAGAGGGAGTATATATTACAGACACTTGGATAAATCATTTCATAAAGTATTTTCTGCAGTATCTTCTAAAATATAAAGTAATTTGATTAAAAATAAATAAGATTGTACTTAGTGGGCACAAAAGTGGATGAATATGGGATAACTTCAGAAAAAAGAGATATAGCTGATGGTGTGTATTGATTGATGACTACTTTCCTGTACTTAAACAGTTTATACTGTGCAAATATTGACCTGTATCAAGTGACTGACTACAGTATTTTCATGCAGATATTCCTTGAATTACTTTTGTAATCAGTAATTCTTTTTGAGACAAATATGTAAAATGAAGTATTCTTCTTTAAGAAAACCTAGGATCTTTTTATTTTTATTTAAAATATTTTATTCCGAAGATTCCAGGAACATACATAGGATAAAATAGTGGTTTCAAACTGGTTTACAATCAGTGGAACTGTTTCTTCAAATGAAATTTTACATAGAAGCAAATGGCTCAGACTGAAATGAGGATGTGGGGTTGCAAGAAGCCAGATGTTCCAATGGTTCAGTTCTTACTCTCTCTGTGGTGCCCTTGGGGTGTCTCTCTGGCATCCTAAGCCTCTAAGGAGTGCATTTTGAGAACTGTGGACATATGTAGGAATTTGTAATTCATAGGCCATATGCCATTCATTTGGGTGTTAGATGACACTGCCTCAGTGTCATTGTTAGATCACATAGGCTAGCCAACAGTAAACAGGAATATATTTATTGCATATAAAAGTTATTATTAGTGAACATGTTTGTCTAATTGACACTGATAATTAGATGTGTGATGTGGGGTCAGACACTTCCAATTCTCAATTTCTTTATATGTATGTAACTAGAGGGAGTTGGACTAGGGTAAGCAGAAGCTCCTGGCACCTGCCATTCTATGGTTCTGATAATATTTATTGACCTTCAATGAAGAGTCTAGAACTTTTCTGCTATGAGATAAAGAAAAAGTCTTAAGCCATGGTTTGGAACTCTAAGAGATTTAAACTCAGATTGGTGAGATAAAACTAGCCAACATGAAACTATTAGAGACAATCTATCAAAGTATTAATAAATTGTTTTGCACTATAAGATCTAAACTTATACAGAGGCAAATAGAAAGGATCTATTTTAAAATCCTTACATTTAAAATAAAAGTGCCTGTTTGACATTTCATCTAATTTGGTGAACTGGCAAATTACACACACATGTATTTCCTAC
Source organism: Homo sapiens (assembly GCF_000001405.40). Taxonomy (NCBI): domain Eukaryota; kingdom Metazoa; phylum Chordata; class Mammalia; order Primates; family Hominidae; genus Homo; species Homo sapiens. The sequence goes on from NC_000005.10 coordinate 171,044,077, forward strand.
TAAGAACTAGAAATCAATCCTGTTGCACTATTATGATCTTAAATATGATCTCCTAAACGTGTAGAAAGGTATTAGTTGCTTTCTTTCCCCTGGTGCCTATGAGTATTAATATATATTACATTTTAATTTTAATGCCCCCGGTGAAATCTGTATTCTTAAAGAACTAGAAATCTGAATTTTTCAGCTTTAACAGATTGTATTGTTTATGAGTACAAATTAATTTTTTTTCACAAGGCTTTTCTTAAAATGAATTTTAATATAACATTAAAGTCATATATATTTCAGCATATTAAAGAATAAGGAAGAATTTTTTATGTTGGAAACTTATTTTACCTTATTAGCAATTTTAATTCATTAAGCCTTATTTTTGCTTTTGTAATAATAACATTTTTTCAAACCATCTTAAATTTTGTAGAGAATTTTAATTTATTTGATCTTTGACTATAATATTCAAATTGGTTTTGCTTTGCTCACAAAGGTAAAGAGAATTCCAAATTTACTCATAATAAAAATATTAGAGAAACTGTCAATAAATTTACTGTTATAATTGAATCACATGATATCTAAATTGTTGATAATATGATCTGCTCGTTAAACAATAGTGTCTGGAGAAAATGATGGATTAATTGACTGATGGCTAAAGTTTCCCTCAAATATAATGGTTTACCCAGTTTGATTTGATTTGTGTAAAATAACTTTCTCTAATAAACAATTTGCTCAGAGGCAATAGAAGAAATGAATGGTTATCAAACCAAACTTAATTAGTCTATCCTAGATTGATATTACTTGGGGAGTCTTTGTTTTAATTGTGGAGTGCTGGATACAAAGAGTTTGGTTCATTATTTTTTCCTGTATAAACACTATTGTGTAACTACCTATGGAATAATAACATGTGAATTCATTTTAATAAATGCTTGTAAAGTGAATTAGCTAATTATACCAGGCTAAAAATGATTCCTTTAATTATTTTGGATATTTAACTGGTACTTCAGTTTTATTATTGTTTGTCTGTAAATGTGATTTGTATTAGCTCTGCCAAACTAATTATAATGTATAACTTAACAAACAATTTGAGCAGTTTTGTAATGCTTATATTGTTCTCTTCTCTTATGCAAAAGAAAACATTATTTCTAGTTTGCATGAAAATAAAGGTTTGATACAAATTCACATGGAAATATATGTGTAAATAGAGAAGAAAAACCTCTCAATATGCAAGGTAGTACTTGATATAACTATATGAATGAGAAGAATGAACAGATTTCCTTCAGGAGAAGATAAGCCAGTGACTCATTAGTTTAACTTAAAATATGATATAGCATAAGAGATTTGATTGTTATTTTAAAGCTGGAAAGATGAGTTTTCTTCATGCCCTATCTAGAGAGTGAAAAACTCGATCCTCATTCTCAAAAAGAAAGATTTATAGTAATAATGTATTGTGGATGTCAAAAACAATATGCTTCTTAATCACTTTTACTTAACAGACTAATTGTCTTTAAATCAGAAATAAATGAGAACAAAGGCTTTAGTAATAAAAAATACAGATTCCAAGTTTAGGCTTTCTAGGGGAAAAGCAAAATAGCCTCTAAAACAGTATGCAATGTAAATCATTCTTCTTTTAAAAATTAATATACAGTAAAATTCACATTTCCATCTTTTCTGGTGTACAGTTCTGTTTTAACCCAAGTATATATTCATGTAACCACTATCACAGTCAGGATACAGAGTAGTTCTGTCCCCTGAGATAAATAAATAAACAAACAAATAAATAAATAAAGCCTCCCTCATGGTGTCACATCTTCCCTCTGTCCCTAACACTTGGGATCCACTGATCTGTTCCCATTCACTACTGTTTTGCCTTATTCCAGAATGTTATGTAAATGGAATCCTATAAAACTTGACCTTTTAAAACTGGTTTCTTTCACTCAGCACAATTCCTTTGAGAATCCTCCATGTTTTTACAATACAGTTTGTTTTCTGTCTCCTTCTTCCCAAATTATAGCAACACTAATATCAGTTTTTGAAGTAAATATAAATTATCTGCCCCATATGGAAACTTATTTTCTCCATCATAGGATCCCTAAAAGAACTGGAACTTGATTTTTTACCCTATTCATGCCTATAGTTCTGCCTTTTTTTTTTTTTTTTTTGAGCTGGAGTCTCACTCTGTCACCAGGCTGGAATGAGTGCAGTGGCATGATCTCGGCTGACTGCAACCTCTGCCTCCTGGGTTCAAGCGATTCTCCTGCCTCAGCCTCCCGAGTAGCTGGGACTACAGGCACGCTCCACCACGTCCAGCTAATTTTTTGTGTTTTTAGTAGAGACACGGTTTCACCATGTTGGGCAGGATGGTCTTGATGTCTTGACCTCGTGATCTGCCTGCCTCAGCCTCCCAAAGTGCTGGGATTACAGGATGAGCCACCGTGCCCGGCCAGTTCTGCCTTTTTAATGGCTGCATTGTAATTTTATGAATGTACCATACTTGGTTTAAGCTGTCTCCAACATAGATACTTAGATATATTTTTTTAAATTATCTTCAGTGCTACAGTAAACATGCTTATACAGCATATGATATGTAAGAATAGCTGCCTTCAATTTCTAGAAAAGCAGTTGCTGGATGAAAAAAAAATACACAAAATTATATGGTTGGATGGATTGCAATTTGCCTTCCAAGAAGATTGAAGCAGTTTGAACCTCACTCCATTATCTTGCCATCAATGTCATTTGTAATCTTTGCAAGTCTAGTAGATAGAAACTGTCTTACTCTAATTTATATTTCATTAAATATTAGGACATTTAAACTCAGTATTCTGAATATATTATTTCTGTCCAATTTGAGCAGTTTCAGCACAATCTTAATTTTTATAAATCTCAAGTTTGTCATTTTATTTTTGCCATTTTAATGGGATTGTAGGGCATCTCATTGTAGTTTTATTTTGCCTTTTTTTTTTTTTTTTTTTTGAGATGGAGTTTTGCTCTTGTTGCCCAGGCTGGAGTGCAATGGCACAGTCTCAACTCACTGCATCCTCTGCCTCCAGGGTTCAGGTGATTCTCCTGCTTCACTTCCCGAGTAGCTGGAATTACAGGTGCCCACCACCACACCCAGCTAATTATTTGTATTTTTAGTAAAGATGGGGTTTCACCATGTTGGCCAGACTGGTCTTGAACTCCTGACCTCATGTGATCCACCCACCTCGGCACCCCAAAGTGTTGGGATTACAGGTGTGAGCCACTGCACTTGGCCTTATTTTGCATTTTCTTAATGGGTAATGATGTTGAACGGTTTTTTTTTCCACAAACTTAATTGCCTCCATATATCCTCTTTGGAAAAGTATCTTTTCAAGTCTTAACCCTTTTTTTTTTGTTTTGTTTTTTTTTTTTGAGATGGAGTCTCACTCTGTCGCCCAGGCTGGAGTGCAGTGGTGCGATCTCAGCTCACTGCAACCTCCCTCCACCTCCCGGGTTCAAGAGATTGTTCTGCCTCAGCCTCCTGAGTAGCTGGGATTACAGGCGCATGCCACCACATCAGCTAATTTTTGTATTTTTAGTAGAGACAGGGTTTCACCATGTTGGGCAGGCTGGTCTTCAACTCCTGACCTCATGATCCGCCTGCCTCAGCCTCCCAAGTCTTACCCATTTTTTAAGTTAGCTCATTTGTTTTCTTGCTATTGAGTTTTGAGAATACTTTATATATAGATTTTGACTACAAGTTCTTTGTTGGATATGTGATTTGCACATTTTTTTCCTCTAAGTATGTAGCTTGTTTTTTTCATTCTGAAGTATCCATTAAATAGCAAAAGTTTTTATTTTGGCAGAGTCTAATTATTACATTTTTATGGATCACGCTTTTGATATCATATCTGAGAAATCTTTGACTAATTCTGGTTCACAAATATTTTCTCCTAAAAGTGATAGAATTTTATACAAGTCTTTTGGGCTATCTTTTTTCCTTTTGCTTTAACTGACTTGCATCTTTACATTTAATGTGAGTTTCTGATAGATTTTTTTGTTTTTTAATTGAGATAGAGTCTCATCCTGGAGTGCGATGACACAATCATGGTTCACTGCAGCCTTGATCTCTTGGGTTCAAGTGATCTTCTCACCTCAGCTTCCCACGTAGCTGGGACCACAGGTGCACTACACACCCAACTAACTTTTTTATTTTTTGTAGAGACATCTTCTTTCTCTGTTGCCCTGGCTGGTCTCAAACTCCTGGACTCAAGTGATCCTCCTATCTCAGTCTTTCAAAGTGCTGGAATTATAGGTGTGACCCAGGATGCCTAGCCCAAAAGCATATCTTTAGGTCTTGTTTTTAATCTGTTCACACAATCTGTCTTTCAACTGCTGTGTTTATATCATTTGCAGTTAATTATTACTGATGCTTGGATGTAGATCTACCCTTTTCTTTTTTTTTTAACTTTTAGGTTCAGGGGTACATGTGCAGGTTTGTTACATAGGTAAATTGTGTGTCACATGGGTTTGGTGTACAGATTATTTTGTCACCCAGGTAATAACCATAGTACTCGATAGGTAGTCTTTCAGTCCTCTCCTTTCTCCCATCCCCTACCCTCCAGTAGACTGTGCTGTCTGTTGTTCTCTTCTCTCTGTCCCTGTGTACTCAATGTTTAGCTTCCACTTATAAGTGAGAACATGTGGCATTTGATTTTCTGTTCCTGTGTTAGTTTGCTTAGGATAATGGCCTCAAGATCCATTCATGTTGCTGCAGAGGGCATAATCTCATTTTTTTAATGGCTGCATAGTAGTGCACAGTGTGTATGTGCCACATTTTTTTATCCAGTCTACCATTGGTGGGCATTTAGGTTGATATGCTTGTCTTTGTTACTGTGAATATTGCTGCAGTGAACATACTTGTGCATGTGTCTTTATGGTAGAACACTTTATATTCCTTTGGGTGTGTATCCAATAATGGGATTGCTGGGTGGAATGGTAATTCTATTTTAAGTTCTTCGAGAAATCGCCACACTGCTTTCCACAATGGCTGAACTAATTTACATTCCCAAGAGCAGTTTATAAGCATTCCCTTTTCTCTGCAACTTCACCAGCATGTATTATTTTTTGACTTTTTAATAATAGTTACTCTGACTGGTGTGAGGAGGTATCCCATTGTAATTTTGATTTGCATTTCTCTAATGATTAGTGATGCTGAATATTTTTTATATGCTTGTTGGCTGCATGTATGTCTTCTTTTGAAAAGTGTCAGTTCATGTCATTTGCCCACTTTTCAGTGAGGTTCTTGTAAATTTGTTTAAGTTCCTTATAGATGCTGGATATTAGACCTTTGTTGGATGCATAGTTTGCATATGTGTTCTCCCATTCTGTAGGTTGTCTGTTTACTCTGTTGATGGTTTATTTTTGCTGTGCAGAAGCTCTTTAGTTTAATTAGGTCTCATTTGACAATTTTTGATTTTGTTGCATTTGCTTTTGATATCTTTGTCATGAAATCTTTGCCAAGGCCTATGTACAGAATGGCATTTTCTAGGTTAGTTTCCAGGGTTTTTATAATTTTAGGTTTTACATTTAAGCTTTAATCAATCTTGAATTGATTTTTGTATATGGTGAAGGCTAGGGGTCCAGTTTCAATCCTCTGCATGTGACTAGCTAGTGATCCCAACACCATTTATTGAATATGAAGTTTTTTCCTCATTGCTTGTTTTTGTTCACTTTGTCAAAGAGCACATGGCTGTAGGCATGCAGAATTATTTCTGCACACTCTTTTTTGTTCCATTGGTGTATGTGTCTGTTTTTGTACCAGTACCATGCTGTTTCAGTTACTGTAGCCTTGTATTATAGTTTGAAGTCTGGTAATGTGATGCCTCCAGCTTTGTTTCTTTTGCTTAGGATTGCTTTGGGTATTTGGGCTCATTTTTGTTCCATGTGAGTTTTAGAATAGTTTTTTCTAATTCTGTGAAGAATCACATTGGTAGTTGATAGGAATAGCATTGAATCTGTAAGTTGCTTTGGGCAGTATGGCCATTTTAACAATATTAATTCTTCCTATCCGTGAACATGGAATGTTTTTCCTTTGTGTCACTCTGATTTCTCTGAGCAGTTCCCTCTCTGATTTTTCCTTCTTGCTACCTTTAGATTACTTAACATTTTAGTTTTCCATTTTATCTATTGAGTTTATTACTATAAACTATAAACTACTATTAGTATCTTCAAATGGATTTTTCATGATTGTTCTAGAAATTATACATATTCAACTTTTCACAATCTACTTAGAATTAATATTTTACCATTTAAAGTAGAATGTAAGTCCCCTTATTCTTCACTCTTTGTATATAACATATTACATACATTGAAAACCTACCAGATAATGTTGTAACTTTTGCTTTTAACTGTAATACATATGTTATGTGGCTCACATCTTTAATCCCAGCACTTTGGAGACCAGTGCGGGCAGATGGCTTGAGCTCAGGAGTTCAAGACCAGCAAAGCCCCGTCTCTACAAAAAATTCAAAAATTAGCTAGGCATTGTGACGTGTGCCTGTGGTCCCAGCTCTTCAGGAGGCTGAGGCAGAAGGATGGCTTGATTGCAGGAGTGAGATCGTGCCACTGCACTTCAGCCTGAGTGACAGAGTGAGACCCTATCTTAAAAAAAAAATGTAAGAAGAAAGTAATATTGTTACATTTATTTAAATATCTACCCTTTCTGTTTTCTTTCACTCCAGATAGTCCAAGTTTTCCCCTCACATACTTTCCCTTTTGTCTGAAGAAATTCCCTTACTTCTTATAGAGCAGATCCACAGACAATGAATTTTCTTAGTTTTCTTTTATCTGAGAATGTCATTATTTCATCTTTATTCATGAAGGATGTATTCTCTAATAGAATTAGAATTAGAGAATGTAATTCTGTAATAGAATTTTGATTTGATGGTTCTTTCCCTTTCAGCATTTTAAAAATGTTCTACTTATATCTGACTGGGTGGTTTCTGATAAAAATTCCATGTTCATTTGGATTGTTATTCCCCTCTATGTTATGTGCTGTTTTTCTTGGGCTGCTTTCAGGATTTCTTTTTTCTTGGCCTTAGTTTTCAGCAATATGTCAAAATTGTCTGGGTTTGGATTTCTTTGTGTTTATCTTTCATGAGACTGTAAGTTTATGTATTTTGCTGAACTTGAGAATTTATTATTCCTTTTTTCTTTATTTATTGTTGTGAAATTCACATGCTATATTGAGTGTTTTTGAATATACACATTCAGTGACCTTTAGTGCATTCGCCACCTCTCTCTAGTTTTAAAACTTTTCACCACTCCAGAGAAATACTTTGTACCTATTAAGTAATCACTCTCTATTCTTTATTTCCCCTGCCCCTTGAAGATAATACTAATCTACTTTCTGTCTGTATAGATTTGCCAATTCTGTATATTTTATATTAAATAAATCATACAATATTTGAGCTTTTCTGTCTTGCTGTTTTTACCTAGCATTATGTTTTCAAGGTTCATCCAAATTGTAACATTCACTTAACTTCTTTTTATGGCTGAATACTATTTAATATTTCACTTTATGGCTATTACACATTTTGATCATCTTTTCATCAGCTGGTTTGGATTTGAGATGATTTCACCTTTTGGCTCTTACAAGTAATGTTGCTGTAAACATTTTTTTACAAGTTACCATGTGGACATATATTTTCATTTCTCTTGGGTATATACATAAAAGTAGAGTTGCTAAATCATATGGTAATTCTTTAACTGAATTGCTGTCAAACTATTTTCCATGATGGCCACACCATTTTACATTCCCACCAGCAATGTAAAAGAGTTTATCTTTCTCCACATCCTTGTTAACATTTGTTATTTTTAGGGTCGCTTTCTTGTTGTTGTTTTATGTTATTGTAGCCATCTTGGTAGGTGTGAGATTATAGCTTATTGTGGTTTTGATTTGCATTTTCCTAACGTCAGCTGAGGTTTAGCATCATTTGTTTGTTGGCTATTTGTATATATTCTTTGAAGGAGGATCTGGATTTTTAAATCCTTTGCTTATTTTTAAATTGGGTCGTTTGACTTTTTCTTGTTGAATTGTTAGTGTTGTTTATACATTCTGGATATGAAATCCCTTATCAAATACATGATTTGCAAATATGTTCTCCCTTTTTGTAGGTTATCTTTTCACTTTTTTGACGATATTCTTTGAAGCTCAAGATTCTTTAATTTTGAGGATGTCTAATTTATCTATTCTTTGGTTGCTTGTGGTTTTTGAGTCAAATCTAAGAATTTAATAACAGTTACAAGGTCATGAAGATTCATCCCTATGTTTTTTTCTAATATTTTATACTTTTAGCTCTTGTATTTTGTATAGGGTGTGAGATTATAGGATCCAACTTCATTCCTTTGCATGTGGTCATCCAGTTGTCCCAGCACCATTTGTTGAAGATACTATTCTTTCCCCATAAAAGTATCTTAGCACCATAGTCAAAAAATCATTTATCCATAGATTATAGGGTTTACTTCTGGATTCTCAATTTTGTTCCTTTGTTCTGTATGTCTGTTCTTACGCTATTATCACACGGTTTTGGTTACTGTAGCTTTGCAGTAAGTTGTAAAATCAGGAAGTATGAGATCTCCAACTTTGTTTTTCAGTATTGTTTTGGCTATTCAGGACTCTTTCCAATTGCAAATGAATTTGAACATCAGATTTTCTGTTTCTACAAAAATGCCATTGAATTTTGATAGGTATTGTGTTTAATCTGTAGATTATTTTCATAAGTATTGCCATCTTAATAATATTAAGTCTTCTAACCCATGAACATGAAATGTCTTTCTTTTTTTGAGATGGAGTTTCACTGTTGTTGCCCAGGCTGGGGTACAATGGCACGATCTCAGCTCACAGCAACCTCTGCCTCCTGGGTTCAAGCGATTATCCTGCCTCAGCCTCCCAAGTAGCTACTTTCATATTTTTATTAGAGATGGGGTTTCATCCTGTTGGCCAGGCTGGTCTCAAAATCTTAACCTCAGGTGATCCACCTGCCTCAGCATCCCAAAGTCCTGGGATTACAGGCGTGAGCCACCGTGCCCGGCCATGTCTTTCTATTTAGTTAAGCCTTCTTTAATTTCTTTCAACAATGCCTTAGAATTTTTTTTTTTTAATTAGGCAAGTTCTCTTTTTTCTCAACTTTTATTTTAGGTTCAGGTAGTACATGTGCAGATTCGTTACATGGGTAAATTGTGTGTTGCTGAGGTTCAGTGTACGAATGATCCCATCACTCAGGTACTGAACATAAAATCTAAGAGATAGCTTTTCAACTCTTGCTCCCTTACTTCCCTTCTAATAGTCCCCAGTGTGTCTTGTTTTCATTTTTCTGCCCATGTAGAATTTTCATTGTACAAATCTTTCACCTCCCTTGTTAAATTCATTCCTAGATATTGTATCCTTTTGAATGCTATTATAAATGGAATTTTTAAAATTTTCCTTTTGGATTGTTGATTGCTAGTATATAGGAACTTAACAGAATTTTTGTTTGTTGATCATGTTCCCTGCAACTTTGCTGAATTCATTTATTAGCTGTAGTAGATTTTTTGTAGACTTTTGTAGATTTTCTATATATAGAATTATGTCATCTGTAAAGAGGTAGTTTTGTTTTTTTTCCCCACTCTGCAATTTGTAAGCCATTTATTTATTTGGCCTAATTGCTCTAGCCAGGACTTCCAGTACAATGTTGAATAGCAGTGGTGAAAGTGGTCATCCTCTTGTTACTCATCTTGGGGGAAAGCTTTCAGTCTTTCACCATTGAATGTGATGTTAGCTTTTTTTCCTTCAAATCCTGTCAGTGTTTAGTTCATATATATATATATATATATATATATATATATATATATATATATATAATTGCTGTATTTGATGCATATATGCTTATCATTGTTATATATTCTTACTGAAATGACTATTTTATCAATATGTCTTTCTTTGTCTCATGATAATTCTCTACTTAAAATCTATGTATTCTGATATTTGAATAGCCATTCTAGCTATCTTTTAGTTACTGTTTGCATAGAATATCCTTTTTTATCCTTTCACTTTCAATTTGTTTGTGTCTTTGGATCTAAAGTGAGTCTCCTGTAAGCAGCATATAGTTGACTGGTGTGGTTTGGTTTTGTTTTCGGGGGTTTTTTGTTCACTTGTTCATTTTTAAAGTGAAAGCAAGTTTATTAAGAAAGTAAAGGAATAAAGAATGACTACTCCATTGGCAGAGCCAGTGTCTTGGGCTGCTCACTGCGATTACACTTATAGTTATTTCTTTATTATATGCTAAACAAGGGATTGATTATTCATTAGTTTTCTGGAAAAGGGGTGGGCAGTTCTTGGAACTGAGGGTTCCTCCCCCATTTTAGACCATATAGGGTATCTTGCTAACATTGCCATGGCATTTGTAAATTGTCATGGCACTAGTGGGAGTGTTTTTTAGCATGCTAGTGCATTATAATTAGCATATAAAGAGCAGTGAGGATAAGCAGGGGTCACTTTTATCACCATCTTGGTTTTGGTGCATTTTGGCCAGCTTCTTTACCACATCCTTTTGTCAGCAAGGACTTTGTGACCTGTACCTTTTGCCGACCTTCTGTCTCATCCTGTGACTTAGAATGCCTAGCCTCCTGGGAATGCAGCCCAGTAGGCCTCAACCTTATTTTACCCAGCCCCTATTCAAGATGGAATTGCTCTGGTTCAGACACCTGTGACGTGTTTCCCCCCTCCCTTTTACAAGGGAATCCTTAATCTTAAGGGTTGTAGAGGGACAATGATGCATCTTCTATAACTTCTTCAGGCTGAAAACAGGTGATGATATACATGTCTAACTATTAGGGTCTCTTGTATTCAGGGTGGAGAGGCGCACATTTAGAAAGCATCCATATGCTGAGGGCCATTCATAACTCTTGAGATCCGACAGAAGGTGGTATCTGGAAGACTAATAAGTGTTCAACTTAAGAAAACATTGAGTGAGTTTATCCTGCATATCTACACAAAGAGTACAATATCAGTGTATTCCACAACAGTAAAGAAAAATAAGCAAAATTATCCCAAGTAAAGAGAGCTTTCCATGAACTGGGCCACTGTCGGAACCAAACTGATATGGGGTTGCTAGCTGATTCCTGTTTGTCCAGAATTAGAATACTGATCCAGATTTTTACATTACTCATCCCTCTTGTTTCTTGTGAGCAGCAGCTAGAAATCACTGGTTGGTTTACAGGAATAGACAGGGTTAGTCTGAATTGCAGGAAAAAAACATCAGAAACAACTGATGAAACTAGCATGTACTAACAGGTGTACCATATTTCTTGAAACATAATTTTTCTCTCTCCAGTCTCCCATTTTTATTAAAGACAAATCATGGTACGAATGATTTGTTCTCAAAATAAGATGTATTCTTATACTTGGCCTGATTATTTGTATAAAGTTCAGCAAGAATAATTAATTTTCACATATGCTTTTTAAATTGGCTTTGATGGAACTTTGTTCCAAAAAGGAATCTCAAACAAGACTTTTTTTCATAAAGCTGAGCCTAACCATGGGTTTGTACCATCAAATACCTATGAGTTGAGCAAATTCCTCTTATCTTGAGGTTCCAAGATAACTTGGGGCTTCTGGACCTGTTAGAAAGTGACATTCTGTACTTAGCACAGATCAGGAACCCTCTATAGGGACAGTATAGACAAGGTATGAGGCCAGTTTTCCCAAGGGGCTTTTATTGGCTCTGTAAGTCAAGTTTGATACCTTTAAGAAAAGCATGCTATTCGAGTCAAAGCCTTGGCAAAACAACCAGTTTCTCCAGTTGTGTCCTGTTGCCAAAAAAAAAAAAAAAACAAAAAAAAAAACATTCTTATTACACTTGTGCAAGTAAAACTATGTTGCCGTAAATTAAGATTACTCACAAATAGTTTCGAAATTCTGGAGAAATCAGCTAGAGAGAAACAAATATGTTCCAAATTTTGTTTACAGGAAAATACTTTATTCAATTGTTTAAAGTTGTAAATAGCTCAAAAGAAAATCTTCTTAACTCTGAAAACCAAAACAAAGAATTGGTAACATTTTAAGCAAAAAGCCAAAAAAGATTACTTCAGTTTTCTATTAGTTCAGTCCATGCAGTTAACTCCTGTCCTGACTTATCATCACCAACATTTCAGCTCTCCATGAGTCCTGAAAGTTTTTTCCTGTATTCTAATGCCACAGTCTCCAAAGTTACCAGAAACCTGCATTCAGGAGCACCTGTCAAAGTTCTATAGCTGACTTATAAACCACCTTTTAAAGAGGATCAAAACAAGATAACAATCGTTTGTGAATGACAACATGTCTTAGGGCAGCCACAGTCAAAAACATGATTGACAAAGAAATTTTGTTATCTTGGTGGCATATAATGATTTTATGTAACAATTATAATTATTACTGATAACATGCACTAAATCATATCAGAATTACAGGAGTTTCCCGTAATTTTGGAACAGATACCAATAACACCAATAACATATTCAAACAAATACATCCCCAGGAAAGCCAAACACCATTTTATATTTGACAGTGTTTCTTGTGATTTTTATACCAGATAAGCCCTATATGTCACTTTTGGACTTTAGGGGACCTAATATCTAAAAGATGAATTAGGTTAGAAAAGACATCATTTATAATTTTACTTTGGAAAGTTTGTCATATATTAAAGGTTTAAAACACTTGATATTGTAAAATCAAATCCCAGGTCACCAGAAGTCATTGATTTAGCCAAATTATACCTCAAAAATTTTTTAAAGCCAAAAACCTTTACTCATTAAGGGGAAGACAGCTTTCCAACCAATCGGTCTCTTTTCTTTTCCTCCTTTTTCCTACAGTTTATTCAGAAGGCAAACAAAAATATTTCATTTTTTAATATAACATGAAAATCTTGTTCAAGAAAGGAAGCTAACTTTCACCTTTGCGTTAGTGCACTATTGATGTCAAACCTTAACAAAACCCTATAGACAAATCCATCTAGTCTCAATCAGTATGACCTTAAGGTAAGATTCATATAAACCTTTTATAGCCTTTTACAGCTTTTGTGAAAGAGCAGATCCATGCTCTAAGAAAATTCTGGTGTGCTTTTATTCTAATGTTCAATTTATGGAAAAACTGAGTACCACTTTAACTTTAGCCAATATGTTCACACACAGAATTTCTTTTACAAGATTATTTTTTCACAAATCCTCCACAACTTGATTGTTTTCTGGTTTGTGGTTCCTGTGTTCCTTTTTATAGTGACAAACCATTTTATATATTTTAAATGTTTTCATTTTGTACAATAAAGTTAGCATATTTTATACATATTTATATAATTATGTTTATATATGTGTTTATTGCATTTTGCTTTTTTCACTTAATTATATCTCCTGGAAATCATTCCATTTCAATACATAGAGTTCCTCTTCATTCTGTCTTATAGCTTCATAGTACTCCATTTTGTGTGGATATCATAGGGTATTTTACCCCCCAGTCTCCATTGCTTTACAATCACAAATGATACTGTACGAATAACTTTGTGATTATGTATTTATTAGTCTGTTCTCAACTGTGAAGAAATACCCAAGACTTGATAATTTATAAAGCTTCATTGATTTACAGTTTTCTGTTGCTGGGGAGGCCTCAGGAAACTTACAGTCATAGCAGAAAGGAAAAGAGAAGGCACCTTCTTCATAGGGTAGCATGATGGAGGGAGTGCAAGCAGGGGTAATGCCAGATGCTTACAAAACCATCAGATCTTCTGAGAACTCACTATCACAAGAACAGCATGGGGGAAACTGCCCCCATGATCCAATTACCTACACCTGGTCTCGGCCTTGACACATGGAGATTATGGGGATTACAATTGGAGGTGAGATTTGGGTGGGGACACAGAGCCAAACCATATCATATATTTTCATATTGTTGGAGATACATATTTTAGATAAATTCATACAGGGATTTCTAGCTTGAGATTTGGTTATATGTAGCTGGTTAGATATTGACAAATTCTCCTTCATAGGGATTATGACATTTTCTGTATCCATCAAAAATATATGGCATTACCTATTTCTCTCTTACCTCACTAATAAAATGTATTTTTTTATTTTATTATTATTATACTTTAAGTTTTAGGGTACATGTGCACAATTTGCAGGTTAGTTACATATGTATACATATGCCATGCTGGTGTGCTGCACCCATTAACTCATCATTTAGCATTAGGTATATCTCCTAATGCTATCCCTCCCCCCTCCCCCCACCCCACAACAGTCCCCAGAGTGTGATGTTCCTCTTCCTGTGTCCATGTGTTCTCATTGTTCAATTCCCGCCCATGAGTGAGAACATGCGGTGTTTGGTTTTTTGTCCTTGTGATAGTTTGCTGAGAATGATGATTTCCAATTTCATCCATGTCCCTACAAAGGACATGAACTCATCATTTTTTATGGCTGCATAGTATTCCACAGTGTATATGTGCCACATTTTCTTAATCCAGTCTATCATTGTTGGACATTTGGGTTGGTTCCAAGTCTTTGCTATTTTGAATAGTGCCACAATAAACATATGTGTGCATGTGTCTTTATAGCAGCATGATTTATAGTCCTTTGGGTATATACCCAGTAATGGGATGGCTGGGTCAAATGATATTTCTAGTTCTAGATCCCTGAGGAATCGCCACACTGACTTGCACAATGGTTGAACTAGTTCACAGTCCCACCAACAGTGTAAAAGTGTTCCTATTTCTCCACATCCTCTCCAGCACCTGTTGTTTCCTGACTTTTTAATGATTGCCATTCTAACTGGTGTGAGATGGTATCTCATTGTGGTTTTGATTTGCATTTCTCTGATGGCCAGTGATGATGAGCATTTTTTCATGTGTCTTTTGGCTGCATAAATGTCTTCTTTTGAGAAGTGTCTGTTCATGTCCTTCACCCACTTTTTGATGGAGTTGTTTTTTTTTTTTCTTGTAAATTTGTTTGAGTTCATTGTAGATTCTGGATATTAGCCCTTTGTCAGATGAGTAGGTTGCGAAAATTTTCTCCCATTTTGTAGGTTGCCTGTTCACTCTGATGGTAGTTTCTTTCACTGTGCAGAAGCTCTTTAGTTTAATTAGATCCCATTTGTCAATTTTTGCTTTTGTTGCCATTGCTTTTGGTGTTTTAGACATGAAGTCCTTGCCCATGCCTATGTCCTGAATGGTAATGCCTAGGTTTTCTTCTAGGGTTTTTATGGTTTTAGGTCTAACATTTAAGTCTTGAATCCATCTTGAATTAATTTTTGTTTAAGGTATAAGGAAGGGATCCAGTTTCAGCTTTCTACATATGGCTAGCCAGTTTTCCCAGCACCATTTATTAAACAGGAAATCCTTTCCCCATTGCTTGTTTTTCTCAGGTTTGTCAAAGATCAGATAGTTGTAGATATGCAGCGTTATTTCTGAGGGCTCTGTTCTGTTCCATTGATCTATATCTCTGTTTTGGTACCAGTACCATGCTGTTTTGGTTACTGTAGCCTTGTAGTGTAGTTTGAAGTCAGGTAGCGTGATGCCTCCAGCTTTGTTCTTTTGGCTTAGGATTGACTTGGCAATGCGGGCTCTTTTTTGGTTCCATATGAACTTTAAAGTAGTTTTTTCCAATTCTGTGAAGAAAGTCATTGGTAGCTTGATGGGGATGGCATTGAATCTGTAAATTACCTTGGGCAGTATGGCCATTTTCACGATATTGATTCTTCCTACCCATGAGCATGGAATGTTCTTCCATTTGTTTGTATCCTCTTTTATTTCATTGAGCAGTGGTTTGTAGTTCTCCTTGAAGAGGTCCTTCACGTCCCTTGTAAGTTGGATTCCTAGGTATTTTATTCTCTTTGAAGCAATTGTGAATGGGAGTTCACTCATGATTTGGCTCTCTGTTTGTCTGTTATTGGTGTATAAGAATGCTTGTGATTTTTGTACATTGATTTTGTATCCTGAGACTTTGCTGAAGTTGCTTATCAGCTTAAGGAGATTTTGGGCTGAGACAATGGGGTTTTCTAGATATACAATCATGTCATCTGCAAACAGGGACAATTTGACTTCCTCTTTTCCTAATTGAATACCCTTTATTTCCTTCTCCTGCCTAATTGCCCTGGCCAGAACTTCCAACACTATGTTGAATAGGAGTGGTGAGAGAGGGCATCCCTGTCTTGTGCCAGTTTTCAAAGGGAATGCTCCCAGTTTTTGCCCATTCAGTATGATATTGGCTGTGGGTTTGTCATAGATAGCTCTTATTATTTTGAGATACGTCCCATCAATACCTAATTTATTGAGAGTTTTTAGCATGAAGGTGTTGAATTTTGTCAAAGGCCTTTTTTGCATCTATTGAGATAATCATGTGGTTTTTGTCTTTGGTTCTGTTTATATGCTGGATTACATTTATTGATTTGCATATATTGAACCAGCCTTGCATCCCAGGGATGAAGCCCACTTGATCATGGTGGATAAGCTTTTTGATGTGGTGCTGGATTCGGTTTGTCAGTATTTTATTGAGGATTTTTGTATCAATGTTCATCAAGGATATTGGTCTAAAATTCTCTTTTTTGGTTGTGTCTCTGCCAGGCTTTGGTATCAGGATGATGCTGGCCTCATAAAATGAGTTAGGGAGGATTCCCTCTTTTTCTATTGATTGGAATAGTTTCAGGAGGAATGGTACCAGTTCCTCCTTGTACCTCTGGTAGAATTCGGCTGTGAATCCATCTGGTCCTGGACTCTTTTTGGTTGGTAAGCTATTGATTATTGCCACAATTTCAGAGCCTGTTATTAGTCTATTCAGAGATTCAGCTTCTTCCTGGTTTAGTCTTGGGAGGGTGTATGTGTCGAGGAATTTATCCATTTCTTCTAGATTTTCTAGTTTATTTGCGTAGAGGTGTTTAGTATTCTCTGATGGTAGTTTGTATTTCTGTGGGATCGGTGGTGATATCCCCTTTATCATTTTTTATTGTGTCTATTTGATTCTTCTCTCTTTTTTTCTTCATTAGTCTTGCTAGCGGTCTATCAATTTTGTTGATCCTTTCAAAAAACCAGCTCCTGGATTCATTGATTTTTGGAAGGGTTTTTTGTGTCTCTGTTTCCTTCAGTTCTGCTCTGATTTTAGTTATTTCTTGCCTTCTGCTAGCTTTTGAATGTGTTTGCTCTTGCTTTTCTAGTTCTTTTAATTGTGATGTTAGGGTGTCAATTTTGGATCTTTCCTGCTTTCTCTTGTGGGCATTTAGTACTATAAATTTCCCTCTACACACTGCTTTGAATGTGTCCCAGAGATTCTGGTATGTTGTGTCTTTGTTCTCATTGGTTTCAAAGAACATCTTTATTTCTGCCTTCATTTCGTTATGTACCCAGTAGTCATTCAGGAGCAGGTTGTTCAGTTTCCATGTAGTTGAGCGGTTTTGAGTGAGTTTCTTAATCCTGAGTTCTAGTTTGATTGCACTGTGGTCTGAGAGACAGTTTGTTATAATTTCTGATCTTTTACATTTGCTGAGGAGAGCTTTACTTCCAACTATGTGGTGAATTTTGGAATAGGTGTGGTGTGGTGCTGAAAAAAAATGTATATTCTGTTGATTTGGGGTGGAGAGTTCTGTAGGTGTCTATTAGGTCCGCTTGGTGCAGAGCTCAGTTCAAATCCTGGGTTTCCTTGTTAACTTTCTCTCTCATTGATCTGTCTAATGTTGACAGTGGGGTGTTAAAATCTCCCATTATTAATGTGTGGGAGTCTAAGTCTCTTTGTAGGTCACTCAGGACTTGCTTTATGAATCTGGGTGCTCCTGTATTGGGTGCATATATATTTAGGATAGCTCTTCTTTTTGAATTGATCCCTTTACCATTATGTAATGGCCTTCTTTGTCTCTTTTGATCTTTGTTGGTTTAACGTCTGTTTTATCAGAGACTAGGATTGCAACCCCTGCCTTTTTTTGTTTTCCATTTGCTTGGTAGATCTTCCTCCATCCTTTTATTTTGAGCCTATGTGTGTCTCTGCATGTGAGATGGGTTTCCTGAATACAGCACACTGATGGGTCTTGACTCTTTATCCAATTTGCCAGTCTGTGTCTTTTAATTGGAGCATTTAGTCCATTTACATTTAAAGTTAATATTGTTATGTGTGAATTTGATCCTGTCATTATGATGTTAGCTGGTGATTTTGCTCGTTAGTTGATGGAGTTTCTTCCTAGCCTTGATGGTCTTTACAATTTGGCATAATTTTGCGGCGGCTGGTACCGGTTGTTCCTTTCCATGTTTAGTGCTTCCTTCAGGAGCTCTTGTAGGGCAGGCCTAGTGGTGACAAAATCTCTCAGCATTTGCTTGTCTGTAAAGTATTTTATTTCTCCTTCACTTATGAAGCTTAGTTTGGCTGGATATGAAATTCTGGGTTGAAAATTTGTTTCTTTAATATGGTTGAATATTGGCCCCCACTCTCTTCTGGCTTGTAGAGTTTCTGCCGAGAGATCCGCTGTTAGTCTGATGGGCTTCCCTTTGAGGGTAACCCAACCTTTCTCTCTGGCTGCCCTTAAAATTTTTTCCTTCATTTCAACTTTGGTGAATCTGACAATTATGTGTCTTGGAGTTGCTCTTCTCGAGGGGTATCTTTGTAGCGTTCTCTGTATTTCCTGAATCTGAATGTTGGCCTGCCTTTCTAGATTGGGGAAGTTCTCCTGGATAATATCCTGCAGAGTGTTTTCCAACTTGTTTCCATTCTCCCCGTCACTTTCAGGTACACCAATCAGACGTAGATTTGGTCTTTTCACATAGTCCCATATTTCTTGGAGGCTTTGTTCGTTTCTTTTTATTCTTTTTTCTCTAAACTTCCCTTCTCACTTCATTTCATTCATTTCATCTTCCATCACTGATACCCTTTCTTCCAGTTGATCGCATCGGCTCCTGAGGCTTCTGCATTCTTCACGTAGTTCTCGAGCCTTGGCTTTCAGCTCCATCAGCTCCTTTAAGCACTTCTCTGTATTGGTTATTCTAGTTATACATTCATCTAAATTTTTTTCAAAGTTTTTAACTTCTTTGCCTTTGGTTTGAATTTCCTCTTATAGCTCGGAGTAGTTTGATCGTCTGAAGCCTTCTTCTCTCAACTCGTCAAACTCATTCTCTGTCCAGCTTTGTTCTGTTGCTGGTGAGGAACTGCTTTCCTTTGGAGGAGGAGAGGCGCTCTGCTTTTTAGAGTTTCCAGTTTTTCTGCTCTGTTTTTTCCCCATCTTTGTGGTTTTATCTACTTTTGGTCTTTGATGATGGTAATGTACAGATGGGTTTTTGGTGTGGATGTCCTTTCTGTTTGTTAGCTTTCCTTCTAACAGACAGGACCCTCAGCTGCAGGTCTGTTGGAGTTTGCAAGAGGTCCACTCTGGACCCTGCTTGCCTGGGTATCAGCAGCAGTGGCTGCAGAACAGCAGATTTTCGTGAACCGCGAATGCTGCTGTCTGATCGTTCCTCTGGAATTTTTGTCTCAGAGGAGTACCCAGCCGTGTGAGGTGTCAGTCTGCCCCTACTAGGGGGTGCCTCCCAGTTAGGCTGCTCGGGGGTCAGGGGTCAGGGACCGACTTGAGGAGGCAGTCTGCCCGTTCTCAGATCTCAAACTGCATGCTGGGAGAACCACTGCTCTCTTCAAAGCTCTCAGACAGGGACATTTAAGTCTGCAGAGGTTACTGCTGTCTTTTTGTTTGTCTGTGCCCTGCCCCCAGAGGTGGAGCCTACAGAGGCAGGCAGGCTTCCTTGAGCTGTGGTGGGCTCCACCCAGTTCGAGCTTCCCGGCTGCTTTGTTTACCTAGCGAGCCTGGGCAATGGCGGGCGCCCCTCCCCCAGCCTCGCTGCTGCCTTGCAGTTTGATCTCAGACTGCTGTGCTAGCAGTCAGCGAGACTCCGTGGGCGTAGGACCCTCCAAGCCAGGTGCGGGATATAATCTCCTGGTGCACTGTTTGTTAAGCCCATCGGAAAAGCGCAGTATTAGTGTGGGAGTGACCCGATTTTCCAGGTGCTGTTTGTCACCCCTTTCTTTGACTAGGAAAGGGAACTCCCTGACCCCTTGCACTTCTGGAGTGAGGCAATGCCTCGCCCTGCTTCGGCTCACACACGGTGCGCTGCACCCACTGTCCTGCGCCCACTGTCTGGCACTCCTTAGTGAGATGAACCCAGTACCTCAGATGGAAATGCAGAAATCACCCGTCTTCTGCGTCACTCACGCTGGGAGCTGTAGATGGGAGCTGTTCCTATTCGGCCATCTTGGCTGCCAGTCCTAGAATGTATTTTTAAGCTTTTGAATTTGTTGCTAATTTGATGGGTGAAAAAATTGACTTTTATTGTAATTTTAATTTGCATTTCTCTTTTATATGAATGAAATTACATATGTTTTTACATAATTAACAAGCATTTTTATATCTCCTTTGAGTTGTTTATTCAAATCTTTGCCCATTTGTTTGTTTTTTTGTTTGTTTTCAGACAGGGTTTCACTCTGTTGCCCAGGCTGTAGTACAGTGGCATGATCTTGGCTCACTGCAACCTTCTCCTTCCAGGCTCAAGTGATCCTCCCACTTTAGCCTTCCAAGGAGCTGGGACTACAGACACATGCCACTGTGCCCAGGCACATGCCACCATGCCCAGCTAATTTTTGTATTTTTTTTTCATAGACATGGGGTTTCTCCATGTTGCGTAGGCTGGTGTCGAACTCTTGAGCTCACATGATCTGCCTGCTTCTGCCTCCCAAAGTACTGGGATTACAGACATGAGTGACCATGCCCAGCCTCCCTGCCCATTTTTCTATAGGATTTCTATAGGTTGATTTTCCTCAATTTAAAAAAAAAAAATCCTTGATTTATTAAGAATGTAACTATTTATCTGCGATATATGCTGTGAATGTTTTTCCCAATTTTGTCAGTTACCTTTGATTTTGTTAATGAGTTTTCTTTGGCTATGCACATTTTCCAACGTATCATCTTATTTTGTTTTTAATTGCATCTAGGATTTTAGTCATAGTTAGGAACCCTTTCCTTACAGATGGGTTTTAGAGGAATTCACTGATTATTTCTTTTGGTGCATATATAGATTTACTTTTTATATTTATATCTCTGATCCATTTGGAGTTTATTCTTGGGTGTAGTGGAAGGAATGAATCTACTTTTACCTTTTTTCAAATGGCTATCCGGTATTCCCTACACCAACCATCCTCAACCTTTTTGGCACTAGGGACCAGGTTCATGGAAGACAGATTTTCCACAGAATGGGGGGGTGGGGTGAAGGGGACGGTTTTGGCATGAAACTGTTCCACCTCAGACCATCAGGCATCACTTAGATTCTCATAAGGAGCACACAACCTAGATCCCTCCCATGCACAGTTTACAGTAGGTTTCCTGCTCCTGTGATAATCTAATGCTGCTGCTGACCTGAGAGGAGACGGAGCTGTCAGGTGATAATGCTGGCTTGCCCTCCGCTCATCTCCTGCTTTGTGACTCCCAGTTCCTAACAGGCTATGGACTGGTACCAGTCCATGGCCCAGGGCTTTGGGATCCCTCCCCGCCCTACACTGTGTATTAACCAGAGCATCTTTGACCCAATGATTTGAGATACCAGTTTTATCATATACTAGATGTTTATATGTAATTGGATCTAATTCTAGAAATTATATTTTATTCCATTGATTTGATAGCTTATTCTTGTGCCAGTACCATACTGTTTAATGAAAGAGGTTTGTAGCATGTTTTTATACCTTGGAGTAGTTCTACCCTGCCTCCTTTCCCACCTTTCACAGATCTTTATATTCATTAATTTCCTAGCTATTCTTGTGTTTATTTTTATTATTTTTTGAGACGGAGTCTCACTCTGTCGCCCAGATTGAAGTGCAGTGGTATGGTCTCGGTGCACTGCAGCCTCTGCCTCCCGGGTTCAAGTGATTTTCCTGCCCCAGCCTCCTAAGTAGCTGAGATTACAGACGCCCACCACCATGCCCAGCTAATTTTTTGTATTTTTAGTAGAGACAGGATTTCACCATGTTGATCAGTCTGGTCTCAGACTCCTGACCTCAAGTGATCTGCCCACCTCGGCCTCCCAAGGTGCTGGGATTACAGTCATGAGCAACTGCACCCGGCTGTGTTTATTTTTTATTTTCAGTTTGAAATAAAACTAAATTTGTTCCAAGCATGCAATACATGGTTATTAATCATAGTTACCATATTGTACAATAGTCTTCTTGAACTTATTTCTCCTATCCCACTGGAATTTTGTATCCTTTGACCAATCTGTCCCCAACTTCACCTTCCTCCAGTCCCTGGTAACCACTATTCTGCTCTCTACTTTTATGAGGAGTTCAGGTTTTTTTGATTCCACATATAAGTTAGATTATGCAATATTTACCTTTCTGTGGATAGCTTATTTCACTTAACATAATGTCTTCCAAGTTCACTCATGTTGTTGCAAATGACGGGATATCCTTCTTTTTTAAGGCTGAATAGCATTCCACTGTATGTATATACCACATTTTCTTTATCCATTCATCTGTTGTTGGACACTTAGGTTGATTCCATATCTTGTCTGTTCCAAATAATGCTGCAGTGAACGTGGGAGTGGAGATATTTCTTCAACATACCTATTTCATTTCCTTTGGATTTATACCCAGTAGTGAAATTGCTTGATCATATGGTAATTCTGTTTTTAACTTTTTGAGGAGCCTCCATATTGTTTTCCATAATGGCTGTACTAAGTTACATTCCCACCAACAGTGTGCAAACGTTCCCAGATCTTTTTTAAAAAAAGTTCAAAAGAGAGAAGTTAAGGGTGTCCATCACTAGTAGACCTGTCTGACAACAAATGCTAATGGAAGTCCTTCAGACTGAAATGAAAGAACCCTACACTGTAATTCAAAGCCATATGAAGAAAGTTTTTTGTTTTCCCCATTGCCTTTTAATTGGTGAGTTTAATCTATTTACATTAAAAATATAGGTTATTTTAAGTTATTATCAATAATGAACCACTTAGTTGTGCTATTTTGCTGTTTTTCTATATGCTTTTGTTCCTCAGTTCCTCCTATACTGCCTTCTTCTTTGATTGATATTTTTTCTAGTGCCAGTTTTAATTCCTTCTCCAATTCATTTTGTATAATTTTAAAATTATTTTCTTAGTGGTGTCCATGGGGTTTACACTAAACATCCTGAATTTACTTTGACTTGATATTAAGATTACTTGAATAGCATACATTAACTCTCCTCATATCTAGCTCTGTCCCCTCCCCTTTGCATTATTATTATTGCCACAAATTACATCTGTATACATTGTGTTCTTGTTAACATATATTTACAGTTAATGCCTTTTAAATCATATTGGAAGCAGAAAGAAGGGTTACAAACCAAAAATACAATAATATTGGCATTTATTTATCTGTGTACTTACTTTTATCAGAGATCTCTATTTCTCTGTACGCCTTCGAGTTACAGTATAATGTTTTCTTTCATTTCAACCTGAAGATCTTCCTTCAGCATTTCTTAATGGGGCTAGTCTGTTAGTAATGGGCTTCTTTAGCTTCTTAAAAATTTTTTTAAATCTAGGAACGTCTTAATTTTTCCTTTATTTTTGAAGGAGAGTGTTACTAGATATCAAATGCTTAGTCAACAGTTTTTTTCTTCTTTCAGCAGTTAGATGATCCCACTGCCTTCTGACCTCCATGTTTTCTGATGAGAAACCTGCTGTTAGTCTTATTGAGAATCTTTGTATGTGATAACTCAATTCTTACTCACTACTTTGAAGATTTTCTTTTTATTTCAGCAGTTTCTTTATAATGTGTCTTTGTGTGGATCTCTTTTAATTTATTCTGCTTCAATTCACTGAGCTTCTGGGATTTATAGAGTCATATCTTTCAGCAAATTTGGTGTGTTTTTCATTTCGTTATTTCTTCTCTTCCTTACTGCTCCTTTCTCCCTCTCTTTTCCTTCTTTAATTCTCATAATGTGTAAGTTGGTATGCTTGATCATTTCTCCCAAGTTCCTTCTGGACTGTTTATTTTTCTTCATCCTTTTTCTTTCTGATACTCAGACTGAGTAAATTTCCCTGTTTCCAAGTTCACTGATTCTTTCTTCTGGATGCTGAGATGTGCTCTTGAACTCCTATATTGATTTTTTTAATTTCAGCTCTTATAATTTTATTTTCTTTCAGCTATTGTGCTTTTCAACTCCAGAATTCCTGCTTGGTTAATTTTATAACTTCTATTTTTTGTTAATATTACCTACTTGTTCACACATTGTTCTCCTGGTTTCCTTTCATTCCTGTTCCATGCTTTTCTTTAGCTCTTTGAACATATTTAAAGTCTTTGTCTAGTAAATCCAATGTATGGGCTTCCCTCAGAAATTGTTTTTGTCAATTTTCTTCCTGTGCATAGCTTATACTTTCCTGGTTTCTCTGTATGCTTTGTCATTTCTAGTTGAGAAGTAGACATTTTGAGTATTGTAATGTGGTAACTCTGAAAATTATATTTTTCCTCCCCAGGGAACACTGCTGTTACTTTCCTTTTGTTGTTGTTGTTGTTGTTGTTGTTGTTGTTGTTGAGACAGAGTCTCACTCTGTTGCCCAGGTTGGAGTGCAGGGATGTGATCTCAGCTCATTGCAACTTCTGCCTCCCATATTCAAGTGATTGTCCTGCCTCAGCCACCCAAGTAGCTGGGATTACAGGCATACACCACCACGCCCGGCTAATTTTTGTTTGTATTTTTAGTAGAGACAGGATTTCACCATGTCGGCCAAGGTCAAACTCTTGACCTCAAGTGATCTACTCGCCTCGGCCTCCCAAACTCCTGGGATTATAGGCAGTGAGCCACCACACCCAGCTGGTGCTGATACTTCTCAAAGGCTGCAGTTACTCGTTTATTTAGTAACTTTCCAAACTATTTTTGCGAAAACTATCCTTGTCATGTTTTTGCGATATTTTGCGAAAACTATCCTTGTCATGTGTGGTCACTGAGGTCTCTATTTCATATTCTCTACAGCCAGCTGGTGACCTGACAGCAGTTTACCTGAATGCCTGGAACCAATAAGTAAAGGAGAAAAAAAATAGGTGTTCTGTTTCTTTAAATTATTTCAACAGAGGCCTCCAGGAAATCTACTTCTACTTGAGGGGATTGAAACATTGCTGGCCAGTCATTGAACCACTAGGCAGATTCAAATATACAACTCTGATTTTTGTTAGACAGGGTCCTTATTTTCTGCCCTAGCAGCAGGAAGCTGCACCAGGAACTTGGGCCTTTCTCCCCTCACTGCCTTCTGCAGGTCTGGAAGTGATAGTTGCTGTGCAAAATGCTGAAATTTACCAGCTTCTTTATTCATCAAGCAGTCACCTGGATGCCACAAGTCTTCAGCTAGAGTCTAGAGTTCTGAAATCATTGATTCTGAGAGTTCTTGCTAGCTCAATGGTTTCAGTGGAGGAATTGATTACTAGAGTTTCTTACCCTGCCATTGTTGTGTCATCATTTAGCCATTATTTCTGAAAATACTATTTCTGCATCATAAATTAAAACCATACTTAGTATCCACATTCTGTTTTTCATTTTCAGTACAGTGTTCAATAAATTAATGAGGTATTCAACACTGTGTTATAAAATAGAGTTTGTGTTAGGTGCTTTTGCCCAACTTTAGACTAATTTAAGTGTTCTGATCACATTTAAGGTAGGCTAGGCTAAGCTATGACGTTTAGTAGTAGATATTTTCAACTCATGATGGGTTTGTCAGGATGTAACCCCATCATAAGTCAAAGAGCATCTGTAAAGACAAAGTACTTTAGAAAAAAATACAGTGATAGGATGACAAGATCAGAAAAGAGATTAAGCATAGGTAGGTTTGCTGTAGTGCTGTTGAAATCTAACCTTCTAAAAACGGTCTGCCAAACCTGCATCTGCTCCTCCTTGTAAAAGAAGTGAAAGGTAATATAATATTATCAAGAATATAAAATTAAACAGACGGGAACTCTTGTAACTCAGTACACAAAATTTCTAAAACATGGCCTTAAAGGCTAAGCATGTCTGTATTTTTCCTTTCTGTCTTGACAGAAAAAAATCTAACCTTTCTATAGGTCAGACTAAGCAAGTTCTATTAATTAGCCCAAACTTCAATAGGACAGATTATCTGAGAATGTTCTTACTTGTAGGGCACTTTAATTGAAATAAGACTAATTCTGACTCCTGATTTTACGGGTGAGAAAGTTGAGATCCAACAAAATTAATTACCATAAAGAACAAAAATCTGATTGCCATTTTTGTTCCTTTTTCAATATACTTAGTAGCCCTTCCTCAAAGAAAGTTTTAGCACAAAATGTATTCTCTTACTTGGAATTACTTCTGCTGTTTGTTTCTGTATATAATCTGAATAAATATAATGTTAACACTGGAAAAGTTCCTAGAAATTAGCTGTTCTTCATCTTTTTTGGATCAAAGATCATTTTGAGAATTGGATAAAATGTGTTTGCTATGCCCTGTCCATAGACTACTGACTTAGATATGTAATAATTTCTGACATAGATGGAAAAACCCAAGACCAGGAGATGGTAATTGTTTGAAGATTCAAAAGCAGGTCAATGTTAGAAGAAATTAGAATGGTCTACTCATGCATTACCCATAATAGTTAAGTTCTTCATATTATAATAATGAGATAGTTTTCTTTCCTGTTTGCCTTCCCCTCCTCTACACTTTACAATACTAGTATCAGTTTTCTGAGTTAATCTGCATGTTCTCTGCTATATGGAGACTTCTTCAGTGTATCCTCATCATAGTTAGAACTTGATTTTTACTCTTATTTACACATTTAGTTTTGCCTTAATGACTGCATTGTTTTCCATTTTATGAAAGTCCCATTTGTTTAACCTGTCTCCAATATAGAAGCTTAAATTTAAAATATATATGTATGTTACATTCAGTACTATGGTAAACATTCTGGTACATAACTGTTCTGCAAGTATATGTGCCAGAAATTCCTAGAAATAAAATTGCTGGGTGAAAGAGGAAGCACAAAAAAAAATTTGTATGAATTACTGTTTGCCTTCCAAAAAGATTGAACCAATTTGTACCTAACCAGCAAAACATACAGTTCATGTTTCTGTGTAACCTCGCCATTTTTAACCCTTCTTTTGTGATCTTTGCAAGTCTGGTAACTGGAGGTATCTTACTTTTATTTAATGTGTATGTCATTAAGTATTAGTGCAATTGAGCTCAATATTGTTAAGATGTCAGTTTGCCCCAGTGTGACATATATATTCAGTGTAATCATGATCAAAATCCCAGCATATTTTTTGTAGATATTGACAAGCTAATTCTAAAACTTATGTGGAAAGGCAAGTGAACTAGAAGAGCCCCCAAAATTTGAAATGGAAAAAGAGGAACAAAGTTGAGAATTCACACTACCCAATTTTAATATAAGGCTACATAAGTCAAGCCAGTGGGGTCCTGGCCAAAGGATAAACATATAATTCAGTGAGACAGAATAGAGAGCTCAGAAATAGACCCACACAAATATTATCAACTGACTGTTGGCAGAAGCTAAAAAGAAATTCCACAGGAAAAGGGTAGTTTTTTCAATAAATGGTACTGGAACAATGAACAGCTTTATGCAAAAAAAAAAAAAAAAAAAAAGACCCTCAATACGTCAACATGTACCACACAACTTGTACAAAAATTAACTCAGAATGCATCATAGAACTAAAATGTATAACATAAAACTATAAAACTTCTAGAAGAAAACATTTAAGAAAATCTCCATAATTTTGACTTAGGTGATGAGTACTTAAAATTGACACCAAAAACACAACTCATTAAAACTTTTTTGAGAAATTGGACTTTATTATCAAAAGTTTAAACTTTTAAACTTTCACTCTAAGAAAGGCACTGTTAACAAGAATGAAAAGTCAAGTGCTGAATGGGAGAAAACATTTGGAAATTCCAAGTCCAGCAAGTGACTTGGATTATCCAAAATATACAAAGGACTCTGAAGAACTTGCCAGTAAGTGTGATAGGAAGAATAATGCCCCCACACCCCCATCACCCAAAGATGCCTACATCCTAATCCAAAAGGGAGTGATGATGTAGAAGAGGAAGTCAGAGATACGATGTGAAAAAGACTCAATCCAATGATGTTGGCTTGGAAAATGAAGAAAGAGAAATATGAGCCAAGGGGCAGGCGTGATTTCTAGAAGCTAGAAAAAGCATGGAAATGGACTTTCCCCTAGAACCTCAAGAAAGGAACACAGTCCTACTGACACCTTAATTTTAGGCCAGGGAGATGTCTGACAAATTTCTAACATGCAGAACTGTAAGATAGTAAATTTGTATTGTTTTAAGACACCATATTTGTGACAATTTGTTACAGCAGTAATAAGAAACTAATATAGGAAGAAAACAAAAAAGCTAATTGAAAAAAAAAAAGACAAAAGATCTGAATAGGTACTTCTCCAAAGAAGATATATGGATGGCAAACAAGGATATGAAAAGATACTTAACATCATTTATCATTACAGAATGGAAATTAAAATCACAATTAGATGCTATGTCATAGTTGTTAGAATTGTTACAAACAGACAATAAATAAATAATGGCAAGGATCTGGAGCAGCAGGCATTCTCATTTATTGCCAGTGGGAATGCAGAATGGCATAGCCACTTTGGAAGTCAGTTTGATAGTTTCTTAAATATCACTTCTGGGTATTTACCTAAATGTATTGAAAACTTTTGTTCACACAGAAACCTATATGCAAATGTTTATAGCAGCTTTATTTATAAATTGACAAAAACTAGGAACAACCAAGATGTCTTTCAGTAAGTGGTACAGTGGAATACTACTCAACCATGAAGTGGAGTGAGTTGGTTATTCCTGCAACAACATGAATAAATATCACATGCATTTTGCTGAGCAAAGCTAGAACTAAAAGGCAGTGTATAGTATTATTCCATTTACATGACATACCGGAAAAGGCAGCTAATAAGAACAGAAAACAGATAGGTGGTTACCAGGAGGTGGGGGAGGGGTCAGCTGCAAAAGGGGTGTGATAGAACTGTTGTTCTGTGTGGTAATGGGATGGTAGATGGATTCTATCCATTCATTTGTAGAATGAACTTTCCTGGTGTAAATTAAAAAATCAACCAAAATGTCAGGGGATCCCAGGATGAAATGGAAACTATAACTGATGAATCTAACTATATTATAAATGCATGACATATCTTAATGAAAGTGGTAGGGGGGAAAGGAACTGACCTAAGTAACTTTGGAAAACAGGTAATGTTTTGACTGGATAATGTAAGACTAAAGACAAAAACATTGAACTCTAGTTGGTAAATTTGTTTCTTACAGGTACAGATTAGCAGTCCTAAAACTACTCTACCTCTATTCTAGGAATGAACAATAAGTGAACATATTGTGGGTGTTTAGAGCCAAGTTTCTCTCTGTCAGAGTAAGAAGTTACAAGTAAACAACAGGGAAACTAGAATGAACTCTGGCTCTGGAGAGATGTATGAGCAGAGATTCATGTTTATTTTAATATGTATATGGATAAATATATATAGAACTAACCTCAGATATGAGTGGATACATGGCTTAGTGTACATGTGTGTAAAGGCCTAGAAGCAGTGTCACCCCGGTAGCTACAGACTCATTCAGCGTCTACCCTAATCTTGGTTTCTGCATACCATTTTTCAATAAAAGGAAGCAGGGCTTCCTGGAGAAATGGCTAATGCTGCATCTGGGACAGGTAAAATACAAGATGAGCCTGGAGTATCTTATGGGGTCAGAAAGTAAGGAGGTACTTTTTTTTTTTTTTTAAAGCACGGAACAGTTTCAGCAACAAAATGGGATGTTATATTTTACTCAGAAAACATCCTTCAATCCATACTGATATAAACAAATGAATTGATGAATTCTTCGGAGAAAACAGACAAATCTTCCTTAAGGAATAATTTTTAATAATTATATAAATACTATCCCCTTCTGGAGGTGAGCTTTTCTCTCTCCTTGTGGACTGGACTTAGTGATTTGTTTCCAAAGAGGACAATATGGAAAAGAAAAAAGGAATAACTTTATAGTTAGGAAATCAGTCAGACTCCACCTTAGTCAAGTGTTAAGTGTTAAAATCACCAGTGATAACTCATGTGGTAGCACATCTGTGGTATTAGTCCCATAACCCACAATCCCAGCCTGATCATGAGAACATATTAAAACTCAGATTGAAGGAAATTTTACAAAATATGAAATACCTGATTACTACTCTTCACAAGTGTCAAAGCCATAAAAAACAAGGAAAAGTCTGAAAAGCTATCAGATTGGAGAGACCAAGGAAACACGACGATTAAATGCAAATGGAATCCTAGATTGGATCTTAGAATCAAAAAAAGATATTAGTGGGAAAACTGGTGAAATACACATAAAGTCTGTAATTCAGTTAATAATATTATTGTACCAGTATTAATCATTTAATTTTGACAAATGTACCTTGATTATGGAAGATGCTAACGTTAGGAGAAGCTCAATAGAGGATATCTGGGAACTCTCTGTACTCTCTTTGCAACTTTCCCGTAACTTTAAAATTGTTTCAAGACAAAATGTTTATTTAATAAAGGTACATTCTGTCAACAAATATTTATGCAAATGAATGAGCATCTCTTCGTTGATCATCCTTTTATTAATTGCCTATTATAATCTTTGTCCATTTTTTAGGTTAAGTGCACTATTACATGTTATTGCTATCTGTGGCTTGTTTTGGGCTCTTTATAAATTATATCAATACCTGAAAAAGCTTGTTTATATTATTTACACACTATTTTTGAGACTTTGTGTTCTAAAAGGAAGGCTTATTTTAAAAGTTGGTTGTTGTCTTCTCTGCTTTAGATGCTGGGAGCTTTTGCACATGCTGTCTCAATCCATGTTAGGTATGTGATGTTTACCCACTTTGCAGATAAGAAAACTGAAACTCGGGGGTTAACCCATTTATGCCGGCGGCTGCAAAATTTTTTTTTGTGAAAAATCAGACCTTGGCGATGACCTTGAGCAGCAGGATATAAATAACTCCCACAAGCTTAGCGTTCCAATAATGGAACATTGGGCATAAATGTTAATAACTTGCCAAAAATGAAATTTAGCAGGGACAGGATTTAAATGCAGTTCTTGCTTTAGTCTCCTTTCTTTCTAATATGATAATTTGCCTTTCCTGCAATATAATAGGAAAAACTCAGAGAAATTATTTTAGATGATTTAGAATTAAATGACATAGATTTACAAAATGTAATATAAAAGACCATATCTTCTTTTCTGCTTGTAAGTGTGCCAACTTGATTAAAGAAATGATAAAAGTAAAGTATTGGCACATGCTACAACATGGGTGAAACTTCAAAAAATGATAAATGAAATAAGTCACAATAACCCATGTGTTATATAGATTTCATTTATATGAAATGTCCAGAGTAGGCAATTCTAAGGAACAGAAAGTACATTATTGATTGCCAAGGGCTGGATACAGGGAGGCTTGGAGAATGATGGCTAAGGAGAGTGGTGTTTCTTTTGGGGGTGAAAACTGTTCTAAAATTGATTGTGGTGACAGTTGCACAACTCTGTGAATATACTAAAAGTCACTGAATAAACACTTTAGGCCAGGCGTGGTGGCTCAAGCCTGTAATCCCAGCACTTTGGGAGGCCAAGGTGGGCAGATTGCTTGAGTCCAGCAGTTTGAGACCAGACTGGCCACGATGGCGAAACCCTGTCTCTGCTAAAAATACAAAAATTAGCTGGGCATGGTGACACACACCTGTAATCCCAGCTACTTGGGAGGCTGAGGCATGAGAATCGCTTGAACCTAGGAGGCGGAGGTTGCAGTGAGCCGAGATCATGCCACTGCACTGCAGCCTGGGCGTCAGAGTGAGACTTGTGAAAAAAAAGAAAAAATTAAAAAAACACACTTTAAATGGGGACTTATATGGTATGTGGATTATATCTCAATAAGTTGTTAAAAAATAATTAAATTGCATCAGAAGACAAAAAGATGTACATATGACTATATTTACTGCAGCACTGCTTGTAATGACAAAATACTTGAAACAGTTAATTTGACTCTTGTGTGATATGTAACCTAAGGATGAAAACAACCTTTAAAACTGTAAACTGCTTTCTGTAGTGACACTGTGGATAGTAAAAAAGCTGACTTATTCTAAGATTACAAGATTTGTGTTTTGTGATAAGATAATAAGTAATTTTGTTGGTATAGCAAAACTGGGATTTTGGGTTCTGGAGAAAGAAGAAACAATGAAAGATATCTGAGTTTCAGTCAATATCCTGAAGCGCTAAATTTCTACTGGAAATATCACTATAATCTTATGTTGACTTTGCCTTCAAAACAAGTGCATATATCCTAGCTCCATCCACTGAATAGGCCTAGAAATAAGAACCACTTCAGCAATAATGAAATGTGACTACAAAAGTATTTATTTTCCACTTAAATGAACAAGGGCTCCTGGGAGAAATGTCTGATTCAAGATCTATGGCAGGAAATAGATAAGTCTGGAATACCTTGTTATACCAAATAGCAAAAAAGATGTCGAAAACTACTAGGTTTGGGTCAAAAAGATTCAGGATAAGCTGAATCCAACTTGAAGAGACTTCCAAAGGCCAAAGAGGGGGATGCAGATGATATCATCTTGTATGTAGAAAAGTCTCTGTTGATATTAGAGAGTATCAGTACTAATATCAAACATGTTTAAATCCATGTGTTCATGATCTTACTAAAGAAAAACTCCCTTGAAAGATATTAGGGAAAAAAATCCAACATTTATATCCAATTTGACTATACCAGTTGTAACTTGAGGTAAGCAAGTAATTGAGTAGAGGAATGTTTTCTCTATGGACATATCTAACAAATAAATGAAGGAGGAAGGAATGAGAATTAGAGTATTACCATTTTTGTAATCTTTAATGAAATAATGATCATTGGCAATGTAGAGACAACCAGCCATTATATGGCTCCTAAAAAAGGTGTACAACATGCCGGGCGCATTGACTCACCCCTGTAATCCCAGCACTTTGGGAGGCCGAGGCAGGTGGATCATGAGGTCAGAAGATAGAGACCATCCTGGCAAACACGGTGAAACCCCGTCTCTACTAAAACTACAAAAAAATTAGCCGGGTGTGGTGGCGGGCGCCTGTAGTCCCAGCTACTCGGGAAGCTGAGGCAGGAGAATGGCGTGAACCCGGTAGGCCGAGCTTGAAGTGAGCCGAGATCACGCCACTGCACTCCAGCCTGAGCAACAGAGCGAGACTCCATCTCAAAAAAAAAAAGAAGTGTACAAGGTAAGTTATGAAGTAATCTTGCCATAAAACAAAAAGGCAAGCCTGAAGTCTCTGTCTTACTAATAAAATACAGGAAATACAGTGCCAAAGGAACGTGTTTAAATTTACAGAACAAGACAGGTTGTTCAATATATACAAATTTAAAATCGCCCTAAAAGAGAAGACACCATAAGCTAAGTTAGAGACAACATGAACATGCATAGAACAGTTCTATAAAAAAACACAACAAACTAATAACTGTGGTTTCTAAGGGTTAGAATTTGAGGCTGATGGGCAGAAAGGAAAGGGTAATTGCTTTTTAATACACATTTCTCTCTGCATTTTGCATTTTGTGCTGTATTACTTTTTTAAAAAACATGAATTTTTAAGTCACAGGAAAAGCACCAAGATATTAAAAGTGCTACTTCAGTGAACATACAAATGATAAGTGAAGTAGCCTTATTGCTGGTATGGAGAAAATTGTACTTGTCTGGATAGAAGATCAAACCAGCCATAACATTCCCTCAAGACAAAGCCTAATCCAGAGCAAAATCCTAACTCTATTCACTTCTATGAAGACTGAGAGAGGTGAGGAAGCTACAGAAGAAAAGTTGGAAGCTAGCAGAGGTTGGTTCATGAGGTTTAAGGAAAGAAGCCATCTCCGTAACATAAAGGTGCAAGGTGGAGCAGCAAGTGCTGGTGGAGAAGTTGCGGCAGGTTGTCCAAAAGAGCTAGCTAAGATGATTGGTGAATGTGGCTTCACTAAACAACAGATTTTCTTTTCTTTTCTTTCTTTTTTTTTTTTTTTTTGAGACTGAGTCTCACTGTACCGCACAGGCTAGAGTGAAGTGACACAATCTGGTTCACTGCAACCTCTGCCTCCTGGGTTCAAGTGATTTTCGAGTCTCACTCAGCCTCCCAAGTGATTCTCATGCCTCAGCCACCTGAGTAGCTGGGATTACAGGCACCTGCCACCACGCCCAGCTAATTTTTTGGTAGAGACGGAGTTTCACCATGTTGGCAAGGCTGGTCTCAAACTCCTGACATCAAGTAATCCACCTGCCTTGGCCTCCCAAAGTGCTGGGATTACGGGCATGAGCCACCATGCCTGACTCAAAACAACAGATTTTCAATGTAGATGAAACAGTCTTCTGTTGAAGAAAATGCCATCTAGAACTTTCCTAGCTAGAGAAGAGAAGTCAATGCCTGGCTTGAAAGCTTCAAAAGACAGGCTGATTCTCTTAGTACAGGCTAATCCAGCTGGTGGCTTTAAGTTGAAGCCAGTGCTCACTTACCACCTGAAAATCCTAGAGCCATTAAGAATTATGCTAAATCTATCAGTGCTCTAGAAATGGAACAGCAAAGTCTGGATGACAGGACATCTTTTTACAGCATTGAACGTTTTAAGCCCACTGTTGAGACCTACTGGTAAGAAAAAAAGATTAATTTTCAAAAGATTATTGCTCATTGACCACACACTTGGTCATGCAAGAGCTCTGGTGGAGATGTACAAGAATATTGTTGTTTTCATGTCTGCTAACAACATCCATTCTGCAGTTTGTGGATCAAGGAGTGGTTTTGACTTTCAGGTCTTATCATTTGATAAATACATTTCATAAGACTGCAGCTGCCATAGATAGTGATTTCTCTGATGGATCTGGGCAAAGTAAATTGAAAACCTTCTGGAAAGGTTTCACCATTCTGGATACCACTAAGAACATTTGTGATTCATGGAAGTAGGTCAGTATATTAACATTAATATATTGACTCTGAAAGGAGTTGATTCTAACCCTCATGGATGACTCTGAGGGGTTCAAGACTTCAGGATCGGAAATAACTGCAGATGTGGTTGAAACAGCAAGAGACCTGTGAGATTAGAAGTGGAGCCTGAAGATGTGACTGAATTACTTTAATCTCATGATAAAAATCAAACAGATGAGTTTCTTCTTATGAATAAACAAATAAAATGGTATCTTGAGATGGAATCTACTTGTGGTGAAGATGCCGTGAACGTTGTTGAAATGACAAAAGATTTAGAAAATTACATAACATTAGTTGATAAAGTGATGGCAAGGTTTGAGAGCATTGACTCCAGTTTTGAAAGTCGTTCTCCTGTGGGTCAAATGCTATCAAACAGCATTGTATGTTGCAGAGGAATTTTTTGTGAAAAGAAGTCAATCAGTGCAGCAAATTTCAATGTTGTTTTATTTTAAGAAATTGCCATAAGCCAACTAACCTTCAGCCACTACCACCCTTATCGGTCAGAAGACACCAACATCGAGGCCAGACCCTCTGCCAGCAAAAAAATTACAGTTCACTGAAGGCTCAGGTGATTGTTAGCATTTTTTTAGCAATAAAGTATGTTTTAATTAAGGTGTATACATTATTTTTTAGACATAGTGTGATTGCACAGGTAATAGACTATAGTATCATGTAAACATGTAAATGCAACAATTTTTTTTGCAGACACAAGTATTTGTATGACTTGCTTGATTGCAGTGGTGTGGAACAGAAACTGCATTATCTTTAAGGTGTGTCGGTATTTGGGAAGAGAAGTTCTCATTTCACTGAATTTGTAGCTTGGAAAATATAAGTCTTGACTGGTATTTAGGGGCTACCATATTCAAATAGCTAGCTTGAGAGTGAATGAAAAAGGTCAAAAGAAACACTGAGAGATGGAGATAAACTGATCCTGATAACATTTTTTTTACCCTTCGGATCCACTCATGCCTGGAAGAAAACCTGTCAGTGTTTTGTTTTGTTTTCTTTTTAAGCAAATACTCCCTCTGCCCACACACTTTATGCTTTAAAACAAAAGGCCATGTTGAACTTGTAGAACCAAATGATTGCTAATTACTTGGGGCGATACTAGTGATATATTATCTTACATACACACACACAAAACACACACACACACACACACACACACACACACGGCTTGAGTCCAGCATGGCCTACTGATTTTAAAATAGGAAATGACAGTGTAAATGCCAGGATAAAGGACAAAGTGCTCTGACCTGTTGCCAAACCTTTTTTTCCACAGCTACAGTGCACCTATATTCTATAATAGTCAGTGCAACTCTTTTTTGTGAATTGTTTACATGTCTGACTTCTTGTTTGGATTTTACTTGGTGATTTGATATGAATTTTTAATGTGAAAGCACTTAGCGTTAGGAGTTTGACATTTTGTCTGACCTGAATCACCAAGAGGATCATGTGAGGTTTATTCAGTGGGAAGAGAACTGTTACAGCTCTGACAGAAATGATGGGAAATAAGTAAACAGCCTTTTAAATCTTCACCAGAAATCAATAGGGTTTAAAGATGATGGACGTTGGTGTTTTTTGCTGCTTAAGGACTTCAACCTTTTACGGGAAAATATCTTCTCTACGTGTCAGCAGTTTTTTCCATGCACACAATGAATCGCTGCTGCAAATAGAACATTCTGCATAGAACACTCTTCATCATTATTATAAGAAAGAAGCTGTGTAAGACTGGCCTTGGTAATGTAGAGCCTTTTGGGGCATTTTTGTATGAAAAGAGAGGACCATATCTTACAATTTTGTTTTCATCATAAGTGTAATTTATGTGCCAAACTTTTTCCTCAACTAAATAATAACAGTTTTTATATACTGAGAACCTCCTTTGTACTGGGCATTGACTGTGTGATGTTTTAAGGTAGATTATTTGACCCCACTTTATAGATGACAAAATTGGAGCCCAGAGGCTCTAAGTTCGTCTGACTAGTGATAGAACTGATACTTAAAACCCTAGTCCATCTGAGTTTAAAGCTTATCCTTTTACTACTTTCCAGCTGTGTCTCTGAGGACAGGCACTCAATAGGTGTTCTTGCCCTTGGTTCTATTTCTTCGGTAGTGGTATCTCTTATTTTCTTTCTCCTTTTCCCCCTAGTCAGTAAAACTAATATAAGTGATGGCCTTCACATCATTTAATAAGAGGATAAGAGCTACATCATGGTCATTGAATAAAAGAATATGGGTTAAGAACTGCTTCCCAGTATACTCTGCAGATTTGATTTATTATGAATGATTTATGAGATATTAGATTGCTGTATAGTAGTTAGCAGTGTATTCACAATCAGCTGCACTCTAATGCCAAGTGTTGAAATATTAACTGAACGTATCATGTAGTGTCCTTTGTTTATAACATAATAATCTTGACTTTACAAAATAGTTAACTTTCCAGCTGTTTAATTTGTACATATCATTGTACAACTGTTATCTTTGAGAAAGCAGCTTATTTATTTTGTGATTTGGAAATAGTCTTTGTAATTCAAACTAAGAAAATCAACTTAGTTTTGTAATAATAAATATCATGGAACATACACTGCTAAATAAAAATTTTCACATAAAACCTCCTGATTTGATGTTATTTTACATTTAAAGGCACATTACTTAATTGGAATTTTTATAAAGGAAATAAGATAGCTTCTTACCAGTTTATTGTAATACATGTAATATGTTAGATATGTCGAATGCAATTACTATCAGATGAACAGTTCTTTTCCTACTCTTTCATGAATCTGTTTTAGAGCAGTCACTTAATGTTTGTCGTTTTTCATTTCCTTATTAAAACTGAAATAAATGAAATGACCTGAGAATCCTTCTAACTCTAAAATTGTGTAACTTTTTAGGCTTAGAATTTTGACTTGAAGTCATTTTTTCCTTCACATACTTCTAATTAATAAAACCTTAAAAATAATTTTTGTTACAGCATTTCTAAATGTTCTTCTTCCTAGCCCTTAAAGCAGATATTTTTCTAATATCCAGTTGCCTTCTTTGAATTGGCAATACTGTGTTACACACCTGACTTGCGCTCATCTCAAATAGAATATCTTACCTTTGTTTTTCATTAAAATACACACACACATATAGAATATATGTGGCATTGTGACTCCAGGCACCTTCAGGTGTCAGTAAAGGAATGATGATTAATCAGCCATTTTCTTGTGTTTCTGGGAGCCTGAAGTTTTCAGGTACATGAGGATTAATTCTATATTTGATAAAAGAGCCAGTTGATCAGTTCGAATAGGTAATTAACTGCTAAGCTTGTAAGAAACATTTCAACTTGTGATGAGAGGATGATCCTTAGGCAATCTCAGTGTGGCAGAAGCTATAATCAATGTATGCATCTCAGATAAAATTATAGTCTCATCTACCCTTTGCTCAACATTTTTACACTGACCCAGTACCTCTAAAAAGAGAATGTAGTAGAAATCAGGAATCCTCTGTTCTAGTGTGACTCTGCCCCTAATTTTCTGGTCACATAAATTGGAAGGTCACATAACCTTTTAAGGCCTGAGCTTTCTTGTCTGCAAAATGAGGGTGATAGAACCTATTAAACAGTTATTGTGGGAATTATTTTAGTTAACATATGTGAAAGAATTTGAATTCTTAAATAACTTCTGCTTTGCCAGACAATTTAGGTATCTTATTTGCTAGTACAAGTTTTTGTAACCTGGATTTGGTGTGTAACCTTAGATAGACTGTAGCATTTTGGGTATGATCAGATGTAACCTCTTTAAAGAAAAAAAAAAAAGGAACAGCTGAATTTATTTACTTCTTGTTTCAAGGAAGAAAATCGTAGTTGCCTCTCCTATCAAGTAAACATGTCCATTTTTAAAAGACAGTCAGCTCCCCAACAGGGATTATAAATTGAACAAATGAAAGACGGCTTTTCAGAATAAAGTATTCAATTTAATTCATTTTCTTTTCTTGTTTGACTTTGAACTTTTAATCTTCTTGGTAAATATCAAAGGAATTCCCTAGTTACTTTGCATTTACATTTTGCATTGGTTACTGTCATGGACTGCATATTTGTGTGCCCTCAACATTCATATGTTGAAATCTAATCCCAATATGATGGTATTTGGAGGTGGGACCTTTAAGAGGTAATTAAGACATGAGAGTGGAACCTTCATGAAAGACATAAGTGCCCTTATAAAAAGATGCCAAAAAGCTAGCCCACTCCTTCCACCATGTAAGGAGAGAATGAAAAATTGGTAGTCTGCAACCCAGAAGAGGGCCCTCACCAGACCTGACTATGCTGGCATCCTTATATTGGACTTCCAATCTTCAGAGCTGTGAGAAATAAATTTCTGTTGTTTCTAAGCCACCTGGTCTATGGTATTCTGTTACAGCAGCCTGAACTAAGACAATTACAGTTGACCCTTGAACAACACAAGTTTGAACTGTGCATGTCAACTTCTACATTATTTTTTCTCTGTTCAGTCAAGGATGGAAAAATACATTATTAATGTAATGCAAAACCTATATATGTGGAGGGCCAGCTGATATGGTGTGGCTGTGTCCCCATCCAAATCTCATCTTGAATTCCCACATGTTGTGGGAGGAACCCAGTGGGAGGTAAGTGAATCATGGGGCAGGTCTTTCCCATGCTGTTCTCATGATAGCAAATAAGTCTCACAACATCTGATGATATTATAAGGGGGAGTTTCCTTACATAAGCTCCTCTCTTGCCTGCTGCCATGTGAGACGTGCCTTTCACCTTTTGCCATGATCGTAAGGCCTCCCCAGCCACTTGGAACTGTAAGTCCAATAAACCTCATTCTTTTGTAAATTGCCCAGTTGTGGTTATGTCTTTTTTTTTTTTAATTATACTTTAAGTTTTAGGGTACATGTGCACATTGTGCAGGTTAGTTACATATGTATACATGTGCCATGCTGGTGCGCTGCACCCACTAACTCGTCATCTAGCATTAGGTATATCTCCCAATGCTATCCCTCCCCCCTCCCCCGACCCCACCACAGTCCCCAGAGTGTGATATTCCCCTTCCTGTGTCCATGTGTTCTCATAGTTCAATTCCCACCTATGAGTGAGAATATGCAGTGTTTGTTTTTTTGTTCTTGCGATAGTTTACTGAGAATGATGATTTCCAATTCCATCCATGTCCCTACAAAGGACATGAACTCATCATTTTTTATGGCTGCATAGTATTCCATGGTGTATATGTGCCACATTTTCTTAATCCAGTCTATCATTGTTGGACATTTGGGTTGGTTCCAAGTCTTTGCTATTTTGAATAGTGCCACAATAAACATATGTGTGCATGTGTCTTTATAGCAGCATGATTTATAGTCCTTTGGGTATATACCCAGTAATGGGATGGCTGGGTCAAATGATATTTCTAGTTCTAGATCCCTGAGGAATCGCCACACTGACTTGCACAATGGTTGAACTAGTTCACAGTCCCACCAACAGTGTAAAAGTGTTCCTATTTCTCCACATCCTCTCCAGCACCTGTTGTTTCCTGACTTTTTAATGATTGCCATTCTAACTGGTGTGAGATGGTATCTCATTGTGGTTTTGATTTGCATTTCTCTGATGGCCAGTGATGATGAGCATTTTTTCATGTGTTTTTTGGCTGCATAAATGTCTTCTTTTGAGAAGTGTCTGTTCATGTCCTTCGCCCACTTTTTGATGGGGTTGTTTGTTTTTTTCTTGTAAATTTGTTTGAGTTCATTGTAGATTCTGGATATTAGCCCTTTGTCAGATGAGTAGGTTGCGAAAATTTTCTCCCATTTTGTAGGTTGCCTGTTCACTCTGATGGTGGTTTCTTTTGCTGTGCAGAAGCTCTTTAGTTTAATTAGATCCCATTTGTCAATTTTGGCTTTTGTTGCCATTGCTTTTGGTGTTTTGGACATGAAGTCCTTGCCCATGCCTATGTCCTGAATGGTAATGCCTAGGTTTTCTTCTAGGGTTTTTATGGTTTTAGGTCTAACGTTTAAATCTTTAATCCATCTTGAATTGATTTTTGTATAAGGTGTAAGGAAGGGATCCAGTTTCAGCTTCCTACATATGGCTAGCCAGTTTTCCCAGCACCATTTATTAAATAGGGAATCCTTTCCCCATTTCTTGTTTTTCTCAGGTTTGTCAAAGATCAGATAGTTGTAGATATGCAGCGTTATTTCTGAGGGCTCTGTTCTGTTCCATTGATCTATATCTCTGTTTTGGTACCAGTACCATGCTGTTTTGGTTACTGTAGCCTTGTAGTGTAGTTTGAAGTCAGGGAGTGTGATGCCTCTAGCTTTGTTCTTTTGGCTTAGGATTGACTTGGCAATGCAGGCTCTTTTTTGGTTCCATATGAACTTTAAAGTAGTTTTTTCCAATTCTGTGAAGAAAGTCATTGGTAGCTTGATGGGGATGGCATTGAATCTGTAAATTACCTTGGGCAGTATGGCCATTTTCACGATATTGATTCTTCCTACCCATGAGCATGGAATGTTCTTCCATTTGTTTGTATCCTCTTTTATTTCCTTGAGCAGTGGTTTGTAGTTCTCCTTGAAGAGGTCCTTCACATCCCTTGTAAGTTGGATTCCTAGGTATTTTATTCTCTTTGAAGCAATTGTGAATGGGAGTTCACTCATGATTTGGCTCTCTGTTTGTCTGTTGTTGGTGTATAAGAATGCTTGTGATTTTTGTACATTGATTTTGTATCCTGAGACTTTGCTGAAGTTGCTTATCAGCTTAAGGAGATTTTGGGCTGAGACAATGGGGTTTTCTAGATATACAATCATGTCATCTGCAAACAGGGACAATTTGACTTCCTCTTTTCCTAATTGAATACCCTTTATTTCCTTCTCCTGCCTAATTGCCCTGGCCAGAACTTCCAACACTATGTTGAATAGGAGTGGTGAGAGAGGGCATCCCTGTCTTGTGCCAGTTTTCAAAGGGAATGCTTCCAGTTTTTGCCCATTCAGTATGATATTGGCTGTGGGTTTGTCATAGATAGCTCTTACTATTTTGAGATACGTCCCATCAATACCTAATTTATTGAGAGTTTTTAGCATGAAGGGTTGTTGAATTTTGTCAAAGGCTTTTTCTACATCTGTTGAGATAATCATGTGGTTTTTGTCTTTGGCTCTGTTTATATGCTGGATTACATTTATTGATTTGCGTATATTGAACCAGCCTTGCATCCCAGGGATGAAGCCCACTTGATCATGGTGGATAAGCGTTTTGATGTGCTGCTGGATTCGGTTTGCCAGTATTTTATTGAGGATTTTTGTATCAATGTTCATCAAGGATATTGGTCTAAAATTCTCTTTTTGGTTGTGTCTCTGCCAGGCTTTGGTATCAGAATGATGCTGGCCTCATAAAATGAGTTAGGGAGGATTCCCTCTTTTTCTATTGATTGGAATAGTTTCAGAAGGAATGGTACCAGTTCCTCCTTGTACCTCTGGTAGAATTCGGCTGTGAATCCATCTGGTCCTGGACTCTTTTTGGTTGGTAAACTATTGATTATTGCCACAATTTCAGCTCCTGTTATTGGTCTATTCACAGATTCAACTTCTTCCTGGTTTAGTCTTGGGAGAGTGTATGTGTCGAGGAATTTATCCATTTCTTCTAGATTTTCTAGTTTATTTGCGTAGAGGTGTTTGTAGTATTCCCTGATGGTAGTTTGTATTTCTGTGGGATCGGTGGTGATATCCCCTTTATCATTTTTTATTGTGTCTATTTGATTCTTCTCTCTTTTTTTCTTCATTAGTCTTGCTAGCGGTCTATCAATTTTGTTGATCCTTTCAAAAAACCAGCTCCTGGATTCATTGATTTTTTGAAGGGTTTTTTGTGTCTCTATTTCCTTCAGTTCTGCTCTGATTTTAGTTATTTCTTG
Source organism: Homo sapiens (assembly GCF_000001405.40). Taxonomy (NCBI): domain Eukaryota; kingdom Metazoa; phylum Chordata; class Mammalia; order Primates; family Hominidae; genus Homo; species Homo sapiens. The sequence continues at coordinate 171,086,995 of NC_000005.10, forward strand.
CCTTCTGCTAGCTTTTGAATGTGTTTGCTCTTGCTTTTCTAGTTCTTTTAATTGTGATGTTAGGGTGTCAATTTTGGATCTTTCCTGCTTTCTCTTGTGGGCATTTAGTGCTATAAATTTCCCTCTACACACTGCTTTGAATGCGTCCCAGAGATTCTGGTATGTTGTGTCTTTGTTCTCATTGGTTTCAAAGAACATCTTTATTTCTGCCTTCATTTCGTTATGTACCCAGTAGTCATTCAGGAGCAGGTTGTTCAGTTTCCATGTAGTTGTGCAGCTTTGAGTGGGATTCTTAATCCTGAGTTCTAGTTTGATTGCACTGTGGTCTGAGAGATAGTTTGTTATAATTTCTGTTCTTTTACATTTGCTGAGGAGAGCTTTACTTCCAGCTATGTGGTCAATTTTGGAATAGGTGTGGTGTGGTGCTGAAAAAAATGTATATTCTGTTGATTTGGGGTGGAGAGTAGTGTAGATGTCTATTAGGTCTGCTTGGTGCAGAGCTGAGTTCAATTCCTGGATATCCTTGTTGACTTTCTGTCTTGTTGATCTGTCTAATGTTGACAGTGGGGTGTTAAAGTCTCCCATTATTAATGTGTGGGAGTCTAAGTCTCTTTGTAGGTCACTCAGGACTTGCTTTATGAATCTGGGTGCTCCCGTATTGGGTGCATATATATTTAGGATAGTTAGCTCTTCTTGTTGAATTGATCCCTTTACCATTATGTAATGGCCTTCTTTGTCTCTTTTGATCTTTGTTGGTTTAAAGTCTGTTTTATCAGAGACTAGGATTGCAACCCCTGCCTTTTTTTGTTTTCCATTTGCTTGGTAGATCTTCCTCCATCCTTTTATTTTGAGCCTATGTGTGTCTCTGCATGTGAGATGGGTTTCCTGAATACAGCACACTGATGGATCTTGACTCTTTATCCAATTTGCCAGTCTGTGTCTTTTAATTGGAGAATTTAGTCCATTTATATTTAAAGTTAATATTGTTATGTGTGAATTTGATCCTGTCATTATGATGTTAGCTGGTGATTTTGCTCGTTAGTTGATGCAGTTTCTTCCTAGTCTCGATGGTCTTGACATTTTGGCATGATTTTGCAGCGGCTGGTACCGGTTGTTCCTTTCCATGTTTAGTGCTTCCTTCAGGAGCTCTTTTAGGGCAGGCCTGGTGGTGACAAAATCGGTCAGCATTTGCTTGTCTGTAAAGTATTTTATTTCTCCTTCACTTATGAAGCTTAGTTTGGCTGGATATGAAATTCTGGGTTGAAAATTCTTTTCTTTAAGAATGTTGAATATTGGCCCCCACTCTTCTGGCTTATAGGGTTTCTGCAGAGAGATTCGCTGTTGGTTTGGTGGGCTTCCCTTTGTAAGTAACATGACCTTTCTCTCTGGCTGCCCTTAACATTTTTTTCTGCATTTCAACCTTGGAGGATGTGACAATTATGTGTCTTGGAGTTGCTCTTCTCGAGGAGTATCTTTGTGGCATTCTCTGTATTTCCTGAATCTGAATGTTGGCCTGCCTTGCTAGATTGGGGAAGTTCTCCTGGATAATATCCTGCAGAGTGTTTTCCAACTTGTTTCCATTCTCCCCGTCACTTTCAGGTACACCAATCAGACGTAGATTTGGTCTTTTCACATAGTCCCATATTTCTTGGAGGCTTTGCTCCTTTCTTTTTATTCTTTTTTCTCTAAACTTCCCTTCTCGCTTGATTTCGTTCATTTCATCTTCCATCACTGATACCCTTTCTTCCAGTTGATCGCATCGGCTCCTGAGGCTTCTGCATTCTTCACGTAGTTCTCGAGCCTTGGTTTTCAGCTCCATCAGCTCCTTTAAGTACTTCTCTTTATTGGTTATTCTAGTTATACATTCATCTAAATTTTTTTCAAAGTTTTCAACTTCTTTGCCTTTGGTTTGAATGTCCTCCTGTAGCTCAGAGTAATTTGATCGTCTGAAGCCTTCTTCTCTCAGCTCGTCAAAGTCATTCTCCATCCAGCTTTGTTCCGTTGCTGGTGAGGAACTGCGTTCCTTTGGAGGAGGAGAGGTGCTCTGCGTTTTAGAGTTTCCAGTTTTTCTGCTCTGTTTTTTCCCCATCTTTGTGGTTTTATCTACTTTTGGTCTTTGATGATGGTGATGTACAGATGGGTTTTCGGTGTGGATGTCCTTTCTGTTTGTTTTCCTTCTAACAGACAGGACCCTCAGCTGCAGGTCTGTTGGAATACCCTGCAGTGTGAGGTGTCAGTGTGCCCCTGCTGGGGGGGGCCTCCCAGTTAGGCTGCTCGGGGGTCACGGGTCAGGGACCCACTTGAGGAGGCAGTCTGCCCGTTCTCAGATCTCCAGCTGCGTGCTGGGAGAACCACTGCTCTCTTCAAAGCTGTCAGACAGGGACATTTAAGTTTGCAGAGGTTACTGCTGTCTTTTTGTTTGTCTGTGCCCTGCCCCCAGAGGTGGAGCCTACAGAGGCAGGCAGGCCTCCTTGAGCTGTGGTGGGCTCCACCCAGCTCGAGCTTCCCGGCTGCTTTGTTTACCTAAGCAAGCCTGGGCAATGGCGGGCGCCCCTCCCCCGGCCTCGCTGCTGCCTTGCAGTTTGATCTCAGACTGCTGTGCTAGCAATCAGTGAGATTCCGTGGGCGTAGGACCCTCCGAGCCAGGTGTGGGATATAATCTCGTGGTGCGCCGTTTTTTAAGCCGGTCTGAAAAGCGCAATATTCGGGTGGGAGTGACCCGATTTTCCAGGTGCGTTCGTCACCCCTTTCTTTGACTCGGAAAGGGAACTCCCTGACCCCTTGCACTTCCCAGGTGAGGCAATGCCTCGCCCTGCTTAGGCTCGCGCACGGTGCGTGCACCCACTGGCCTGCGCCCACTGTCTGGCACTCCCTAGTGAGATGCACCCGGTACCTCAGATGGAAATGCAGAAATCACCCGTCTTCTGCGTCGCTCACACTGGGAGCTGTAGACCGGAGCTGTTCCTGTTCGGCCATCTTCGTGGTTATGTCTTTATCAGCAATGTGAAAATGGACCAGTATAGTAAATGGGTACCAGGAGAGTGGGGCACTGCTGAAAAGAGACCCGAAAATATGGAAGCAACTTTGCAACTGGGTAACAGGCAGAGACTGAAACAGTTTTGAGGGCTCAGAAGAAGATAGGAAAATGTGGAAGAGTTTGGAACTCCCTAGAGACTTGTTGAATGGCTTTGACCAAAATGCTGATAATGATATGGACAGTGAAATCCAGGCTGAGGTGGTCTCAGATGGAGATGAGGAACTTGTTGGGAACTGGAGCAAAGGTGACTCTTGTTATGTTTTAGCAAAGAGACTGCCAGCATTTTGACCCTGCCCTAGAGATTTGTGGAATTTGAATTCGAGAGAGATGATTTAGGCTATCTGGCAGAATAAATTTCTAAACAGCAAAGCATTCAAGAGGTGACTTGGGTGCTGTTAAAGGCATTCAGTTTTAAAAGGGAAACAGAGCATAAAAGTTTGGAAAATTTGCAGCCTGACAATGTGTTAGAAAAGAATATCCCATTTTCTGAGAAGAAATTCAAGCTGGCTGCAGAAGTAAGGAGGAGCCGAATGTTAACCACTAAGACAATGGGGAAAATGTCTCCAGGTCATGTCAGAGAACTTTGCAGCAGCTGCTCTCATCAAGCCCAGAGGTTTAGGAGAAAAAAAAAAATGGTTTCATGGGCAGGGCCCAGGGTCCCTCTGCTCTGTGCAGTCTAGGGACTTGGTGCCCTGTGTCCCAGTCACTCCAGCTGTGATTAAAAGGGCCCAAGGTACAGCCCGGGCTGTTGCTTCAGAGGGTGGAAGCCCCAAGCCTTGGCGACTTCCACATAGTGTTGAGCCTGCGGGTGCACAGAAGTCAAGAATTGAAGTTTGAGTACCTCTGCCTAGACCTCAAAAGATGTACGGAAACATCTGGATGCCCAGGTAAAATTTTGCTGCAGGGGCGAGGCCCTCATGGAGAACCTCTGCTAGGGCAGTGCAGAAGGGAAATGTGGGGTCAGAGCTCCCTCACAGAGTCCCTTCTGGAACATTGCCTAGTGGAGCTGTGAGAAGAGGGCCACCATCCTCCATACCCTAGAATGGTAGAACCACCAACAGCTTGCACTGTGCATCTGGAAAATCTGCAGACATTCAATGCCAGCCCATGAAAGCAGCCAGGAGGGAGTCTGTACCCTGCAAAGCCACAGAGGTGGAGCTGCCCGAGACCATGGGAACCCACTTCTTGCATCATCATGGCCTGGATGTGAGACATGAAGTCAAAGGAGATCATTTTGGAGCTCTAAGATTTTACTTCCTCACTGGATTTCAGATTTGCATGGGGCGTTTAGCCCGTTTGTTTTGTCCAGTTTCCCCCATTTGGAACGGCTGTATTTATCCAATGCCTGTACCCCCATTGTGTCTAGGAAATAACTAACTTGCTTTTGATTTTACAGGCTCATAGGCAGAAGGGTCTTGTCTCCTCTTGGATGAGACTTTGGACTGTGGGCTTTTGAGTTAATGTTGAAATGAGTTAAGACTTTGGGGGACTGTTGGGAAGGCATGATTGGTTTTGAAATGTAAGGACATGAGATTTGGGAGGGGCCAGGAGTGGAATGATATGGTTTGGCTGTGTCCCCACCCAAATCTCATCTTGAATTCCCATGTGTTGTGGGAGGGACCTGGTGGGAGGTAACTGAATCATTGGGCAGATCTTTCCCATGCTGTTCTCATGATAGCGAATAAGTCTCATGAGATCTGATGGTATTATAAGGGGAGTTTCCTTACACAAGTTCCTCTCTTGCCTGCTACCATGTGAGGCTTGCCTTTCACCTTTCACCATGATTGTGAGGCCTCCTCAGCCACATGGAACTGTAAGTCCAGTAAACTTCTTTCTTTTGTAAATCGCCCAGTCTTGGGTATGTCTTTATCAATAGCATGAAAACAGACTAATACACCAGCTTTTCATATATGCAGGTTCCACAGGGCCAACTGCAGGACTGGAATATGCACGGATTTTGGTATATGTGAGGGATCCTGGAACCAATCCCCAGAATACACTGAGGGACAACTGTACTATAGGTTTTTATGTTTAAATATTTTATTTTGATGAAGTGATCTTTAATGGTTCATTCTAGTAACCCAAGGATATGCTTTAAATTTATTGAAGTCAATAGGAAAATGTGATTTAATACTTAAGAAATTGCAGTAAAACAAAGGAAAAAAATTTCCTTTCTGAGAATTCTTATTTGCCTTTGATATCTAATTCTTATGGTTACCATTTGGCATTTAGTGAACCCCTAATAATATATTGAATGATACTTCAAGTTATGTTACAGATCTAAGAATACTTGGCCAAACTGATCTATGACTACAAAAAGAAATTCTGTTGCAGTGACTCATACAACAAAAATGTTCCCAGTTTGTGAGTGACGCTCTGTGTTATATTTACTTCCCTAATATATAGTCACCTTTCATAATAGTGTCAGCATAATATACTAAGACAAAGAGGATCTACTGAAACTTCTCTTGCAACCATTAGGACAAACCCGGTATAAGACTATGCCTCCAGTTACCTGGGTGACCTTACCCTGTTAAAGTCTTATTTATAAAATGAGGGCTGACACTGGATTATTGCTAAGGTTCTATCTATCTGGAGAAATTATCAACCAGGAGAGCTTAATGGTATTTGTCACCTATTCTTATTTTTCCTAAGAGATCTTTTTCATATGATAGTGACATGATCATTCTGATGAAGTCCTTCCAGCTTCTAATAAAATCTAGGAAACACAGTTGTTATTCACCCCATAGTAATGAAGAAACCTGTCCTGTGCACTACAAGGAGCTTCTTATGTTCTGAGAAGAATTGTTATTCACCTTTGATCTCTAGTCCTTAAACTCTGTAGTCGGCATTTAATGGATGTCCACTAATATTTAGTTTGGTTTGTGTTGCATATTATGGAAAGCACTCATCTATATTTAATGTCTATGCCACTGCCTGTGAATTTGTGGGAAGACAAGTGTATTGTAAAGTCAAATTCCTGCCACTCCAATTTTCTACCAGCATCTAAGTCCTCACAGCTGTGCTTTAGTGCCCCAAATTTGTTATTAAGCCCATAATCCCAGCTACTTGGGAGGCTAAGGCCGGAGAATTGCTTGAACCCAGGAGGTAGAGGTTCCAGTGAGCCAGGATCACACCGTTGCACTCCAGACTGGACAATAGCAGTGGAACTCAGTCTCCCCCCAAAAAAAAAAAATAGACATTTTTATACATATCACGGACAGGTTTTATATATGATCTTGTTTCTTGTGGACTGTAAGCTACTTGAGGTTAAAAGCTCTACTTTATTTATTTATGTCCCTCCACTGTTTACTACTACTTAGCACATATACGACAATCAGTTACATTTACTAAGTTGATGATTATAAGGAATCACACACGATATAATAGCTGAGTTGTTAATGAAAAAAAAATCAGTTTCTTTGTAATGATTCCTCTCTACCAGAAAAACAATCAAGAACCCGTTGTATGTGGTAGCTTATGTAAGAGGGAAGCTTCTGGAAAAGCACCTGCCAATTGTCACTGTTATATTTTCAGAGACAAAAGACAAATATAGTCACAATCACTGGTATAATTTTCATGACCTCTAAACAGTTCTGTATTTTTTAATGACTACAGAAATTTATTGGTTATTTTCAGTTTAGTTTTATGCAGTCTGGCAAAGTAATCAGATTAAGTATGTATGTATCACACACTTTTTCACTTATAGCAGTAATCCTTTATCTGCATCAGTCTAATTTAGTGCTTTGGGCAATAGAGTAATGCAGACTAAATCAAAGCTGGATATGAGCCAAGATGATGAGTTGGAAAGATCCCTGGCTTTGTAATTAGATAGACCTGGATTCCCATTAATTGAGGTAATGAATGTAAAATACTGAACACAGTGCCTGGCTCCTGGTAAGTTGCCCCATAAATGGTAGCTAATGTTATTTTACTTTAAAGAGTGCATAGTTTTTAAAATAATCATTAGGTAGGAAGAGCTGTGGTAAAGGAGTGAAGTTTGTTTCCTTGAAAGTACAGTTTACCAGCATGCAGTATATCTTGTTATTTGTTAGCTCTGTGGAAACATGCCTACCTAAAAAGGAGACTCAGGTTCTGAAACAGACCAAGAATGAAAGCACCAACTAACTCTTTTGTGAGGCCTTGTGCTTTTTTATTCAATGGAAGATAACAGTCATCAGATTGGGGTAGGGTCTAATGGTGGCAGCCAACTAGTGTGTGTTTTAATTGTGTGTGTTGCATGATGAGAGGTTTAATGCCTTAGGCAAGTCACTAGATGAGCTCAACTCTAAGAGTACATTTTCTTTAGTAAAAATAAGGCCAATACTATTTGTGTTGCAAAGTTATGAAGATTGATGATTATGTCAGTAAAATGCCCAGTGCCTGGCATTTTGAAAATGCTCCTATAAATTGAACCTTAATTTTTCTCATTATTATCATTGTTATTTTTATATAATGATCTGTGTATTTAAGGTGGGTTTGTCCTTTGAGGATCCTCTTCGCAATATTTTCCTGTTGCTTAGAAACACATCCTTTAAATAACAATAGAAGCTCTCTATGCATCTGAAAGTAGAAATGCTCTTAACTTTTTACTATTCCCACCTAAGCTTGTCTTCTAACATTACTTCTGATCTTTCAGAAGTACGTTCTCTTCGTGTAAAGGAATTATGGAAGAGTTTGCTGTCTGGCTAATCTTGCTATATGGTAGTATCTGCAGTTTTCCCAAGAGGAATGCGTTCATTTTGTGCTATCTAATTGCCAGTCTTAATGTATTCATATTGGCAAGTTTTCAGTATTCTGTCCCTACTTTTTTCCTTTTCCCTGTTGGCTGTGGTTTGACTTTGTTCCCCCAAAGTTTGTGTGTTTGAAACTTCATCCCAATGCAATAGTGTTAGGAGGTGGGATCTAATAAGAGGTGATTGGGTTGAATAAAGTAAGTCCAATCCCTGGTGCCTCTCTCTTGGTCCCTCTGTGTTTGCTTGCTATTCCAACATGTTATAACATAGCACAGAGGCCCTTGTCAGATGCTGGTACCATATTCTTGGACTTGCCAGCCTCCAGAACTGTGAGCCAAATAAATTTCTTTTCTTTATAACTTAACTAGTCTGTGATATTCTGTTATAGCAACAGAAAACGGACTAAGAGACTTGTGATGATTTGATTTAATTTTACTTTTTCCTGATAGTTTTAAGATTTTATTCTAAATACACTCTCACTGAAGAGTTCGTAATGCCATCTTATATTATTTTACTCTATATTTTTGTCTTTACTCTCTATCCTTTGATGTACTTGTTGTGACAACTTTAATCATGTTTAGACTGGTTTGTGGAGAAGAGAGGATCACAACAGGTACAGAAATAGGCTATAGACTTTATATGGCTGTTGTCAGTCTTTTCTATTTTATTATCTTGGAGTTGAACTTATGTAGGACATTACTGGCTACGGTAAAGAAATCAAATAAAAAGAAAGGACAGTTCTTTCAATCTTGTATTAGATTTATAGCCTACCAAAGGAACTCCATTGTTGATGCTGATAAACAAATGAATGGAAATTCAGAATGGTTATAGTAGTCCAGTGAGCTTTGGAAGGTTGTAAGCTTTCTGGGCCTTAGTTTTCTTCAGTACAAAATGGACATATTAACTGAGCTTTCTATTTCCGTGGATTGTATAAAGATCAGATGAAATATAGTTCACCCTTGAACAACACAGGAGTTAGGGGAACTGACACCCCCCCGACACACCCACACAGTCAAAAATCTGAGCGTAACTTTAGACTCCCCAAAAACTTACCTGCTAATAACCTACTGTTGACTGAAAGCCTTACCAGTAAAATGAACAATTAACACACATTTTAGTGTTGTATGTATTTGTACTATGTATGCCCTTAAAATAAAGGAAGGTAGGGGAAAAATCATGAAGAGAAAATATATTTACTATTCATTTAGAGGAAGTGGGTCATCACAAAGGTCTTTATTCTCATCATCTTCATGTCAAGGATGCTGGAGGAGGGGAAGGGGCTGGTCTTAGTGTCTCAGAGGTGACAGAGGCAGAAGGAGTAAGCCGAGAAGGTGGAAGGGGAGGAAGAAGTGGCAGGCACATTTGATGTAACTTTTATTGACAAATATCTGCATATAAGTGGACCCGCACAGTTCAAACCTGCATTATTGAAAGGTCAACTGTAATGTGAAACACATATAAAAATAATGTGTCTATCATCAAAGCATTATATACTTCATGATTTTAAAGTGTTAGTGACCAAGTAATCCTTTAAGGAAAGAGACTGTGTTGCCATATCATACTTATTAACTTATTGTTGTCTGTCTTCCAAAAAGGATTTGAAGCAAAAGTCACTAATGAAGTCATTGAATTGAATATGTTATTGGTGATAGAAGTGAAGTGAGAGGAAATCCGAGGAGAAATGCTTTGTAAGAATGTTGAATTCATTTGCTACATAGGCAGTAAATATTTAGGTAGCACATCTTCATAGAAGGAATAAAATGTGCAAATTTGATTGTTGTTGGCAAAGACTGATTTTTAAAACAACTGTAATACACAGTAGATCTAAAGAGATACTGCCTACCAAAGGGTAAGAGAAAAAGATTAGGATAATAAATTACAAATTAGCTTGACTTTGAGAATTTGGGGGAAATGTTGAAACTTACAGAGAAAGAATAAATTTAGGGAAATAATAATGTAACCAGGATAGGGCCTGAATTTTTTATATCTGTATGTAAAGAAGGAGCTGGTTCTTATTAACTTTTCTGAAGATCTGGTATGTACTTTAAAGCCTACTTTATCAACAACAACAACAAAACTCTGTGAAGAAGGGGTGGAGGGATGTTTCTAAGATCTTAGAGAAAATTGTAAGTATATGGTAGAACTTTAAGAAAATCATCTTTAGTACAAGAAGGATTATAATGGTTTTGGTTGAAGTTATTCAGTGTTGATTGTGACCATGTAACTAAAGTTTGTGATTCTTGAATTTGTGTTTTTTATACTTATGTTTTACAAAAAGATTTTATTTCTTCTTCAAGGAGGTTGTAAGAATTTTCCCTCGATTTTCTAAATCTAATGCAGAAATTGTTCCAGGCTATGAGTAAGTAGTGGAGGGAAGAAATTTGAGTCATGTTACCTCCATTTTTAGTGTCTCTCTTTAGCTTGTCCCTTCCTTTAGTCAAGGTATCTGTTAGATTTATAAAAATTTAGAATACCATATCCCTATAATTTTTCATCTAATAATCTCATTGAGAAAACACAGGAGAAGTTGGAAAGCAAATAGTGGTCACTGAGTGCTTCTTATGTATCAAATTCTAGATGTTAATATGTAATTTAATCTTCAGAAAGGGCTGTTAGACCATAAGCTCCTTGGAGCACAGCTTTGGGTCTTCATCTATGTAATCTCTCTAATTAACTGTACGTTTAATAAGTGTATACAGTTAGATACACAGTGAATGAGTAAACAAGTCTGTAAATTATTGTCCTCATTTTAGAGAAAATGAAATGGGTGTCTAAGAAATTAAGTCTATCAATAGTCCCATAGCTACTAAGCGGCAAAACCTTAACCTGTATGTAGTCTTTTTATTATTATTATTATTATTATTATTATTATTATTATTATTATTATACTTTAAGTTCTGGGATACATGTGCAGAACATGTAGGTTTATTACATAGGTATACATGTGCCATGGTGGTTTGCTGCACCCATCAACCAGTCATCTACATTAGGTATTTCTTCTAATGCTATCCCTCCCCTTGCCCCACACTCCCCAACAGGCCCCAGTGTGTGATGTTCCCCTCCCTGTGTCCATGTGTTCTCATTTTTCACCTCCCACTTATGAGTGAGAACATGTGGTGTTTGGTTTTCTGTTTCTGTGTTAGTTTGCTGAGAATGATGGTTTCCAGCTTCATCCATGTCCCTGCAAAGGATATGAACTCATCCTTTTTTATGGCTGAATAGTATTCCATGGTGTATATGTGCCACATTTGCTTTATCCAGTCTATCATTGATGGGCATTTGGGTTGGTTCCAAGTCTCTGCTATTGTGAATAGTGCTGCAATAAACATACGTATGCATGTGTCCTTATACTAGAATGATTTATAATCCTTTGGGTATATACCCAGTAATAGGATTGCTGGGTCAAATGGTATTTCTGATTCTAGATCCTTGAGGAATTGCCACACTGTCTTCCACAATGGTTGAATTAATTTACACTCTCACTAACATTATAAAAGCGTTTCTATTTTTTCACATCCTCTCCAGCATCTGTTGTTTCATGACTTTGTAATGATGGCCATTCTAACTGGCATGAGATGGTATCTCATTGTGGTTTTGATTTGAATTTCTCTAATGACCAGCAATGATGAGCTGTTTTTCATATATTTGTTGGCCACATAAATTTCTTCTTTTGAGAAGTGTCTGTTCATATCCTTTGCCCATTTTTTGATAGCGTTGTTCATTTTTTTCTTGTAAATTTGTTTAAGTTCTTTGTAGATTCTGGATATTAGCCCTTTGTCAGATGGATAGATTGCAAAAATTTTCTCCCATTCTGTAGGTTGCCTGTTCACTCTGATGATAGTTTCTTTTGCTGTGCAGAAGCTCTTTAGTTTAATTAAATCCCATTTGTCAATTTTGGCTTTTGTTGCAATTGCTTTTGGTGTTTTAGTCATGAAGTTATCACCCATGCCTGTGTCCTGAATGGTATTGCCTAGGTTTTCTTCTAGGGTTTTTATGCTTTTAGGTCTTATGTTTAAATCTTTAATCCATCTTGAGTTAATTTTTGTATAAGGTGTAAGGAAGGGGTCCAGTTTCAGTTTTCTGCAACCCCGTTTCTTAAATAGGGAATTCTTTCCCCATTGCTTGTTTTTGGCAGGTTTGTTAAAAATCAGATGGTTGTAGATGTGTTATTTCTGAGGGCTCTGTTCTGTTCCATTTGGTCTATATATCTGTTTTGGTACCAGTACCATCCTGTTTTGGTTACAGTAGCCTTGCAGTATAGTTTGAAGTCAGGTAGCATGATGCCTCCAGCTTTGTTCTTTTTGCTTAGGATTGTCATGGCTATACGGGCTCTTTTTTGGTTCCATATGAAATTTAAAGTAGTTGTTTCCTAATTCTGTGAAGAAAGTCAATGGTAGTTTGATGGGAATAACATTGAATCTATAAATTACTTTGGGCAGTATGGTCATTTTCACAATATTGGTTCTTCCTATCCATGAGCATGGGATGTTTTTCCATTTTTTTGTGTTGTCTCTTATTTCCTTGAGCAGTGGTTTGTAGTTCTCCTTGAAGAGGTCCTTCACATCCCTTGTAAGTTGTATTCCTAGGTATTTTATTCTCTTTGGAGCAATTGTGAATGGGAGTTTGCTCATGATTTGGCTGATATTGGTGTATAGGAATGCTCGTGATTTTCGCACGTTGATTTTATATCCTGAGACTTTGTTGACGTTGCTTTTTGGCTTAAGGAGATTTTGGGCTGAGATGTTGGGGTTTTCTAAATATACAATCATGTCATCTGCAAACAAAGATAATTTAACTTCCTCTCTTCCTATTTGAATACCCCTTATTTCTTTCTCTTGCCTGGTTGCCCTGGCCAGAACTTCCAACACTGTGTTGAGTAGGAGTGGTGAGAGAGGGCATCCTTTTCTTGTGCCAGTTTTCAAAGGGAATGCTTCCAGTTTTTGCCCATTCAGTATGATATTGGCTGTGGGTTTGTCATAAATAGCTCTTACTATTTTGAGATATGTTCCGTCAGTTCCTAATTTATTGAGTGTTTTTAGCATGAAGGGGTGTTGAATTTTATCAAAGGCTTTTTCTGCGTCTATTGAGATAATCATGTGGTTTTTGTCATTGGTTCTGTTTATGTGATGGATTACGTTTACTGATTTGCATATGTTGAACCAGCCTTGCTTCCCATGGATGAAGCTGACTTGATCGTGGTAGATAAGCTTTTTAATGTTTTGCTGGATTCAGTTTGCCAGTATTCTATTGAGGATTTTTCGCATCGATGTTCATCAGGGTTATTGGCCTGAAATTTTATTTTTTTGTTGTGTCTCTGCCAGGTTTTGGTATCAGGATGATGCTGGCCTCATAAAATGAGTTAGGGAGCAGTCCCTCTTTTTCTATTGTTTGGAATCGTTTCAGAAGGAATGGTACCAGCTCCTTTTTGTACCTCTGGTAGAATTTGGCTGTGAATTTGTCTGGTCCTGGGCTTTTTTTGGTTGATAGGCTATTACTGCCTCAATTTCAGAACTTGTTACTGGTCTATTCAGGGATTTGACTTATTCCTGGTTTAGTCTTGGGAAGTTGTATGTGTCCAGGAATTTATCCATTTCTTCTAGATTTTCTAGTTTATTTGCATACAGGTGTTTATAGTATTATCTGATGGTTGATTGTATTTCTGTGGGATCAGTGGTGATATCCCCTTTATCATTTTTTATTGTGTCTATTTGATTCTTCTTTCTTTTCTTCATTAATCTGGCTAGCAGTCTATCTATTTTGTCAATCTTTTCCAAAAACCAGCTCCTGGATTCATTGATTTCTTTTGAAGTGTTTTTTGTGTCTCTATCTCCTTCAGTTCTGCTCTGATCTTAGTTATTTCTTGTCTTCTGCTAGCTTTTGAATTTGTTTGCTCTTGCTTCTCTAGTTCTTTTAATTGTGATGTTAGGGTATCAATTTTAGATCTTTCTAGGTTTCTCCTGTGGGCATTTAGTGCTATAAATTTCCCTCTAAACACTGCGTTAGCTGTGTCCCAGAGATTCTGGGACGTTGCGTCTTTGTTCTCACTGGTTTCAAAGAACTTACTTATTTCTGCCTTAATTTCGTTATTTACCCAGTAGTCATTCAGGAGCAGGTTGTTCAGTTTCCATGTAGTTGTGCAGTTTTGAGTGAGTTTCTTAATCCTGAGTTTTAATTTGATTGCACTGTGTTCAGAGAGACCATTTGTTATGATTTCTGTTCTTTTGCATTTGCTGAGGAGTGTTTTACTTCCAATTATGTGATCAATTTTAGAATAAGTGTGATGTGATGCTGAGAAGAATGTATATTCTGTTGATTTGGGGTGGAGAGTTCTGTAGCTATCTATTAGGTCTGCATGGTCCAGAGCTGAGTTCAAGTCCTGAATATCCTTGCTAATTTTCTGTCTCGATCTGTCTAATATTGACAGTGGAGTGTTAAAGTCTCCCATTATTATTGTGTGGGAGTCTAAGTCTCTTTTTAGGCCTTTCAGAACTTGCTTTATGAATCTGGGTGCTCCTGTATTGGGTGCATATATATTTAAGATAGTTAGCTCTCCTTGTTGCATTGATGCCTTTATTATTATGTGATGCACTTCTTTGTCTTTGTTGATCTTTGTTGATTTAAAGTCTGTTTTATCAAGGGCGAAGATTGCAACCCCTGCTCTTTTTTTGCTTTCCATTTGCTTGGTAAAGCTTCTCCCATCCCTTTATTTTGAGCCTATGTGTGTCTTTGCATGTGAGATGGGTCTCCTGAATACAGCACACTGATGGGTCTTGACTCTATCCAGTTTTCCGTCTGTGACTTTTAATTTGGGCATTTAACCCATTTACATTTAAGGTTAATATTGTTATGTGTGAATATGATCCTGTCATTATGATGCTAGCTGGTTATTTTGCCCATTAGTTGATGCAGTTTCTTCAATGTCAGTGGTCTTTACATTTTGATTTGTTTTTGCAGTGGCTAGTACTGGTTGTTCCTTTCCATATTTAGTGTTTCCTTCAGGAGTTCTTGTAAGGCAGGCCTAGTGGTGACAGAATCCCTCAATATTTGCTTGTCTGTAAAGAATTTTATTTCTCCTTTACTTATGAAGCTTAGTTTGGCTGGATATGAAATTCTGGCTTGAAAATTCTTTTCTTGAAGAATGTTGAATGTTGGCCCCCACTCTCTTCTGGCTTGTAGGGTTTCTGCAGAGATCCACTGTTAGCCTGATGGGCTTCCCTTTGTGGGTAACCCAACCTTTCTCTCTGTCTGCCCTTAACATTTTTTCCTTCATTTCAACCTTGGAGAATCTGATGATTATGTGTCTTGGGGTTGCTCTTCTCAAGGAGTATCTTTGTGGTTTTCTCTGTATTTTCTGAACTTGAACGTTGGCCTGTCTTGCTAGGTTGGGGAAGTTCTCCTGGATAATATCCTGAAGTGTGTTTTCCAACTTGGTTCCATTCTTCCCGTCACTTTCCAGTACCCCAAGCAAATGTAGGTTTGGTCTTTTCACATAGTCCCATATTTCTTGGAGGCTTTGTTCATTCTTTTTCATTCTGTTTTCTCTAATCTTGTCTTTACACTTTACTTGATTAAGTTGATCTTCAGTCTCTGATATCCTTTCTTCCGCTTGATTGATTTGGCTATTGATACTTGTGTATGCTTCACAAACTTCTCGTGCTGTTTTTTTCAGCTCCATCAGGTCATTTATGTTCTTCTCTAATCTAGTTATTCTAGTTAGCAATTCCTCTAACCTTTTATTGAAGTTCTTAGCTTCCTTGCATTGGGTTAGAACATGCTTCTTGAGCTCAGAGGAGTTTGTTATTACGCACTTTCTGAAGCCTCCTTCTATCAATTCGTCAAACTAATTCTCTGTCCAATTTAGTTCCTTTGCTGGCAAGGAGTTGTGATCCTTTGGAAGAGAAGAGGCATTCAGGTTTTTGGCATTTTCAGCCTTTTTGTGCTGTTTTTTTCCTCATCTTCGTGGATTTGTCTACCTTTGGTCTTCGATGTTGGTGACCTTCGGATGGAGTTTTTGCTTCGTTGTCCTTTTTTTTTTATGTTGATGCTATTGCTTTCTGTTTGTTAGTTTTCCTTCTAACAGTCAGACCCCTCTGCTGCAGGTCTGCTGGAGTTTGCTGGGGGCCCACACCAGACCCTGTTTGCCTGGGTATCACCAGCAGAGGCTACACAACAGCAAAGATTGCTGCCTGTTTGTTCCTCTGGAAGCTTCATCCCAGAGGGGTACCGGCCAGATGCGAGCCGGAGCTCTCCTGCATGAGGTGTCTGTCGACCCCTGCTGGGAGGTGTCTCTCAGTCTGGAGGCTCAGGGGTCAGGGACCCACTTGAGGAGACAGTCTGTCCCTTATCAGAGCTCTAGCGCTGTGCTGAGAGATCTGCTGCTCTCTTCCAAGCCGGCAGGCGGGCACATTTAAGTCTGCTGAAGCTGCACCCACAGCCACCCCTTCCCCCAGGTGCTCTGTCCCAGGGAGATGGGAACTTTATCTATAAGCCCCTGACTGGGGCTGCTGCCCTTCTTTTAGAGATGCCCTGCCCAGAGAGGAGGAATCTGGAGAGGCAGTCTGGCTACAGCGACTTTGCCTAGCTGCAGTGGATTCCACCCAGTTCAAAATTCCTGGCAGCTTTGTTTACACTGTAAGGGGAAAACTGCCTACTCAAGCCTTGGTAATGGTGGATTCCCCTCCCCCCACAAAGCTCAAGCATCCCAGGTCGACTTCAGACTGCTGTGCTGGCAGCGAGATTTTCAAGCCAGGGGATCTTAGCTTGCTAGGCTCCGTGGGGGTGAGATCTGCTAAGCTACACTACTTGGCTCTCTCACTTCAGCCCCCTTTCCAGGGGAGTGAATGATTCTGTCTCACTGGCGTTCCAGGTGCCAGTGGGGTATGAAAAAAAAAACCCTGCAGCTAGCTAGGTGTCTGCTCAAATGGCCACCCAGTTTTGTGCTTGAAACGCAGGGCCCTGGTGGTGTAGGCACCCGAGAGAATCTCCTGGTCTGTGGGTTGCAAAGACTGGAAAATCGTAGTATCTGGGCTGGAGTGCACCGTTCCTCAAGGCACAGTTCCTCAGGGCTTCCCTTGGCTAGGCGACGGAGGTCCCCAACCCCTTGCACTTCCTGGGTGAGGTGGTGCCCCACCCACCCTTCTTCGGCTCGCCCTCTGTGGACTGTACCCACTGTCTAACCAGTCCCAATGAGATGAGCCAGGTACCTCAGCCGGAAATGCAGAAATCACCTGCATTCTGTGTTGGCCTCGCTGGGAGCTTTTTGTTTGTTTGTTTGTTGTGTTCTTAATGAGTTGGAGTTTTGCTGTTTTTGCCCAGGCTGAAGTGCAATGGCACAATCTCGGCTCACTGAAACCTCCACCTCCTGGGTTCAAGTGATTCTGCTGCCTCAGCCTTTCGAGTAGCTGGGGTTACAGGCATGCACCACCAGGCCCGGCTAATTTTGTATTTTCAGTAGAGACAGGATTTCTCCATGTTGGTCAGGCTGGTCTCGAACACCCAACCTCAGGTGATCCGCCCGCCTCAGCTTCCCAAAGTGCTGGGATTACAGGGGTGAGCCACCGCGCCTGGCCTGTCCTCTTTAATTATCTTACATATGTCAGTTATGAACTTGATTTTTCAGCACCCTGCAATTCATTCACTCAGAAAGAGAACATAAATGCAATAGTCAAAATAGTTTTCATGTAGAGGGTGAAATATAAGACTATCCAGAATGTTGCCTTTTTACTTCTGCTTCATTGCCACATTACATCAATGGTTGAGTAACAGTTATACCTCTGAACTATTTTCCACAGAACAGAAATGACCTGTTAGGAGCATTATCTTTGCTTTTGAATAATGATAGTGGTCAAGAGCTTGAACTAAGTAGTTAGACAAACTTAGTCTCAGTCATGCTACTAACTGGCTCTTTTTCTTTAGGCAAATTTCTTTTGTCTAAAGAACCTCTCTAAGCTTCACTTTTGCCATAAAATGGGAATAATAATACTTACCTTATAGGTCTAATGTGAGGATAGAGATAATATGCTTAGCTCAATAACTCGCATATAGAAGATGCTTGTTAAGAGTTAGTTAAAATTGGATGTTTCTGTTGATGATGTTGTCATTGCTATTACAAATATTATTATCAACTTTGAATATAGTGATTTAATTTTTCCATTGGTCCCCTACACCAAGGAAAAGTCATTGGGAAATAATCACAGGGAGTGTATTTATATAAATGATGGCCTTTATTACATATTGTACGTTGATAAAATTTGCTTCTTAGCATGTTGTGAGTACCTTTAAATTAAAACTTTTGGAGAGGATAAAACAATTTTCTTTATTTAAAAAATTTTCCAGCCGGGCGCGGTGGCTCACGCCTGTAATCCCAGCACTTTGGGAGGCCAAGGCGGGCAGATCACGAGGTCAGGAGATCGAGACCATCCCGGCTAAAACGGTGAAACCCCGTCTCTACTAAAAATACAAAAAATTAGCCGGGCGTAGTGGCGGGCGCCTGTAGTCCCAGCTACTTGGGAGGCTGAGGCAGGAGAATGGCGTGAACCCGGGAGGCGGAGCTTGCAGTGAGCCGAGATCCCGCCACTGCACTCCAGCCTGGGCGACAGAGCGAGACTCCGTCTCAAAAAAAAAAAAAAAAAAAAAAAAATTTTCCTGGGACTGGCATGGTGGCTCACACCTGTAATCCCCAACACTTTGGGAGGCTGTGGCAGGAGGATCACTTAAGCCCAGAGTTCAAGACCAGCCCAGGGAACATAGCAAAAACCTGTCTTTACAAAAATATATATACATATATTTTTAAAAGATTAGCTGAGTGGGTATGGTGGCACACACCCTGTAGTACTGGCTACTTAAGAGGCTGAAATAAGAGAATCACTTGAGCCCAGGAGTTTGAAGTTCCAGTGAACTGTGATCACACCACTGTACTCCAGCCTGGGTGACAGAGTGAGAACTTGTCTCAAAAAGAAAAAAAAAAATTTATTCTATCTTATATCTTTGACTTGCAAAAGCCTATATTTTTAGAATCAGTTTTTTTAGACATTAGTCTGATACAGAAACCAAGGTTCTCTGCAGCAGACCATTCTGAGGTTGTGGGGATATTGTTGGAAAAAAATATGATTAGGATTTATTATACATTCTTACCTTTATTTGTTTTTTGTCAGAGAAGCAGTCACCCCTGATTGTTGCTTTAGGCCATCAATTGATGTGCACTGCAAGGGGTAAATTGTTCTACACATTAGTAAGCTGGGTAAGCAAATTGTTGTGCAAACCTAATTTGTTTCCTAGAGAAAGTGACTGACATACAATTTTGAAAATGGAAATATTCATAAATTGGGTGACCATGGTGGAATAGATCCATTGTGAAATAACCACTACGTTTAAGAATCCTGTACTCATTGGTGAGACTGACAAAAAACAGTACTGTGACTGAGGTAAACACAAGGTTACAGCAGCCCTTAAGAGGAGTACTTTCCTCAGGCTTGGGGAAGGTAGGACAGACAGGAGAGAGGAATCAGAAGTCTTCACAATATTGATATCTATTCTGGGCCTTGAAGATGAAGTGGGAGTTGGCTAGGTAGATGGAAGGTAGGAGGGGAAGGGGGTAAATTTTTCCAGGTTGTGAGAGCAACATGTTTGAGGAACTATAAGATAGGGGAATAGAATGAGAATACTGGGTGTTAGAGAAGAATGAGATTTTTCTAGATGTAACTTTTTTGCACTATATAGCCCACCAGTTAGAGGGTCTGTTTTGTGAAGAAACTAGTCAGTTCAGAGGAGGAAAATGATGGAAGTAGTATTCATTAAACTAAATATTTTATTCTGTTGACTTGGTCAATCAAGTCAGACTTGGAGCCTGATAATCCATTTGGGCATCGATTTGTCTTTATTGTTAACTTTGTAACTTGGAAAAATTTTTTCAAAATCTTCACATGGTTCTCAATACTGGTTTTACAATATAATCACACGAGGAAGTTTTGTAAAAATAACACTGTGGATTTGCTGTAAAATGTCCCAATGGAAATTTTTTTTAATGTTTGGGGGTGGGGAAATAGATGATGTAAGATTTGCAAAATATTGCTAATCACTGACACTTGGTAATATATTTCCATTATGTTTGTATATGTTTGAGCATTTACATAACTAAAAGTTTAAAAAGTAAAATTAGAATTTTTTCTGAACAGCCATCAAAAGATACTCATACTTGGGCCCCATCCTAAACCAATTAGGTCAAAATTTCTTGGGGTTTAGGACCCACGTATCTTTTGTTTGTTTGTTGTTGTTGTTGTTGTTTTGGAGTTCAACATGTTTATGGTGTGTAGCCATGGTTGAAAGCTTTTATTTTATAAGATAGACAAAGCAGGAATTATTATTCTCATTTTACAGGAGAAAAACAGAAGGGCTATGTGGTTTGTTAAAAGGCCACACAGACAGTAAAGAACACAGCCTTTACATGGTCAGCCTCACATTCTAGTACTCATTTTATTACACTGCTCTTCTTCTCTGTTGCCTGGTATCAAAGGAATTAGTTTGTTGCTAGTTAGTATCACATGATATGTTCAGAACTATACTATATTGAAGATCTTAGTCCCTACGACTCTGTTCTAGAGCATCCCTAGTTCCTGTTCTTCCTCAGACTGGCAGTGAGTATTGAGTGCAAGCAACAAAGTTTGTTAAATTGCTCTTATTTGTGAGTGGATGCTTATAGTTCAGCCTGCCATTTTTTTTTTCTTGGCCTGTGAGTAAGAAAGCAAGCAGTGTAAGTGCCTCTAAGAAGGAAAAGATGCTGATACTTTTCTCATGCCCTCTGTGCTAGGGCAGTAAATCTACATGCAAATTAAAGATTTTGGTGACAAATGAGAACACCCATCATGACTCTAGTCTCTTCTTAACTTTCCTGGGTGTTGTTAATTCATAACATAGTTTGAATTCACTTACTATTATTGATTTCTATATTTATTAGAATGAAAAGGGAAATCTTGCCTTACAAGGGAAATATGGTTATCAGACGCTTTCTTTGTCATGGAATAAAAAGACCTTCTAGGATATAAACTGTGAGAATGACAGTTAAATTGATATGGTGAAGGTTAATGCGTGCTTGCTGCATTGATGTTGGAGGTCCCAATCATTTACCACTATGCTCCTATAATACATGCCGTACATCTTCATTAGGAAGGCACAGAGCAATCAGTTTCAGGTTTCTGGATGAGCCTGTGGCCAGGCCATAATTAACCTTTTGAACTTGGAATTGTAGCAGAATGTTCTATTGGCTTAGGTTATCAATTATGGTTAGAGTCGATTGATATTCAAAGAAGGCTTATTGGTGATAGATATTATAATTTACTCATCTGCCTGTTGTGTGCTTGACAAATAGAAATGTCATAACAAATAATTTTGTTTTTTGCTTTTGGAAAGAGATTATTTGCCAAACAGTTCTATAAGCAACAGCTGTTGTTCAGGTTTTTTCTTGAGGTGGGGGAGGGTCTTAATTTTCAGTATTGTTTTTCAGTTTCCTATGTATGAAGCAGTGCAACTAATAAGGGGACTTTTAGAGTTACATATGTCAAATTTTACTAGAAAAAAACTCACACATAGCATATCAACATACTTTAAAAATAAGTCTAAAAAATTAAAGTTCAAGTGAAATCATGTATTTTATTTATTTATTTATTTTGAGACGAGGTCTCACTCTGTCACCCAGGCTGGAGTGCAGTGGTACAAACACAGCTCACTGCAGCCTCAAACTCCTCGGTTCAAGCCGTCCTCCTACCTTACCCTCCCAAACAGCTGGGACCACAGCCGTGCATCACCACGCCCTGATGATTTTTTTATATTTTGTAAAGATGGAGACTCCGTATGATGTCCAGCTGGTCTCAAACTCCTGAACTCAAGTGATCCACCCACCTCTGCTTCCAAAAATGCTGGAATTACATGCATGAGCCACCACCCCCAGATGTTAAAATTTTTGTGTCTTCTTTTTCTATACAGTATTTCACTCAAATAAAATAGTATCAGAAAAATGGCTGACTGAATTTTGCTTTTTTGGAAAAACTTGCTAGAATGTTTGTTAATCAGGTAAAACTGAAAATATTAATTGCCAGTCCAAATGAAGGGAAGTTTGCCTTTTTTGTTGTTGTTGTTCTGGCAAACTTTATTAAAAAACAAAAACAATATACCAATGGACAGAATTTTCTCTGCCACTTGAGGAGCCCCTATCCCAAACCAAAACTACTGAAGCTGATCACACAGGTATACACATCACTGGTAACTCTATAAGAAATAAAAGGAAAAATGAATATGTCTGGTTACCACAAGCCCATGTGATAATGCATGGCTGTGTGACACAGAAAACGGTATACAGGTCAAAAATGCCTTGGAAAAATACAAATTTTTAAAATATGGAATATGTAGACCTTAATCCACTCGGCCACATTTTTATATTAACACATCAATGTATTATATTTGCGGTTAAGTAGGAAATTTGCCTTTTTTATGAATTTCAAATTATCTATTATAGTTTAAAGATAACTGCTCAAACTAAGCAGCTGTTTGTTTTTAAGCTATAGTTGTTTATTCTGTTAACTTACCCTATTAGTTTTAGAAATAATGTTTTATTAAAATCAAATATGCCTTAGAAGTTATTTCTAGAAAAAAGTTGCACTGAGGTTTTATTTATTGAAGTTTTAATTGTAATTTGACTATGCATATTGTTTTGAAATGACAGTCGTCCCTCAGTATCTGTGTAGGATTGGTTCCAAGACACCCCACAGATACCAAAATCCATGGATGCTTTGGTCACTTATATAGAATGGTGTAGTATTTACATTTAACTAGTGCACATCCTCTCACATACTTTAAATCATCTCTAAATTATTTATAATAACTAATACAATGTAAATGCTACGTAAATACTTGTTATACTATATTGTTTAGGGAATCATGACAAAGAGAAAGTCCATATATGTTCAGTACGGTTGCAACCATCCATTTTTCCCCATATTTTCAATCTGCGATTGGTTGAATCTATAGAAGGTCCAACTGTATAGTGAGAAATTGAGAACATGAATATCCAACACTAAGGCATTGGTTGAGTATATTGTGTACATCACTTTGAAGAAATATTATAGGTATTAACATGATGATAGGATAGAGTTTTAATAACTTGGGAAACTGTTACCTTAAAAGTTAAAAAGCAGGTTAGAAAATTGCATATTTAGGGGTGAGATGAGGGTTATTGAGAAAGACTGGAAGGAAGTATACTAAAATGTAAACAGTGGTCACTTAGAAGTGGTAGTATTATGTCTTTTTTCTTATTTATATATTTTATCATATAAAATTTTTTTTTCTGATATGTTTATCAGTATCATCATAGCATAGTGTGTAAGGCCTGACTGCCTGGTTCAGATTCCAACTCTGTTACTTCCTGGCTCTGTGGCTCTGTGACATTGGACAAATATTTATACTCTTAGGCTTCGGTTTCCTCATTTGTAGAATGGGTACAAGAACCTATCTTATAGGATTGATATGAAGATTAATTATATATTAATAATAATATATTTGGAGTTTAAGTAAACACATAATCACATAATGCTGTGAGTGCTGTAACCTTGTCCGCTCTCTTCTGAGCATAGCCCTTCTAGTGTTGTAGCATAGTGCACAGCCTGTTGGTTTACTGCTCACCGTTCACTAGCCCTTTAGCCGTCATATCTATCTTCCTTCTCTGTGTCTCCATCTGTATGTCTCATGAGCTTTATAGGGGAGGCAAAAACTTTTCCCTCTACTCCTTCTACATTTTCCAACTGTGGCCCTGTACATTATACTACCAAAAGACAGATTACCAAGGGAAAAGCATACAAATTTTACTTAATAACTTTTACATGTATACAGGAGCCTTGACAAGAAAAATGAAGATCAAAAAGAACAGGGCCAAAAGGTTATATACTAGGTTAGATATAGAGTATTAAATTGTAGAAACGTGATGAGACAGGGAAGTTCATTTTGGAAAAGTCACTAGGAAGATAAAGGTTAGTTTAACAGAGTCTCTTTATAGATTTTTCTCTACCTGGACTCCCCTCTCTGGTAATAAGAATGTCTTTTTTTTTTTTAATTTTTTTTTTATTATACTTTAAGTTTTAGGGTACATGTGCACATTGTGCAGGTTAGTTACATATGTATACATGTGCCATGCTGGTGCACTGCACCCACTAACTCGTCATCTAGCATTAGGTATATCTCCCAATGCTATCCCTCCCCTCTCCCCCCACCCCACCACAGTCCCCAGAGTGTGATATTCCCCTTCCTTTGTCCATGTGTTTTCTTCCTACTGGTACAGGGAGAGTTTCTTTCACTTGAGAGTTTGATCTGCTTTCAGGAAGAAAAAGAAAGGTCAGAGTATTCTTCTTGTATCTGCTGTTTTTTCAGTGCCGTTAACTCAAAATATTCTTTATGCCAAAGTAGCATATTTTGGAGTAGCATATTCTGCTACTCATCTTTCTTACTCAGTCATTTCTAAGATATAACCATTCAGCTTCTCCCCAGACTTCTCTCCCTTTTGCTAAGTGAATGTCATTCTTACCTCAGTCACAAAATGAAAGATGTGGAAGTCATCTGGATGCTTTATCTTCCTATGTTCTTTTGAAAACCTTTGCTTTTTTCTTTTCCCTTCTGCCACAATTCAGACCTTTATTTCCCATCTACCTCTTAATGGGTTCCCCTAATTCTAGTCTTGGCTTTCCCCTTCCCAGACATCCTAGACAGAGCTGTTAGTGCAGTCTCTCTGAAGTGTCAGTCTTTCAGTGAGCCCCATTTCTTTCAAAGTGAAACCCAGACCTCCAAGACCTAGCCCAAAACAGGGGTTCTGAGCTATATTCATTCCACCTCTCACTGGCTTTGCTGAATTATTTGTAACTCTTTGATGTGCTCCTTCACTACTTTTGGGCCCTCCTACATGCTCTTCCTTTTCTCTGGAATGCTCTCTAACTTTCTGTGATTTCTTCTCTGCATTAGGTATTCCTCCAAATTGGCTTAACACATAGAACAAAGCAATCAAAGAATTTATCATACTTTATGGTAATTGTCTATTTCCTTGTCTCTGGTCCCCTTTAGGTTATGAGCCACTTATACTTAGGGATCATGCCTTATTTATCTCTGTGCCTCTAGTGCCCAGAAAAATGGCAGACACCCAGGAAACACTGAATGAAAAAGTAAACTTGATGGAAAAATAGCAAATTACAGGTGATGGGTAATGTTTTTATAAAATAATATGTATGGCTAGTTATTCTTCTGTTCTTATTATACATAGCAAAGTCATCTTGTCCTCACCATCACAACTATCATTATTCTCCTAATAACTTGTTTTTTTATTTATTGTTCTTACTTCTGTTCATGATTGTGAGCCATGGTGGATACATGGAGTCAGAAGAGTTAGTTAATGCTTGGTGAGCAGGGATAACAGTTGTCCTCAATATAACTTTGCTTGTGGGCATAGAGTTAATACTTGACAAAGCCAAGAAGGGCCTGGATTTTTCCTACTTTGTTTCTTGCACTATCTGTAAAATTTTTTTCAGTGTAAAATTTTACACTATCTGTAAAATATTGTTTAATTCCTTGAAAATTTTATATCTTCAATAAATGTTTGTAGGATAAAAATGGCATATTGTGTCCAAACAAACAAAAAAAAGGTAAATACTTGAAAGTAAGATTATACCATGGAAACAAAGGATATTATGCAGCAAGCAGGTCATTGTCACCACAGACAGACAATACTATTTTGGCTATATGAACTCTTTAAAAGGAGGTTTATAGACTGTCACCAGACTCATGAAAAAGGAAACACTGATTGACGGATCTGGTAAAGGAACAGCAGAACAAGAGGTGATTTTGTCTTAACTTCTCTTAAAGAGTTCTTATAACCAAATAGTATTGTCTGCTTGTGGTAACAATGACCTGCTTGCAGCATAATATCCTTTGTTTCCATGGTATAATCTTACTTTCCTTTTAAGTATCTGCCTTTTTTGTTGGGACACAATCTGCCATTTTTATCCTGTAAACATTTATTAAGATATATAATTTGTGAGGAATTAAACAAAGCTCTATAAAAAAATTTTAGAGATAGTGCAAGAAACAAAGTAGGAAAAATCCAGGGCCTTCTTGGCTTTGTCAAGTATTAGCTCTATGCCCACAAGCAAAGTTATATAAGTTGCCAGAGTCTTGGCTTCCCCTTTAAAACTTGGGGATAAAAATCCCTACTTCAGAATCATGTCTGGCATAGAGTAGATACTTAATAAAAGCTGGTTTTCTTTCTTTCTTCCTGCTTCCCCATATAGCATGTGTACAGCATAATTGTAATCAGGGAACCCACCCAAACTGCAGGTTGCAAATCTATCTGAAGATGTATCACTAAACAATCTCCTGCTGAAATAGTCACTGTCACATCATCTGCCCTTCATGTGATCACACATCTTTTCCCTGCCTACTAAACTACCAATGGTTAATTTGTTTAGATTTGAGCATTCTTGGCAATTATTACCCGTGCTACTACAACTTACAAATAGAGAAAAATTATATTACTCTTGGGATGGGAATGCAGTCATTGTGTGTGAACAGCCATTCATCCATTAACTCATTCATTTACTGACAAAAATTTTAGTACCTCCTATGTTCCAGACATGGAACAGACATGCTCCAGACAAATACCATTAACTCTTATAATGTAATAGATATTTTAATCTTAGCTGTCGTATTATTATCCAATATCATTATATACCAAGCCAAGCTCTTGAAATAAATTATTTAATTTATACAGTGGTTCCTCCAAGGTAGGTGCTATAATTAACCCTCATTTTACAGATAAGGAAATTGAGTCCTAGAGAAGTTAAGTGATATCCTGAAGTTCACATAGCTAATAAAAAAAGGAGCTAGGATTCAGACCTAGGCACTTTGAGTCTAGAATGTGTGATTTTAACTTCTGTGCCAGGAGGTCTCAAAGTGAGTTTCAGGGACTTATTAGAGATCCCCAAGACCCTTTCAGGGAGTCAGTGAGATCAAAACTACTTTTAAAATAATGCTAGAATAATATTTACCTTTTTCACTCTCATGAATGTACAGTGAAGTTTTCTAGAAGCTCTATGTCATTATATCACAACAGATTGAATGCAGAAGCAGATATGAAAGAAACTTATAAAATGTAAAACAGCACCACTCTAATTTAAAAAGGCTTTGTTTCAGAAAATACAGCTTTTTCACAAAAATGTATTATTTATATTAACATGCCATACATTTATTATTTTAAAATAAATTAATATTTTTTAATTCTCAGTTTTAATTTCTAATATGGTAAATATCAATTGATAGAACTTACATAAATAAAAGCTTCCTGGGTTCTTCAGGAATTTTTTTAAATTACCAAAGCGTCCATGTACAAAAAGTTTGAGAACTGCTACTCTACAGTGTTAGAACCTTCCTCATATTTCAGAACCTCATATTTCAGAACCTTTCTTTTGGCATACATTTTGTATTTTTTAAGTTAACCTCCCAATTTCAGACAGTCCAGCCATTCTGTTAAGAAAAGCCTTCCTTACAAGTTGTCAGAATTGTTAGCAGTAATACTTGAGACCTTTGTATATTCTTTGACCCTGTTTACCTGCTCCAGGAGCTTACAGTACATACCAGAATATCATGATTCTGGTGTACTTGAGTCACTTTTAAAGTTAATTTTTATGAAATACATAGAATGATTTTATAATTAAAGCAGATTGGGTATAAATGTTTATATTTCAGTATATCACTGGTATGACAACTGGTATATCACTACCTCCAAAAGTTTATCCAGCCACAAAGAGGGAATATTCTGTTTTCTTTCTTAGATAATGAAAAGGCTGAATGTTTTAATACAGTTTATTGAATAATATATTTGCCAGCATTTTAGAAGCATTATAGAGTATGGCACACTAGATGGTTTCTAACAGAACTGTTTATTTCATTTAACAAACAGTTGTTAATCATATGCCAGACCCTTTGCTTAAGTACTAGGGACACAGACTAAATGTGGTCTTGGTTCTTAAAAATCTTATGAGTGGCCAAGTATGGTAGCTCAAGCCTGTAATCCTATCGCTTTGGGAAGCCAAGGCAGGAGGATCACTTGAAGCCAGGAGTTTGAAACCAGCCATGGCAATTTAGTGAAACCCTGTCTCTACAAAAAATTTAAAAAATGGTTGGACATGGTGGTGTGCGCCTATAGGCCCAACTGCTTGGGAGGATGATTGCAGCCCGGGAGTTCAAGAATGCAGTTAGCTGTGATTATGCCACTGCACTCCAACCTCGGTGACAGAGCAAGACCCTGTCTCTAAAACAAAAAAAAACAAAAACTTTATGTTAGGGGAGATAAAAAAAGAAAACAAATGAAAGAGATTTTTGCCAAGCTACTACTAAACTTCTTAAAAATAGCATCTTTTTTGTTCTTGATGAATGATGATTATCATTGATTCTACGTGAATAAAAGGTAGCCTATTTGATATGAGTATAGTATATTAGCAAATTCTACTCCCATTATGAAATGGAAATTATTGAGATCTAATACAATGATAAAGTATTTCATAAAACAATGACTATTCTATTTCTAATCTCTCTCAAGATAAAAGATAATATTGTCTATGTATATAGTGGACACAGAGACTGTTCACTCTAAGATAAAGTTAATTGCCATGAGTTTGTACATGTGATCATCAAAAAGAACAGTATCCTAAATTTCCCAGAAAGTTGTGAAACATGTAGGTATAGATTTTAAATAACTAGACTACATATCCAAATATTACAGTGGATGTATACCCCTTTTTATGCCGAATGAACTGATCGCAGTTTAAATTTTTGCAGCTAGGAATGCTTTGTAGGTCTGCCTTACTTATATACTTAGTGCACAATCTAACGGGATTCCAACAAGTATCACATTACTGGTATTTCACAGGAAAGGGGAAGTGGGACTCCCGTGTGGTAAATATCGTTAGCTTAGAATTCATAGATGACAGTTTGTCCAGAAACAAAGTTAAAAATCTAAAACTTGCTAGCAAAATTTTTACTACTAAAAGTTTTATTCTAATGAAGTATGAACTTGGTATTACCTAAAACTTAATAACATCTTTTGAGATGCACAGTGTCATGCTAACCTAGAACGGTATCTGAGTCCTAGCCCAGCCATTTAGATTATGTGGAGTTTCTAGGGCCCAGTAAAAATGGACATGAATAAAGAGGTACATTTTAATGAAATTGTGACTTTGTTTTGAATTTATAAATGTTGTATAGAATAATGATGAGTTTTACTAACTTCTTGTAGAGAGAATTAAAGACAGGTAAATTTAAGATTTCTTGGCTTGGTATTACTTCCTGTTAGAGGAGGAGGGAGTTGTAGTTAGAAAAGTATACAATGTATTGCTAATTTTTGGAAAATAAAAAATGTATTTTTATAACACCAGCTATTACTGAAATAAAACTCAATGAAATATTCCTGACTGGTAAAGATACTGTGATTTTTTTTTTTTCTGGGGAAGGGGCAAGTTGCCCCTGCCCTCCCATCTTCTACAAAGAGGGACTCAGAATCTCTGGGGTGATTTGAAAACTTTATGTTTATCAAAATGATGATGGATGGTGGAAGGACGGGGAGAAGTATTCAAAGAATGGGAATTAAAATATTAATAACACTGGTGTAATGGCCAGAGTCCTGAGCACTGTCTTACTAGCCTGTTGATTTCTTTTTTTAAAATTCGTTTTTCTCATTTTAATGTTTTAAAACATTTTCTAATTGACACATAATAATTGTGCATATTTATGGGGCACATAGAGATGTTGTGATACATATAATGTGTAGTGATCAGATCAGGATTATTAGCATATCCATCATCTCAAACATTTATCATTTCTTGGTAATATACAATATCTTCTATTTAAAATTGTATAATATATTATTGTTAACTATAGCCATTCTACTATAGTTAGAATTTATTCCTCCTATCTAGCTGTAATTTTGCGTGTGTGTGTTTTTAAACAAATCTCTCCTTATCTTCCTATTCTCCCTAGCCTTTCCCAGACTTTAATATTCTCTATTCTACTTTTTACTTCTATGAGACCAACTCTTTCTTAGCCTCCACATGTGAGTGAGAACATGCAGTGTTTCACTTTCTGTTTGGGCTTATTCCACTTAACATAATGCCTGCAGTTGCATCCATGATTCTGTGAATGATAGGATTTCCTTCTGTTTTATGGATGAATAGTGTTCCCTTGTGTATGTGTACCACATTTTCTTTATCCATTTATCCACGAATGGACATATAGGCTGATTCCATATCTTGGCTATTATGAATAGTGCTGCAACAAACATGGCAGCGGGGGTGGTGGTACAGATGTCCCTTTGATATACTGATATCTTTCCTTTGGATAAAGTACCAGTAATAGGACTGTCAAATCATAAGGTAGTTCTATTTGTAGTATTTTGAGGAACCTCCGTATTTTCTCCATAGTGGCTATACTGTCACATTCCCACCAACAGTATATAAACAGTATTTTGTCCACATTCCCACCAGCATTTTTTTTGCTCTTTTTGATAATAGCCATCCTAATGGGATGAAATGATGATATTTCATTGTGGTTTTGATTTGCATTTCCCTGATGATTAGTGATTAAATATGTTTGTTGGCCATTTCTATGTCTTCTTTTGAGAAATGTCTGTTCAGATTATTTGCTCATTTTCTTTTTTTATTATTATTATTTTTGGAGGATGGAGTCTTGCTCTGTCGCCCAGGCTGGAGTGCAATGGTTTGGCTTACTGCAGCCTCCGCCTCCCAGGTTCAAGCGATTCTCTTGCCTCAGCCTCCCGAGTAGCTAGGATTACAGATGCACGCCATGACGTCCAGCTAATTTTTGTATTTTTAGTAGAGATGGGGTTTCACCATGTTGACCATGCTAGTCTCGAACTCCTGACCTTGTTGATCCACCCGCCTCAGCCTCCCAGAGTGCTGGGATTACAGACGTGAGCCACTGCACCTGGCCTCTTTGCCCATTTTCTAATTGGATTATATGTGGGGTTTTGTTGTTGTTGTTGTTGTTGTTGTTGTTGTTGTTTTGCTGTTGTGACGTTAGAGTTCCTTGTATATTCTAGATATTAATCCCTTGCCAATTAATAGTTTGCCAGTATTTTCTCCCATCCTGTAGGTTGTTCACTCTGATGATTGTTTCCTTTGCTGTGCAGAAGGTATTTAATTTGATATAATCCCATTTATTTACTTTTGTTTCTGTTGCCTGTGATTTTGAGGTCTTATGCATAAAATATTTTCCAGACCAATGTCCTGAAGTGTTTTCTTCTGGTAGTTTTATTGTTTTAGGTCTTACATTTAGGTCTTTGATCTATTTTGAGTTGATTGTCATATAAAGTGAGAGTTGGAGGTCTAGTTTCGTACTTCAGCATTAATTTGGATTAATTTGGGAGTTCTCTATTCAGTTTTATTGGTCCATCTTTCTGTTTGTATGCCAGTACCATACCGTTTAGCTTACTACAGCTTTGTATTACATTTTGAAGTCTAGTAGTCTAATGCCTGCAGCTTTATTCTTTTTACTCGATGTCATTTTGGCTATATTTGGGGTCTTTGTGCTTCTATACGACTTTTAGGATTTTTTTTTCTATTTCTGTGAAGAATGTCATTGGCATTTTCATAAAGAGTGCACTGACTATAAATTGCTTTGGGTACTATTGTCAGTTTTACAATATTAAGTCTTCTGATCCATGAGCATAGGATGTTTTTTTCTTTGTATGTATCCTCTTCAGTTTCTTTCATTTGTGTTTTGTAGTTTTCCTTGTAGAGGATTTTCAACTCCTTGGTTAAATTTATTTCTTGGTATTTTTGTAGCTAGTATTGTAAATTTGCATTGTAAATATTATAAATAGTAGCTACAAAAAATGGATTGCCTTCTTGATTTCTTTTTCAGCTATTTCATTGTGTATAGAAATGCTACTGATTTTTGTATGTTGAGGGTGTATCCTGCAACTTTACTGAATTCATTGATCAGTTCTAAATGTTTTTTGGTAGAGTCTTTAGGTTTATCTGTATATAGGATCATGTCATCTGCAAACAGGGACAATTTGGCTTTCTCCTTTCCAATTTATATGCCCTTTATTTCTCTCTCTTGTCTAATTGCTCTGGATACGACTTCAGTGCTATGTTGAATAAGAGTGAGAGTGGAAACCCTTGTCTTGTTCCAGTTTATAAAGGAAAAGCTTTGAGATTTTCTTCACTCAGTATAATGTTAGCTGTGAGTTTGACATATATGGCCTTTATTGTGTTAAGGTAGTTTCCTTCTATACCAGATTTATTGAGAATTTTTATCATGAAGGGATGCTGAATTTTTTTATCCTTCATTCTATTGATGTGACATATCTCATTTGTTGATTTACATATGTTGAACTATCCTTGCATACCTGTGATAAATCCCACTTGATTATGGTGTATTATCTTTTTCATGTGCTATTTGATTCAGTTTGCTAGCATTTGTTGGTTTTTGCATCTGTGTCCATGAGGGATATTGGCCTGTAGCTTTGATTTTTTGTTGTCCTGATTTTGATATCGGGGTTATACTGACCTTATAAAATGAGTTGGGAAAAATTTCCTTCACATCATTTTTTTAATAGCTTGAGAAGACTTGGTATTCATTCTTCCTTAAAGATTTGGTAGAATTAAGCAGTGAAGCCATCTGCTCCTGGACTTTTCTTTGTTGGGACTTCAGTACTATTTTGAATAACAGTGGTGAAAGTGAACATCCTTGTCATGGCTCAGATCTTAGAGGAAAGTCTTTTGATTTTTCCCCATTCCAGATGATACTAGCTGTGGGTCTGTCATATATGGCTTTTATTATGTTGAGGTATGTTCTCCTTGGTAAGGCTTTTTAGGTATTCAAAGGGACTTGGAGCACAAGCCCAGTAATGCTGTGGTTTTTGCAGATGCTTAAAAAGAGGTGCCACCTGGCTGGGCATGGTGGCTTACACCTGTAATCCCAGCACTGTGGGAGGCCAAGACAGGAGGATCACCTGAGGTCAGGAGTTCGAGACCAGCCTGACCAACATGGAGAAACCCCGTCTCTACTAAAAATACAAAATTAGCCGGGCATGGTGACACATGCCTGTAATCCCAGCTACTCGGGAGGCTGAGACGGGAATTGCTTGAACCCAGGAGGTGGAGGTTGCGGTGAGCCGAGATCGAGCCATTGCACTCTGGCCTGGGCAACAAGAGCGAAACTTAGTCTCAAAAAAAAAAAAAAAAAAAATGAGAGAGAGGTACCACCTTGATGGTCTTGGATAAGATCCCAAAGAATTTTCTGTTTATCAGACAGAGCGGCTCCTGTTCTTTTCCCTTACTTTCTTCCAAACAAATGGAGTCTCTCTCTCTACGTGCTGAGCCACCTGGAACTGGGAGTGTGGTGATTCAAGGCCCTCTTGGTCACCACCACTGGAACTGCTCTGGGTCAGACTTGAAGCCAGCACAGCATTGTGCCTTGCCCAAGGCCCTTCTTTTCAGGGCAGAGAGTTTCCCTGCACATGTCCAGAGATGCTGTCTGGGAGCCAGGAATTGGAGTAAAAAACCTTAGCAGTTTACCTGCTATTCTATTCTACTGTGGCTAAGCTGGCACTCAAGTCATGATACAAAGTCCTTCCCTCTCTTTGCCTGTCTCCAAGTTTAGAAATTCTTTCTTCTCCTTGGTCTAGACTGTGAAGCTGTCAATTGTATTTTTCATTTCACTCATTGACTTCTTTAGCTGTAGTCTGTTCTTTTTATGCTCTCTGTCTCTTAATTGCATTTCTCATTCAAATTGGGAATTGTTTTCTTGATTTTCTTGAATTGTCTAGCTGTATTCTCTTGTATCTCACTGAGTTTTCTTAGGAATATTGCTGTGAATTATTTTTCTGGCATTTCATATATTTCCTTGTGATTGGAGTCTGTTACTGGTGAATTATTGTATTCCTTTAGACATGTTATGTTTCCTTACTTTTTCATGTTTGGTGTGTCCCTAGGTTGATTTCTATACATCTGGTTTCAAAATTGCCTCTTCCAATTTTATTAAGTCGGTTTGACAGACAATGATTTACTTGTATGAATTAGTTTTTCATTGATAGACAAAGATTTATTCATATGAATGGGTTTGTTATGGTTTGGTGGCTTTGGTTTTATGTGGATGCAGCAGTGAATTCTGTGTAGCTTCTTTAGCTGTAATCCACGCTAGTCGTGTATGCAAGTGTCTCAATGGCCTAGAATGAGAGACTTTATGGTGGCGGTGGTCCAGCTTTGCTGAGGGTGGGCTCACAAGGCTGTTTCTTATGTTAGGAGCATATGTGTGCCACAGTGGGTCTGCCAACTTGGAGCTGGTGTTGGGGCTATGGGTTGTTACTCTGACCAGGAGCATGTGTACGCAGTTGCTCGGCTGTCCTGGGGGTGTGCTTGCCAGGGGTGGCCCTTGGGGCTATTTCTCAGGCTTGGGACATGGGTGCATAACTGCTCCACCAGTCTGAGGGCATGTGTGCCAGGGGCAGCCTGTGGGGCTGCTATTCAGGCCTGGAACGCAAGTGCGAGGCTGCTCTGCCAGACAGGGTTGTATCTTCCAAGAGCGCCTGCGGAGCTGTTTCTCAGGACCTGTTGCAGGCACAGGGCCGTCGCGCAGGTCAGGAACTTATCTGCAGAGCTTGGGGTGCTACAGGGCTGCTTCTCAGGTTCTGAGTTGGCTGATTCGCTGTTCTGCTGGCCCAGTAGCATGTTGGCTGTTCAGAGGCTTGAGATCTCCCACTCAGGGCAGAACATGCAGCAGTTTGTTAGGCTGAAGGGCGGGTTCACACCGGGTGAGACTGCCAGACTGTTGTTCTGGGTAGAAGTGAGGACAGTGGGAGGTGGTTTTCCTACTGCGCAGGACCAGAGTCACTGCCACTCCTGGGACCAGGCTCCATGCAACTAGGTTTGTGGTGTTCAGCCACCGGTGTGGGCTTGCTGAAATGAAGATGGGAGCTGCAGTGCTGGATAAGTGCAATAGTTACTCACCCCCACCACACCCCCACCCCTGCCAAGAAGGGCACACTCCAGAGGTGCCTCTGATCTCAAGATGGCACTGTGCTACAGCAGCGTGGGGTGAGTAGAGGGTGGGAGAGTTGTATTCCTTACTCAGGGCAGTGCAGCTGCATGAATTTCCAGCAATACTTTAAACTGGGCTCAGGGATTGAGAGGACTGTTGCATTCTCCTGTAGTAAGGACTGCCATTGTTTTTGGTGGCATTGGGGGCTGGTGGGGTTCTTCTGCTTACTTTTTCCCTGCAATAGGACCTCCCTCATGGCTCTACGCAGATCCAGTCCACACAGGGACAATAGAGTGCGGAGGTCACTGGTGCCTCAATGCTGCCCTCCTGGACTTCCAGTCACCACAGGTCTGTCTGCACTCCCCTGCTGTACTCTAGTGCTCTCCTTTCATCACTCCAGTCAAATCATATCTGTTTATTTGTTGCCTTGTTTTTTTTCTTTTGGAGTCAACGAGCATCAGGTGTCTCTAGTCAGCTATCTTGCTGACATCTTGCCTGTGTATTTCAAGGAAGTTTGAAAGTGTGCTTTGGGTGTGACTTCAAGATGGCTGACTACAGGTGCCCTACACTCGCCTCCTCCACAAATAAGAGACCAAAATAGTAAAGTATAAATACACATTGAATAGAGCTTCTAGGAAAAAACACTGGAATTTAGCACAGAAGTGACAGGGAACCTCTGAGGCACAGCAGGAGGAAGTGAAGCAGCCAGCCTGGCCAGGATTGGCTCAGAGCCAGGAGGAGCACCACACTGCAAATAAAAGGCAAGCAAGAGATCCCTAACAGTCCATGTTCCCACTGCAGACTCCTGCAGTCCTAGCCATTGGAGTGCCCCTTGGCCTTTGGAGGCCCTGAGAGTAGTATAGGAAGCTACTTGTAGTCCACGCAGTGGCATTGTTCTAGAGAGGGAGTTTGTACTGTTTCTCACACCCCTCCCTGCAAACAGCTGCAGCATAGTGCCATTTTGGGAGCCCAGCCACTGCCAGATTACATTCTGCCCTGGAGCCCAGCAGCCTTTGTATCCCCACATACCTGGAGCCCTACTGGCATCCTCCCATGTCCACTCAGAGGGCTTCAGTGCTGTGATGCTGACTGGACCCAGTGGTGCAGCCAGGTTCCCAAAACTCTAGCTAATGCAGTCCTCTGCACCATATGAAACAGGCAGTGCAGCACACCAGGAGTAGGAGAGTGGCCCTGGGACAAAGGGAGCCAAAGCATGCACTCCCCAGAGCCTGAGAACTGCCTCCCTGGTGTTGC
Source organism: Homo sapiens (assembly GCF_000001405.40). Lineage (NCBI taxonomy): Eukaryota > Metazoa > Chordata > Mammalia > Primates > Hominidae > Homo > Homo sapiens. The sequence goes on from NC_000005.10 coordinate 171,123,103, forward strand.
TGCCATATACAGTAACCCTGACCCTTCCACTGGTAGGGTTGCTGACATACCTGCATGTGCCTTCAGAGGCCCTGGAGATTGACCCACCAGAGCTAGCACCCATGTGCACCACCAAGGTACCTGAATACAGGCACATGCCACCTGCTGGTACCCACACATGTCATCCAGGGACCCAAGGACGTACCTGCCCTGCTCACCATCACTGCTTCCTATGTGTACCATCCAGGGATTGGCCTCACTTGTACACCAGATGCCAGCACCCACACACAGCTACCAAGACCCAGCTCACCCAAACTGCCAATGCCAATGCTGGCACACATGTATGTCATTTGGGGGGTCAAGGGTTTAAGTTAGGTGGTTGCCCTTCCACTGCTACTGCCACTGCTCATGTCATAGACATTGCCTAGAGGGTTGATAAACTGCCCACCCCACTGCCACTGCCACTTCTAAACACACCACCTGGAGGCCCAAGGACTGGCCTGTCAGTACCTGCCCACCATTGGCACCCACGTGCATTCCCTGGGGGCTCAAGGACTGGCGAACATGGCCTGCTACTGCATGGTTGCCTAAGGACCAACCCACCTGGTGTCCCCATCTTAAGCAAAGCCTCACCACAGCCTCCGCTAACAACTGTGGCCTAAACCATGGAGGAACTTACAGGCACCACTGTAAGGAACAGCCAAAGGAATTGGCTACTGCACCCACGCAGGGAGCACATTACTGCACCTCCCCAGAATCAAAAGCCAAAGCACTCTACTTAACCAACACTACAGAAACTATTTCCCTGTGGAAGGTAGTCTATATAATTAAAAGAAGCAACTTACCAAGATGCAGAGATATCAACATAAGGACATGAGAAACATGAAAAAGCAGGGAAACATGGCAATTCCAAAGGAGCACATTAATTCTCTAAAGTAACAGATCCCCAAAAAAAGAAAATCTGTAAAATGCCTTAAAAAGAGTTCAAAATAATGATAAGATACAAGAAAACACAGGTAAACAATAACAAGAAATCAGGAAAACAATTCATGATCTCAATGAGAAATTTATCAAAAAGATAGATGGCACAACATCGTGAAACCAAAGAATTCAGTGAATGAAATTTAAAAAAATGCAGTCAAGAGCTTCAGCAATACACTAGATCAAGCAGAAGAAAGAATATCTGAACTTGAAGACAGGTTGCTTGAAATTATACAGGCAGAGAAAGAAAAGATAAAAGAATAAAAATTAATGAAGAAACCCAGTATACCATATGAGATGCCATAAAGTAACCAGATACCCTAATTTTGTTAATTTTTAGAAGGGGAAGAGATGGAAAAGTCATAGAAAACCTATTTAACGAAATACTAGCTGAAAACTAATCTTGCAAAATATATAGTCTTGCAAAAGATACAGACTTCCAGATACAGGAAACTCAAAGATCCCCTAATATATTCAACCCAAAAGGTCTTCTCCAGATCACATCATAGTCAAACTGTCAAAAGTCAAAAATGTAAAGATAATTACAAAAAACAACAAAAGTGTTCAGTTAACATATAAGGGAATGTTTATATGGGACAGTATCTACTGTTATGAAAACACATGAAAGTATAAAACTCACTGGTAGAGCAGATACACGCAAAAAAGAAGGGAGTCAAACATCATCACAACAAAAAAAAACCACCAAATCATAAATGTAAACAACAAAAGAGGAAGACCAGAACAAACGATATACAAAACAATCAGAAACTAATAAAGTGGCAGGAGGAAGTCATCACCTGTCAGTTACAACCTTGAATGTAAACTGTTTAAATTCCTCCAATTAAAAGATATAGATTGGCTGAATGGACATAAAAAGTAGGACCCAACTATATGCTGCCTACAAGTAACTCACTTTGCCTGTAGACACGTAGATTGAAAGTAAAGGGATGGGCTGGGGGCGGTGGCTCACGCCTGTAATCCCAACACTTTGGGAGGCCGAGGCGGGCAGATCACCTGAGGTCAGGAGTTCAAAACCAGCCTGGTCAACATGGCAAAACCCCATCTCTATTGAAAAAATACAAAAATTAGCCAGGCGTGGTGGCAGATGCCTATAATCCCACCTACTCGGGAGGCTGAGGCATGAGAATCACTTGAACCCAGTAGGTGGAGGTTGCAGTGAGCTGAGATCACACCAATGTGCTCCAGCGTGGGTGACAGAGTGAGACTATGTATCAAAAAAAAAAAAAAAAAAAGAAAGTGAAGGGATGGAAAAAGATATTCCACACACACAGTAACCAAAAGCTGCCAGAAGGAACTGTATATCAAACAAAGGGTAAAAAAAAAAAAAAGAGAGACAAAGAAGGTCATTATAAAATGATAAAGAGATGAGTGCAACAAAAGGATATAATAGTTGTAAATATATATGCACTCAACAGTGGAGCACTGAGATATATACAGCAAATACCATTAAGGCTAAAGAGAATGATGAAGTCCCCAGCTATTATTGTATTGGTGTTTAACGCTGTGCTTTCAGCATTCAACAGATCATTTAGGCAAAAAATCCACAAAGAAACATTGGACTTGATCTGCACTGTAGACCAAATGGACCTAACAGACATTTACAGAACATTTAGCCCAATACCTGCAAAGTATATGTTCTTTTTATCAGCACTTGGAACACTCTCCCAGGATTGCCACATGTTAAGACACACAAAAACAATCTCAGTAAATTTTTTTTTTTTTTTTGAGACGGAGTCTTGCTCTGTCGCCCAGGCTAGAGTGCAATGGCACAATCTCGGCTCAGTGCAACCTCTGCCTCCTGGGTTCAAGCAATTCTGCCTCAGCCTCCAGAGTAGCTAGGGTTACAGGCGCGCACCACCACACCTGGCTATTTTTTGTATTTTTAGTAGAGATGGAGTTTCACCATGTTGGCCAGGCTGGTCTCAAACTCCTGACCTCGTGATCCGCCCGCCTTGGCCTCCCAAAGTGCTGGGATTGCAGGTGTGAGCCACTACGCCCAGCCGTAAATTTTTAAAAATTGAAATTATGCCACATATTATATCTGACCACAATGGGATAAAACTAGAAATTAGTAATGAGAAGAACTTTGCAAACTGTACAAATACATGCAGTGTAAACATTATGCTCCTGAATAACCACTGGGTCAGTGGATAAATAAAGAAGGAAATTTTTAAAAACTCTTGAGACGAGTGAAAATGGAAACAAAACATACCAAAACCTATGTGATACTATAGCAGCAGTCTGAGAAGGAATTTTATAGCAATAACCTCCTACATCAAAAAAGTAGAAAGATTTCAAATAAACAACCAAATGATGCACATCAAGGAACTAGAAAAATAAGAACAAACCAAACCCCAAATTAGTTGAAGGACAGAAATAATTCAGATCAGAGCAGAATTAAACATAATAGAAACTAAAATAAAAATACAAAATATCAATGAAATAAAAAGTTGGTTTTCTGAAAATATAAATAAAATTGATAAGCTGCTAGCTAAACTAACCAGGGACCAAAGAGAGAAAACCCAAATAAATAAATCCAGAAACAAAAGAGGAGACATTACACTGATAGCACAGAAATACCAAGGATCATTTGAGACCATTATGAACAAAAATACGCTAACAAAATTGGAAAGCCTAGACAAAATTGGATAAATTTCTGTACACATACAACTTACCAAAATTGACCCAAGAAAAAGTAGAAAACCTGAACAGACCAATAACAAGTAACAAGACTGAATCAGTAATAAAAAGTCTCCCAAAAAAGAAGAGCCCAGGACTGCATGGCTTTAGTACTGAATTTTACCAAACTTATAAAGATGATCTAATATCTCACACCAATGCTTTTCAGACTATTTCAGAAAATTGAAATGGAGAGAATTCTTTCTAAGACATTCTATAAGGTCGGCAATACCTTGATACCAAAACCAGACAAGAACACAAGAAAACATAAAAACTATAGGCCAATATTTCTGATGAACATAGATGCAAAAACCCTCAACAAAATACTTGCAAACCAAATAGCACATCAGAAGATAATAGACCATAATCAAGCAGGATTTATCCCAGGGATGCAAGGATGGTTCATCATATGTAAATAAATGAACGTGATACATCACATCAACAGAATGAAGGGCAAAAGCCATATGAACCTCTCAATAGATGCAGAAAAACATTTGATAAAATTCAACATGCCTTCATGATAAAAATTCTCAATAAATTTGTTACAGAAGGAATATATCTCAACATAAGAAAAGCTATGTATGACAAACCCACAGCTAACAAACTGAACTGGGAAAAGTTGAATGTCTTTTCTCTAATAACTGGAACAAGACAAAGAAGAGACGACCTGCAGAATGGGAGAAAATATTTGCAAACTATTCATCTGACAAGTTACTTATATCCAGAATATGCAAGGAATGTAAACAACAGGAAAAAAAATAGTTTTATTAAAACATGGGCAAAGGATTTGAATAGACATTTCTCAAAGAAGACATACAAATAGCCAAAAAGTATATGAAAAAAATCTTCACTATTACTAATCATCCATGAAATGCAAATCAAAACCACAATGAAGTGTCTTCTCATCGCAGTTAGAATGGTTATTATCAAAAAGACAATAAATAACAAATGCTGAAAAAGATGAGGTGAAAAGGGAACTGTCATACACTCTGGGGATGTTAATTAGTACAACCATTGTAGAAAAATAGTATAGAGGTTTCTTGATAAACAAAAATAGAACTACCATGTGATTCAGCAATCTCATTACTGGGAATTTATCTAAAGGAAAGAATATCAGGCCGGGCACGGTGGCTCACGCCTGTAATCCCAGCACTTTGGGAGGCCGAGGCGGGCAGATCATGAGCAGGAGATTGAGACCATCCTGGCTAGCACGGTGAAACCCCGTCTCTACTAAAAATACAAAAAATTAGCCAGTTGTGGTGGCGGGCACCTGTAGTCCCAGCTACTTGGGAGGCTGAGGCAGGAGAATGGTGGGAACCTGGGAGGCAGAGCTTGCAGTGAGCCGAGATCACACCACTGCACTCCAGCCTGGGTGACAGAGTGAGACTCCGTCTCAAAAAAAAAGAATATCAGTATATCAAAGAGACATCTGTACATTCATGTTTACTGCGGCACTATTAGCAATAGCCAAGATATGGAATCAACCTAAGTATCCATCAATGAATGAATGGATAAAGAAAATGTTGTATATATACACAATGGAATGCCATTCAGCTATGAAAAAAAGCGTGAAATCATGTCATCGAAGCATCCATTCATTCCATTAGATGAAACTGGAGGTCATTATATTAAGTCAAACAAGCAGGCACAGAAAGACAGTTATCTCATGTTCTTTCTCATATGAGAGAGCTAAAAAAAATGATCTCATGGAGATCTAAAGTAGAATGATGGCTACCAGAGGCTGCAAAGGGAAGGGATGGGATGAACCCTCAGAGGGGTTAATGGGTACAAACTTAGTTATATAAAGGCATAAGTTCTAGTGTTTGATAGTACAGTAAGGTGACTATAACTACCAACAATGTGTCATATATTTCAAGATAGCTACAGGAGAGGATTTGAAATATTCCCATCACAAAGAAGTGACAAGTGTTTGAGGTGCTGGATATCCTAAACATCTTGATTTTATCATTACACATTTTATTCATGTATCAAAATATCATGTGTACCTCATAAATATATACAATGATTATTTATTAATAAAAAAATAAAATAGTCAAGACCCCCCCCAAAAAAAATTTGGACATGAATTGCAATAATGAAAACTCTGCCCTCTACACTTACATAAATGGCAACTAATATATTTGCCTATTTATTCTTTCAATAGATATTAATGAGTGCTTATAAAGAATACCAGTATAAATAAATTAGTTCTGGCCCTGCCCTTAATGAGCATATAATACAGTTGAAGAGATTAAGTTCCTACTTTAGTTGTGAACTCCTCAAGGATAGGCACTCTATCCTGTCTCTCTCCCCAACCCCCATCACCATTCTCTATTACAGAGCCTGCCTGGTGTCTTAAAGGTTTTTAAAATCCTTAACCTCAACGTTGAAAGGGAAAGAGGGAAGAATGGGTAGAGAGACATGAAGCAACAAGTCTAGCTGTCATTGTTTCTGAAAATTAATCAAAATGAAAATACAGTTGTATCAGTTCATGAAATTACAGTGTAGATCAGTAGGAAACAATTTATAGCAATTCTTTTACCACACATTTGTTGCAAAAATGCAATCTGTTTCTACTACCTGACTCGGGTGATATTTCAGATAGCTAAGTTATAATTAATTAAAGCTGTGTGGACTTTTAGCTTAGAAAACGGCTTCCTCTTCCTTCTGCTCACCCCGTGACCCAACCCATCCCTGTATTGCCACCACTCGCTTCAATCTGGCACTGTAGTCAAGCCCAGAGCAACTTCTGTGGGTCAGGGGAGGTGACAGGCATTCTGTGCCTAGCTGTTTGGCTAGGCATTGCAGCTTCAGAACTCTTCTCTCCATTTCTAAATCATGTCTAATGGGACTGTTAACCAGTGGCCACCAAAGCTACCATTTCCAATGAGCAATTCTGCGAAATTATGTCACAGAAATAAATTAGTATGAAATTTATAGAGAATTTTCTCTTCATGACAATCTAAGAAATCACAGTCACACCTTACCATGCATAGTTATCATACTGACTTTGTCCTAGACTGACCCAGGTCCAGTTCCACCCTCTGGGCTTGTAGAGTTTCTCTGTTACGATGTGCAGAATGCTTAGAACAGGATAGGCCCCCAGAAGTGAGTCCTGTTGTTATCTTTCACAATCATATGAATAGTATTAGATGGAGCCAGAAAACAATAAAAATTCTACAAAAATAATGAAACTAATTTGTGCAACGTGAGAAAAGAAAATGGACATTTTGCAAATCTATTTGGTGTCAGGGCTCTACTTTTTAAAAGGAAAATCAATCATGGTCTGTGGTGTACATGTTAAGGGAAGGACTTAAATTCACAGTAATAGGTATTCTGGTTACAGCATGGAAGAACTATATCATTGTTGAAGTAAAACTCACCGAGGCTTCAGCATACAACTAAATTGTACTTTGCATAAGAACATTAAAACAATTCTTGGAACACTCTCCTCCCCCATCACTAACCACCCACCGAAATACAAGAAATTATAGTAAGAAATATCACTCTCTTGGAATAAGCACAGGAGAAGAAATTGCAAACAGATTATTAGAAAATGTCATTCATCATTTTCATTTTCTTTGGAAATTTAGCTTTTCTCCCTGAATATAATGTTTTCTTTTTTCTCACATTTTTAAAATATGCTCAATCAGAATACTTTAAAAAGACTTTTTTTTTTTTTTTTTTTTTTGAGACGGAGTTTCGCTCTTCTTGCTCAGGCTGGAGTGCAATGGCATGATCTCGGCTCACTACAACCTCCTCCTCTGGGGTTCAGGCGATTCTCCTGCCTCAGCCTCCCAAGTAGCTGGGACTACAGGCATGCGCCACCATGCCTGGCTAATTTTGTATTTTTAGTAGAGACGGGGTTTCTGCATGTTGGCCAGACTGGCCTCAAAATCCCGACCTCAGGTGATCGGCCCCACACCCAACCAAAAAAATACTTTTTTATATATATGTAGAAACACCGTTTTATTTGTAAAATATGTCAGGTGCTTTTTATTAAGAAGTATTTTGAGAATACAGATACATCATCAAATTGACTGTTATCTTTGTATAATTGTATTACAAGTTATGTTGTGAAGATGAAAAGCTAGTTTCCCTTCTAGCTACTTTTGGTGAATAGAAATTAGGAGTGTTACAGCATTTTATTTATAATAAAACTATAGTATACATGTTTATGATTATTTAAAGAAATTTGTTATGTTTCACATGTTCAGAGACTTTTGTCTTTGGAATTCCTTTGCTAACTCTAGCAATAATAAGGGCATGAACTTTTCAGTTACACAGAATTGGGTTCACATATGGTTCTGTCACTTAGTAGCCTTTGGGCGAATTTTTCAAACTCAGATCCTCAGCTTTCTTGTCTACAAATTTACAATAGTAATATTTAACTCACAAGGCTGTTATAAGGATTAGAGGAGATTACCTGTAGTAAGCTCTCAAAATATTAGTTCTTTTTCCATATAAAATATAAAATTCTCCTTAAAAATATTAAGATTATGTCATAAAGGTTTCTAAGCATTGCAAGTGGTTCCTATTTATATCTGCTACTATTGCTTTCCAGATCCAGAAATAGCTTGCAAATAATGGGATTCCTGTAGATGGAATAATGTTAATTTACCTAGCTCACTGCTACTGTATTGTACAGCTTGGGAAAATGTGCTGTTTTTGCAGTCTGTTCATTCAGATGGCTTATGAATTAAAAGCAGAGGCCCATCATGTTCTAAGATCCAGTAGTTCATTATTGCAAAATAAAATATCCATTTATTAGGCAAGGATTGTCTACAGTGCAAGTGTAAAGAGACCCACTCATAAGAATAAGTGTTGCCTTCAAATTTGTACTGAAGTATGCTGAAAAACATGTATACTATAGCTGTGATAATGAGCAGTACAGTAGAAAGAGGTGATTTATGATACCTGTTTCTGACAGCTATAGTGCAGAGATTCCCAGGGTAGCTGATCATGGCATTAGCATGCTGACAGCTCAGCATTTAGAACATTATGGTAATTTATCCTGCCTATGCTGTCACCTGCACTGTCAGAGTTTCTTTTTAATGATGGTATAACTATTTTGTTTGTTTGTACTGCATTCTTTTCATTTGGCTAATGCTTTCTCATTAGATTGAACCTAGTAAATGAGAGTAATTAAGTGCTTCCTATAGCTCAGATGCAATGATTAAGTTGCAGAGCTGCTACTGATTATGTTTTGTCATTTATCTCTATTAATCTGAGAATAATCCAGATGATAAACACATGTAATTTTTTGCTAATGTTCAATAGATGAAATTTATAGTTTCTCCATGGAGCCAAGCAGTAAATGTATATTTATATATAAATAATAGATTCTTACATGTGAACTTGCTTTAAATAAACATGTAAGTTACAACTAAAGTTTTTATAAAGGGAAAGACACTTTTAATTGTCCTACTAAATTTATTCTATCCTGAAATAGCCTTCTTTACTCTTCCAAGCCCTACCCCCCACCCAAGGGAAGGAAGGAGGGAAGGAAGGAAAGAAAGGAGAGAAAAGAAGGAAGGAGGTAAGGGAAGGAACAAAGGAAGGAAGGCTGGCTTAAATTATTATTATGGAGCAAGTTGTTTTTCTGACTTTAGTTGTTTTTTTTTTTTTAATTGTCTGCAGGGACAAGACTAAAATTTGTTTTGATAATAGTTTATTTGGGCTGAGCAGGGTAGCTCATGCATGTAATCCAAACACTTTGGGAGGCCGAGATGGGAGGATCACTCAAGCCCAGGAGTTCAAGACCAGTCTAGGGACATAGGGGGACCCCATCTCTACAAAAAATTTAAAAATTAACCAGGTATGGTGGTGCATGCCTGTCGTCCCAGCTATTCAGGAGGCTGAGGCAGGAGAATCCTTTTAGCCTTAGAGTTTGAGGCTACAGTGAACCCTGATCACACCACTGCACTCTAGCCTGGGCAACAGAGCAAGACCCTATCTCAAGAAAAAAAAAAGACTTCATTTGAAGTCCTTTCATTCACTCTGTACTGACAGTTTTTCAACTCTTTTCGTTTACTCTGATTTTCTAAGCTATAGTAATTTATTATTCCAGAAGAAAATGTGTTTCAACTAAACTGTTAAATAATTCTTGAGATTAGTCAGAATGTTTGTCTTTTTTTTTTGAGACGGAGTTTCGCTCTTGTTGCCCAGGCTGGAGTGCAGTGGCGCGATCTCAGCTCACTGCAACCTCCGCCTTCTGGTTTCAAGTGATTCTTCTGCCTCAGCCTCCCGAGTAGCTGGGACTACAGGGGCCCGCCATCACGCTTGGCTAATTTTTGTATTTTTAGTAGAGACAGGGTTTCACCTTTTTGGCCAGGCTGGTCTCGAACTCCTGACCTTTTGATCCACCCACCTCAGCCTCCCAAAGTGCTGGGATTACAGGCTTGAGCCACCGCGCCCGGCTGAATGTTTGTCTTTTAATAAATTAAGCTAACATGTTAAAATAATGTGGAGTTATGTTTTTTGAAAAATAATACATTTACACATATTATTTGCTTATATCTGACATAATTTGCTGTAAGGAGATACACAGTTTTCAGAACTCTGATGTGACTATTATAGTTAATAGTTAATTAGCTTTTTAAAGTTTCTATAAAAAATGCCAAATAACTTGATACATTTTGTTTGCAATTAGTGACAAGACAGTATTTGCCAACTTCATGCATTTCAAGTATCATTATGTAAAGATTGTTTCCTAATTCTTTATGTGTAAAGATTTATTCCTAATTCTTTATAATTTATTTATAAAATTATAGTTTCAACAATCTTTCATATATACTAAGAGAAAATAAAAGATTGTTTTTAGGAAATTACATTTTTGCAGAATTTTCATAAATGCTTGAAAAGATCATAGAATTGCTAAACCCATGTGGGCATAGGCTACCCGGAATTTTCAGCTCATATTTAGATGGTAGGAAAATTGACAGAAACTTAGTTACTGTATTTCTTTGTGCTTAAATGTATGACCAGGAGTCTGGTGAATGTGATTTCCCAAACATTGGAGTAGGAACACTAGCAGTTCTTATTTTGAAAAAGAACATTGTACTTGAGCTTTCAGGTTGTGGCTGTGCATTGTAATGCATCAGGAGCTGCTTTTACATTTTATTTAAGAGAAAGGTCTTTTAAGTATCTATACATGTACTGCCTTTATTTGCACATTTGGATCATTTAATGAATTTTGTTCTATGAACAAATGGTACCATCTAAGATAAATACTTGAAACATTGATGTTAACCCTACCTCAGTTAATTTTCATGAAATATTATTTTTTGAAAATGAATACTTATTGCATAAGTCCTAAAGTCCTAAATGGAATATGCTGTTTTTAATGGTTATTCATATATTCTTTGGATTCCTTTCTAAAATAAGCCATTGTTAAAAGATGGATATACATTACCCAGTGGGCTCTTCTTCCCCTTTAGGTGTAGAAATGCCTTCCATGAAGACTAACTGGGAATTGAGATGATCATAAATATTGGGATTTTATTAAGTTTGCTAGTAGTTTGTTCACATTGTTTTTCCAGCAATTTTAGAAGATACAATATTTAGCCTAATAAGGATTATCATCTTTCAGAGGGATCAAATATCTATCCTGTACTTATGGCTAGATTGAAGAAATTTTTCATTGAAATAATCAGATTATATATGAAGTGATGATTTGTTAATGGTTGGCATAGTCAAAGAATCTGTTTTTGAAGTTGTGGGAAATGTCTCTGACAGGCATTATCAGTTAAGTAAGGGACTAAAAGTAGAAAGCCCTAAGTTCTAACCCAAACATTTTTCCCTAATAGTTATTTTGTCAAATAAATATTGCTCTTGCACACTGAGGTATTAGGGTGAGTAATAGTGAGCATTAGGCCAGTGTAATACTCTTTTGAATATTAAATTATAAAATAAGCCCAGGTCGAGGCAGGTGGATTGCTTTGAGCTCAGGAGTTCAAGACCAGCCTGGGCAACATGGCAAAACCCTATCTCTACAAAAAATACAAAAATTGACTGGGCGTTGGTGGCTCACGCCTGTAGTCCCGGCTACAGGGGAGGCTGAGGCTGGAGAACCATTTGACCCTGGGAAGCAGAGGTTATAGTGAGCTGAGATTGTGCCACTGCACTCCAGCCAGGGTGACGGGGTGAGATCCTGTCTCAAATAAAATAAAAATAAATTAAATTCCCAAAACAGAAAAGTAAGTAAGTAAAGAGAAAAGTTTAAGGCTGGGCATGGTGGCTCACGCCTGTAATCCCAGCACTTTGGGAGGCTGAGATGGGTGGATAACTTGAGATGAGGAGTTCAAGACCAGCCTGGCCAACATGGTGAAATCTGTCTCTACTAAAAATAAAAAAAAAATAATAATAATTAGCCAGGCATGGTGGTTCACACCTGTAATCCCAGCTACCCGGGAGGCTGAGGTAGGAGAATCAGTTGAACCCAGGAGGTGCAGGTTGCAGTGAGCTGAGATCAAGCCACTGCACTCCAGCCTGGGCAACAGAGTGAGACTCCATCTCAAAAAAAAAAAAAAAAAAGAATAATTTTAAAAAGTTATGATTTCTTATCATTGTTTACTGACTTTTTTAAAAAGCAAAAATTGGATAATGCTTTAGGATGGAATATTCACTAATCTAGAAAATATTTCTTCCGTATTTTAAAAGGTGGAGACAATGGTTTTAATTAACTGGAGCACTTTGGTACCTGAACCTATGGGAATATTTTCAGTATGGAATATTTATTTGCTATTTCTGTATTCCTGCGTAGTCAATTCCTAAATACGCTTTCTTAAGATAGCAGTTTTAAAAATTATAATTACTCTCCACCCTGACCCCTTGCCCCACAACAAACAAAAATCACTTTGAGTTGTTAATGTTGAAATCACAAGTTACAAGTCTTCCTTTGTCCTTGGTTAAAAAATAATTATAAAAATAGAGTAAAGAGAAAATTCTTTTTCTCTTTACTGGTCAGTTCTATAGAAGTAATTTAAAATACCGTATATTGAATTCTTTGATCATTTCTCCTGGGTGGATTGGGAAAGAAGTCCTAGCTGAGGCAATTGCTTCTGGGCTCTCTTTCTGTGTGCCTGGTAAATGAAACACAAGGAACCTCACCAAACTACATGACTAATGGCAACCTCCAGTGCCGCCTGCAATCAAAGATTAATTTGCTTTATCAAGTTTAAAGAATACTGGGTGATAAATCATGTCAAAAAGAAATAATCAGTCAAAGGCTGATGTTCTTTTCTACATGTGAGGACAGGTGCTATGAGGCATGCACTTGTCATATACAGTTAATTTTCTTTTCATGCATTTATGTTCATCTTAATTACTATTTAGTTGATGCTTGAATCAAATAATTTCTCTCATTAAGATCAACCAGCATCCCAACTGCAAGGCTGCAGTATTATAGATTCAAAATAACATTTTTTTCCTTTTAATTTGTATAAGGGTATTTTCACATGAGTATTAATCACAAATTTTTTTATTCAAACATGAGAATGCCAAGTGGGAAGCGAAATTATTTTCTCCATTTCAAGATACCCAAGAATATCAACTGGATGTTCATGTTTATAATATATGTCTGTGTGTGTGTTATATCTACGTATTTTATATAAAATTTTCATTTTACTCGGATTTTCTCACCTTTTTTTTTCTTTTCTTTTCTTTTCTTGAAAGAGAGAAAGCTAGAGTCTCTAATTCTGTCTCCTGGGTTCATAATGCAGGACTCACTTTAGGTAAGATTATATTATAAAGAGGTCATCTTTCAGGACTTTTAGCAGCAAACACATTTGAGCAGGATCAAAAATGAATCTTGTGTCTTTTCAGACACCGTGCTATCAGGACTCTTTAAAAGCAAGACTCAGATTATTGTCTTAGGAGAGTCTCTTATTTCTAATTATAGTCTTATGAACTGGAGCCTCTTTAAATGTTTTTGGTATATGTAGATATGTATTACTTCCTAGCTTAGGTCTTTTCTAGCTCACTCTGCCTTTGGTGGCTAATTAGAGATTTAGAAATTAATTTTCCGCTTGATGTACACAATTAAATAAAAATTCATCATAGACTTGAAACTTGGAACTGTGAAGCTGTATCGTTTGAGTGGTTGTAGGAAATCTTATCCCTAGAGTAACTCTTCATTTTCTTTTTCTTCATGGTTTCTCTCAGTTTTTGTCTAGATCTTGACCTTTTTCACTCCAGTAAATTGTCAGTAGTGCAGGAAGACTTGTGGCTGGCTTTTGTTTACCTTTTATTCTGCTTCTGATTCCTGAGAATTATTTTAAAATATTTATAAAGTTCTATTTTTGACATCAGTAGCATCCTAAAGAGAGAATATCTTATATTGGCTGGGTTTTAAGACTTCTTTTTAAACTGGATAGGAATTTAACTTGCCTATACTTAATATATATTTTTCCACATGAAAGTATTTATTGTGTTCTATTTCATTTCCAAAATGAGATGATGGGACAAGTTGATGAGGTCTCTTACAATTTGAAAGTTTTGTAACTCCAGACATACCTATTTTGATAGTAACTGAGTCACCAGTGCTCATTAGCAGTTTGCATAATAGACATCTATTCTAGGGAATTGCTGTAGTATAGACTGCATGGTGGGGTAAATAGATTTAGATTTGAAGACTGAACACTTCCATCCAGGGTCTAACTCCAGCATTTGTATAAACTTGGACAATACTTTTGCTACAGGGTTGTCATTGAAAGTATTGCCTCATTATATTTCTTAGTGGTCCCTGTATGAAGCCATATAAGAGAAACTTCTTAATTTAGCACTAGGAAATGCTTCTGTTGACTTGAGATGTGTGTGTGTGTGTGTGTGTGTGTGTGTGTGTCTGTGTGTGTGTGTGTGTGTCTGTGTGTGTGTGTATTCCCCTAATTGATAAACTATAAAATAATCTTTCTCTTTTCACTTTGGCCATCTGGAAATTTGCCACCAATTTATGGTTCAACTGTATAATTGCATGTAACATTTATAATCTGCTTTCATGAATTTTTATCCTTGTATTCCTCCCACTCTGATTCAATTTTATATTATAACTGGTCCTTGTGTCTCATTTTATTTTATCTCTACTTTTTTAATGTCCGGGATTTCCTATATGTCACCCCAAATACTGAGTCACTGTGTAAATAAGTAAATATATATCTACTCTATATCTATAAGTAGTGTGATATATGAGATATATATATATATATATATACACACACACTGAATCACTTTGTAAATAAGTAGAATTGCCCTGACTCCATCACTAAGTATTCAAAAGTCAGTTATTTCTTTTAGAGCTTTAGTATTCTCACTTGTAAAATAAAGAATGAACTAGATTGCCCTTGAGAACTTTTTAGACCCAAATTCTAGGATTAAAAACAACATAGGACTTCCAGTTTCCATTTGGAGCCTAGAAAGCTGGAAAGAGCATCACTTTCACCTCTGAAACAACAATAAAGCTGGGAAAACTGCAAGCTTATGACTTTTCTTGAATCTGCCAGAGAACTGAAGTGGAAAGACAACCAAATAGCCAGAAATGTAAGCAGAGATAGATGCTTGCTAGGAAAAAAGGAACATGAGCACTTGCTTACATAAGGTTGACTCATGAATGCCATAAGAATAACTGGGCTAGATAGTTAATAAGTTGGTAGAGGCTGAGTGTGGGCTGGCAAGAGAAAGTGAAGCCCCAGATGGCCTTAGATATATGGAGATTTTATACCCTCTTGCAGGCTCTTTTATCACAGTCCCACCAGGCAGTTTCTCCTACCCTTCCCTACTGCAAAAAAAAAAAAAAAAAGTCCTGAGAAAGCATCCTTCATAGTGCAGGCTTAGAGAACGAAAGCAACAGTGAAAGGGACACAAAACTCCACCTGAATGCTTCTTCCTATTTCCCCAACTGGAAATATTTTGATTTTTGACAAATATGCCATGGTTATATAGGATGTTAACCTTAGGGAAAACTAAATGGATGGTATATAGGAATTCTTTGTACTATATTTGCAACTTTTCTGTATATCTAAAATTATGCCAGGCCAGGTGCAATGGTTCACACTAGTAATCCCAACACTTCGGAAGGCTGAGGCACTCAGGAGGATCACTTGAGGCCAGGAATTCAAGACTATCCCGGACAACATAATGAGTCGTCATCTCTGCAAAAAATGGAAAAATTGGCTGAGAAATGGTGGCATGCACCTGTAGTGCCAGCTACTTGAGAGACTGAAACAGGAGAATCACTCGAGCCCAAGAGTTCACAGCTACGATGAGCTGTGATCATGCCACTTGCACTTCAGCCTGGGCAACATACTGAGACCCTGTCTCTTTAAAACAAAAAAAGAAAAAAGAAAAATAATAAATTTTAAATTTAAAAAAATTGTAAATAACAATTTACAAGTAAAATTATTTCAAATGCAAAGTTTAAAAAAATAGGCAGCAACTGTAGCCCCACCCGCTTTTCGGGTAGCATTCCTTTGAAGTAGAGATAGTTCCCTCATTTGGCAGATTAGAATTCTTTTCTTATTAAAATAATTTTATATAGTTAGAAAATCCTGAAAGTCTTCTCCATCCATCTCTTCCCTACTCTACCCCATTGTTGGCATGAGCATCTTTTCTTTCAGTGCTTAACCTTGTTATGGTTTTTATCCCATTATATGAGACTTATCTACATACTTATCTTTCTTTCAGAATCCTCAGTGCTTGGCCCATGGTAGGCATTCAGTGGTATTTATTGTAATAAACCTGGTCTTCTTTAATTGTCACTTGTCTTGATGAATGGCACCATTCTAGTATAAACCAGAAACCTAGGAATCATTTTTATTTCATTTCTTCCTTACTCTCTACCAAGTTCTACTATATATTTTTTGCCTCATAAATATGTCACCAATCTATCTGTTTCTGTCTCCTCTATAGCCCAACTCCAAGCGACCGTCTCTTTTACTTGGGATATTACATTATACTCCTAACTTGAATCCTGACTCTTTTCTCACCTTCGCCCACTTTCAGCCTACTATTGTGCATTGTACAATTGTAGCCAGGGTAGTCTTCAAAAATATAAACCTGATTTTGCCTTTCTGCCTGTTTAAATAACTTTCTATTGTTTTTAGGATAAAACCCAACTTTACATAGGTATGTGGCCCTTACTGGCCTAGCCTCAATTTTCCCCTTTAACTTACATGTAAACCCCACTCGTCTAGCCAGCCCACTGGTCTTCTTTAAGACCCTCAGCAGCATAAACTCTCTTATAACTCCAGGACTTTACATACATCACTTCTTCAGTCAGGAACATTCTCTTCTGTTTCTCCCAACCTTCCCCTTTCACCGTTATTTCCTGCTTACCCCTCAGCTCTCTGCTTAAATTTCATCTCCTCATGGAAGCCCTCCCTGATCTCCCAGGCTAGGTTATGTTATCTTTTTCTATACTTTCACAGCACCCTCTACTTTTCCATTATAGCAACTCGCACAGTTTGTAATAATGTTTGTGTGATTATTAAATTAATATCTGTCTCTTTCACTAGAACTGTAACTTCCATGAGGATAGGGATCATGTTTGATTTTGTCCATTCCAGCATCTGGCACAGTACTCAACACATATTGGAATATTTATCAAGCTCACATTAATCAAATTCAGTTCAATGTTTATTAAAGGAATAAAAGAATAAGCTATACTGTGCTAAGTGATGGAGCTGGAACTACAACTGAGTACATATACCCAACACTAGATTAGCCACCTCTTCTGTTAGCAGAGTTTGGGCTATAAAGAGCAGATATCATGTCATACTCCAGTTTATAAAACCTCACCCCAAGTCCTTTTGATGCTCAGTCTTTTTCTGTTTGAGAACAGGTCCTGCCAAACTTAAGAATCCCTGAGTACAGGGATGGGAGTGGGCTGAGAGATTTGTACAAGGCACAATGGAGCATTTTGCAGTAATGGAAACTTTTATTGTGGTGGTAGTTACACATCCATATGCATTTGTCAAAACTCATAAACCTCTATGCTTTTGAGAAGGTTGAATTAAAAAATTCCTATTTTGAGGTAGACATCTGCTTTGTATCCAAGGACCTCTTCATCCTACTCTTACATTACTGTGAAGGGTAGATCCATGTGTCATGAAGACATGAAAAGCTATTCCAAGTCCAGAATATTCCACACTACCTGTGTCTTACTCCCACCCTTTAATCTAATCAAGTTTTATGAAAATTGAATGAATTAATGAAAAGCAGAAACTATCTTTGGCTGTTTGATCATATCAGGACAGCTCTGAGGCCATTCTGTTCCCATGATAGGCTGTACTTACTCATCTCTACCTGATTCTTCCTCACAACATTCATTTAAGAAACATTTGCAGAATCCCTAAAAATGTTTCTTTTTTCCTTTCCCTACTCTTTACTAAAAATAAATGTGTCAGAGAGGACCTTTCACTATAACATGATTTCCTAAATCCAGGCCAAGATAAGATCTCTTTCTCAGTGGAAACAAAGTATACTCAGACTTACAAGTTCAATTGAGTTAGTATTTAAAGTTGGTTTATTAAGGATGGGAAGTTAAAAATGTAAAGATAGGCTGGGCGCAGTGCCTCACACCTGTAATCCCAGCACTTTGGGAGGCCGAGGTGGGCGGATCACAAGGTCAGGAGATCAAGACCATCCTGGCTAGCATGGTGAAACCCCATCTCTACTAAAAAAAAAAAAAAAATACAAAAAATTAGCCAGGCGTGGTGGTGGGCACCTGTAGCGCCAGCTTCTGGGGAGGCGGAGGGAGGAGAATGGCGTGAACCTGGGAGGTGGAGTTTGCAGTGAGCCGAGATCTCACCACTACACTCCAGCCTGGGATGGAGTGTAGACTGAGATGGAGCGAGACTCCATCTCAAAAAAAAAAAAAAAAAAAAAGTGAAGATATATACTTTGATCAAGCAAAAAGCCTAAACTGGAGAATTGGTTAAATTAATTAAGAGGAGGCTGAAATCACAGTGCTTATTTGACGGGAGTGTCTATTCTGACTTTTGCTACTGCCAACATTCAACTAAGTCACTCAATTTTTTTATGATTGCATCCTTATTCAAGAGTTCATTTTAAACATTATGGTTGATGACCTAACGCTGAATAATACCTGTAGCACAGAATACCTGGCATATCCATCTTGGGTTTTATATACTTTCATTTTTTGGTTAACTCTTTGTTTTCTTTTATACCTATTTAGTATGTCATATAAAATGCGTAATTTGCATGCCTTCAAAGTAAAATCAAGACTAAGAAATTCAAACTTATTGGTGAAATACCAGCAGATACAGATTGCTTGAAATATACAAGGTCCTATCATTAGTTTCAAATCTTTTTCATATGCTGTATTGGAAATAGAGGTGTTAAATTTCTACCTGTTACGGGCATGAGTTTACTTTTGGTTTTTAATGATAATAGAGCTTCCATTTTTTTGTCTTCTGTGCTCTATATTTTTAGTAGAATGTTTGTGGAGCCCCTCTCTCAAGATGATAGGTGATTCTTAAAAGTAAGACTGGTCTCTTTTTCATAGAATTTTCTGCCAAAATGTAGTTTCAAATATTTAAACAGTAATTGAAGAAAAAAATATTGTTAGAGTACAACTATACAGCTCTAGATCCCTAACTGGATGTTCAGTAAATAAATGCTCTTGTTAGACAGTGAGGCCTTGGAACCCAGGCTATTATTGCTGTTGGTGATACAGTCTGAACCAAGTGTTCTGCCCTATCCTTTATAGATAAGATTTTATACCCATCACAAATATTAATTATTGCAAATTTGCTTTTTCAGTTATAATTCAAGTTTGGGATATATTCAAGCATGGTCTTCTCATCTTAGTAAATTGCCAGTAGTAAGATGGCTAGTTGTGAATGCTATCTGTCCAAAACATGACTTTTTTTCCTTAGAAGAAGAAGCCTGTCTCTGTATTTGTTAGCATTCAATAAGGAATGAAGTATAGACTGTCTCAAAGGCCTACCATGTACCAGTATGCTGGATACTTTATTTACTTTGGTCATTATAACAACTACATAAAGCAAGTATCATACCAGTTTTAGGGATGAGGAAATGAAACCTCAGAATAAATGACTGTCAATAATAGCTAATGAATTATAGACCAGTGTTTCAGACCTTGAGCTCTTAAGTACAGAGGCACATGAAAATTGAATTATAGGCATTTACATTATTTTTCTAGGCATAAGTAATAAAGACCTGGTTTCTTAAAAGATTAATAAACAGTTTGTTTTTTATTTTTAAAATCTATTTTATCCATTGCAGTATTTTGTACCTAAAATTAATGATTGTCACAAATCACCTGCTCTTATCTGGTAAGCTAGTGGGATAAACAGCTCCATGATCACTCACTGTTGTGTAGCACAGCTAGTCCAGATTTGATACCTCCACAAAATAATCCACTGTGGGAAAACAGAGTTCCAAATGGAAGTTTTTGTTCCTAAAGGATGACAGAACAAAGGAATTTTCCACTTAATAATTCTTGTATGTGTTGCTATGAAACACTATTGAATAACATCATGGAATCAGAATACTTGAACTGGAAGAGATCATATAATATATAGTCTAGTAGTTTTTCTGTTTGCTCCGTGGTTGGGGCAGGGAGGGGAGGAGGAGGAGCTTGGCAAGTTATCTTCTCCTTCCGTGAAACAGAGCACTTTAAAGTGCTTACTTTCTTTATCACTTACTTTCTCATATTGGCCTTCCAGGTAAGCCCTTATTTAAAGAAATGGTTCCACATCTTTAAAAAAATTTTTTTCACCATTTCCTGATTTTACAGATGGCAGTTTAAGGCCTAGAGATACGAATTACCTTTCCAAGGTCATTCCACTTGCTGGAGTAGGTCTCTCAGTGTTGTAGTTTATTCATTTCTTCGGTAAACATCTATTGAATATCTGCTGTATCCCAGTCCCTATGCTTAGAGCTCACAGATGAGTGGAAGAGACAGATGGATGAACAAATAATTGACAGCACAGAATGACAATGGAAATGTATGAAGTTCCATATGAAAGAGGTCAAGAGAAGCATCCTAAGAGAAATTATATTTGAACGAGGTCTTAAAGATGGAGATGATTTTGCCAGGTTGAAAAGGAGAGGATAATTATTCTCAGCTGAGGGAACAGTAGACAGAAAGCCATGCGAGTATTACAGAGCATGACATGATTAGTCCCTGTCAGAGGGACTGGGGGTGTAAAATACTGGGAAGATAAAACAGCAATTAGGGGAAGGGTTATTACTATAGTTGGGAAGGGCCAGAACAGGAAAGATCCTCCACAGCAAGCTAAGGAAGGAAGGTTTTACCCTGTAAGAAATAGGCTGCCGTCTGGGCGTGGTGGCTCATACCTGTAATTTCAACACTTCGGGAGGCCAAAGCAGGTGAATCACTTGAGCGCAGGTGTTTGAGACCAGCCTGGGCAACATGATGAAACCCTGTCTCTACCAAAAATACAAAAAATTAGCTAGGAATGGTGGTGTGCACTACTCCCAGTTACTCAGGAGGCCGAGGTGAGGTAAGAGGATCGCTTGAGCCCAGGAGGTGGAGGTTACAGTGAACCAAAATCATGCCGCTGCCCTTACAGCCTGGGTGACAGAGCAAGACCCTATCTCAAAAAAAAAGAAAGAAAGAAAAAGAAATAAGGTAAGAAATAGGGTGCCATTGAATATTTTTAACTAGGTAAGAGATGTGATTGATCATTTATTTATTTCAAAAAAAGAATTATTCTGGTGGCAGTGGCCTAGTCCTAGAGGGAAAAAAATACAAACTGCAGGTTGCCCTTCAGCCATCTTGCCTCTTTCACTTATTGATGGCTGCGAATGGTGCCCCCATTGCCTTCCCCAATGGCAATAAGTGTTCATTATGTCTTGTTTTGTTAAAGGTGTTTTGTCCTTTATGGTCTCTGCCTGCCACAACAGCATAGATCAGATTTGGAGGACCTTTTAAAACTGAGTGTTTGACTATCTGTGAAATCCCTTTTTGTGTTTTCTTCACTTGAAATGACATTATGACTTACTGTGAGACAGGATAATTTGTAGTTTCTTTTGTCATGATCTTCTTTGGATGTCATAGACCATGGAGCGCTCTGCATTGGTTCAGAGGAACTGAGAATGGGAAGGACACAAGATTTTTATATTACTATTTCTCTTGAGTATTCTCGCTTGTGATGGATTTTGGCTCCAGGCATAAAGATATATGGAGAAGCAGCCTGTTGGGAGAGAATTTTATATTTCGCTTGGCTATTTTGTGACTAAATACAGTGTTAAATTATTTGTGTGATGCTTGCATGATATTAAATTGAAAGAGCTATTGTTTTATCAAAAAGTGCTTTAGCATATACTATGAAGGCTAGATATTAAATACCAGGGCTTCTGTATATAAAGAAAAGTCAAGCCAGATTTCTTATCTTAAATTACTTTAGTAAGTAAGCTTAGCAGTGGTTCCTAAGAAACCTAAAGCTCTCTTTCTCATCAAAAGCCCCAAACAGTTGGTCTTTGGGGGCCATTTTTCTTGACATTATGCTCCAGACTCAATCAGAATTCTGGGTAAGCTAGTATCTTAGCATTCTCTGTCTCCAAACCTTAGATCACCTGTGCTTTAAAATAAAATCTGTATTACACTTTCTCCTAAGCAAGATTTGTCTTTTTTTTTAAATGAAATACAGAAGAGAAGCAGAAACTTTTCTTTAGTATAAATTCTTAGAAACAATGCATATTCTAAAGGCCATAGGAGTAGACTTGCCCTTACTTCGTTCCAAGGTTCCTCTGCTCCCTGGTCCTCCATACTTTTATCAACAGCTGTTTTGGAGATTTCTGAATGTTTTGATACTAGCAAAAATAATGAAATATTTTTATCAGCGCAATAGAGAAAGATTGCATAACAAGCGAGAACCAATTACACAACTTCAAGAAGGCTCAAACCAAAAGTTGCTCATAACAGTAATGAAATTGTTAATTGAAATAGGCCCAAAGTATATGTCATGTCTCGTCTCCTGGAAGCCGCATAATGGGATCCATATTTCATTCCCAAAAAATAGTGTTTCTATGAAGTCGTGTAGTGGATTAACTCTTCTTTAAAAACTAATCCCCCCAAAAGTAAGGGAAAACATATTACTTTAATTAATAATGTGGGTTTTTAGATACTCAAAGGATAACATCTTAGAGGAAACTCCATATTGTGTGTAATAGGCCCCAGGAAGAAGAAAAAACATTTGTTAATCACCTGTAATAGGCAATCTCAAACATTTTACATAAATTTTTTCTATTCCTTGCAACAATCCCATAAAATTCTACTTCTAACATTGGTAAGGAAACACAGCCAAGGAGGAATGCCTTCTTTTCCTTCTTTTTTACCTTAAGCCTTGGGCATTGGGGTGAGGTGACCAAATAATATCCTCTAAGGTAACAAATAAGGATAAAGACCTAATTTATCTTCTATGCGTATAAGAGTTGAAGGAAGACATGGATGATAAGCAGTGTGCCCAAAAATCTCGGAGCATATTGAAAAGTGGATAAGGCTTTCTTTGTAGAAAGGGCAGAACAAGAAAATGTAATTATCAAGAGGAGGAATGCTGTTTATTGTGTGACTTCTACGTGCCAGTATTCTGCTAGGTGTTTCACACATGTAATCATTTTAAGCTTCACAACAATCATGTAGGGTAAATGCACTTTTCTTCATTTCACAGAGGAGACCTTAGGGGTCAACATAGTTAAGTAACTTTTTCAAAGTCATACAGTTGGTAATTGTTGGGACAGAAATTAAACTCAGGTTCTGCAGGTAATATCCTCTAAGACCAAAAAAAAACGGTATGTAATGTGTTGTATATTTTTCTGGGAGAGGGTAAATATCTTTGATCATATTCACAAAGAAGTTCTTAACCCCCCAAAATAGAACAACTTCTATATTATGCCATCTTAAGATAAGCAGTACAGAGCAGGGAACTTGGAGCTATGTGAGCTCAGTCTTTATATCCCCCTTAACTTCTACCCAGGTAATAGTAGCAAGTTAAACCAGAAAATATATACATATATCCTTCATAATCCTTTAGGGCTAAGAAGTCTACTTTTTATTTTGTTGGAGAAGAGGTATAGTGTGCTAGGTGAATGTACAGTTGCTAGAGTTGAATTGCTTAAATTTAAATTCTAACTCTACCACTTATTCTCTTACATCAAATTGTACTATCACAGTTTCCTCATTTATAAAAGTAGAATAGTAATAGTACTATCTTATGGTATATGTGAGCGTTAAATTAGTAAATATGTGTAAATTACTTAGTGCAGACAGCAGTTTCCAAAGGACATTTGATGATATTTAAAGATATTTTTGGTTGTCACAATTTGGGAGAGGGGTGCCACTGTCATCTAGTGATAGAATCCAGGTGCATTTTGCAGTGCACAAGACAGCCCCACAACAAAGAATTATCTGACCTTCAGTGTCAGTAGTATTGAAGTTGAGAAGCCCCTGGTTAGCACAATGAGTGGCATATACATTTTTATAAACATTTGCTATTATTTTGTGCTGAAGTCTAAAAAAAAACATGGAAGAAAAAGTAGAATTATTATGTAATCATCTTTTCTTGGTTGTTTTGTGTGTGTGTGTGTGTGTGTGTGTGTGTGTGTGTGTGTGTGGTTGTTTGTTTTTTTGTGTGTTTTTTTTTTTTTTGGTTTTGTTTTTTGTTTTGAGACAGAGTCTTGCTCTGTCACCCAGGCTGGAGTGCAGTGGCGGTATCTCTGCTCACTGCAACCTCCACCTCCCAGGTTCAAGCAATTCTCCTGCCTCAGCCTTCCGAGTAGCTGGGATTACAGGCACCCGCCACCAAGCCCAGCTAATTTTTGTATTTTTGGTAGAGATGGGGTTTCACCATTTTGGCCAGGCTAGTCTTGAACTCCTGACTTCATGATCCACCCACTTCAGCCTCCCAAAGTACTGAGAT
The DNA here is from genome assembly GCF_000001405.40 of Homo sapiens. Taxonomy (NCBI): domain Eukaryota; kingdom Metazoa; phylum Chordata; class Mammalia; order Primates; family Hominidae; genus Homo; species Homo sapiens. The sequence goes on from NC_000005.10 coordinate 171,147,687, forward strand.
TACAGGCATGAGCCACCGCACCTGGCCATAATCATCTTTTCTAAGCAGCTAAAGAAAGGTAAAATTTTTAATCTCAGGTGGGGGGGTCAGCCCCCCGCCCGGCCAGCCGCCCCGTCCGGGACGTGAGGGGTGCCTCTGCCCGGCCGCCCTTACTGGGAAGTGAGGAGCCCCTCTGCCCGGCCACCACCCCGTCTGGGAGGTGTGCCCAACAGCTCATTGAGAACGGGCCATGATGACAATGGCGGTTTTGTGGAATAGAAAGGCGGGAAAGGTGGGCAAAAGATTGAGAAATCGGATGGTTGCCGTGTCTGTGTAGAAAGAAGTAGACATGGGAGACTTTTCATTTTGTTCTGCACTAAGAAAAATTCTTCTGCCTTGGGATCCTGTTGATCTGTGACCTTACCCCCAACCCTGTGCTCTCTGAAACATGTGCTGTGTCCACTCAGGGTTAAATGGATTAAGGGCGGTGCAAGATGTGCTTTGTTAAACAGATGCTTGAAGGCAGCATGCTCGTTAAGAGTCATCACCAATCCCTAATCTCAAGTAATCAGGACACAAACACTGCGGAAGGCCGCAGGTTCCTCTGCCTAGGAAAACCAGAGACCTTTGTTCACTTGTTTGTCTGCTGACCTTCCCTCCACTATTGTCCCATGACCCTGCCAAATCCCCCTCTGTGAGAAACACCCAAGAATTATCAATAAAAAAATAAATTTAAAAAAAAAATTTTTAATCTCAGATATTAAATGACTTTAATTAATAGAACCTCAATATTATATGGAAAACCCCATTTAAAGTACGAATTTTTGATAGTATAAATGAATATGAAACCACATTTGATGCTATCAGATACTTGTAAATAGTGTATAGTTTAATCCTGTCTAGTATTGAGGTACTTGTCTATATATCTGTATTGATATATATATATATATAGAGAGAGAGAGAGAACATTTCATGATCATATATATAAAGTAATTGGTTAAGAGTATGGGCTTTGACATTATTCTGACTTGGGTTTAAGTCCCAGCCCTGTCACGTACAGATATGTGACTCAATAGACACATAACTTCTCTGGGTCTCAATTTCTTTTGTGGTAAATTGTGATGTTAATGTGATTGGTGTGATATTAATGTGATTTCTTCAGTGGTAAAATTGTGATATTAATGTCTACCTGCTTCATAGACTTACCATGTTGATTAAATGAGATAAAGTATATAAAGTGCTTAGCATAGTGCTTGCCCATAATGAGCACTCAGTAAACGATAGCTGTTCATATTATCGTCATCATCCCTGTCCCTGAAACTTCAGTACAAGTGATGTGGTAAAAACTAGAATAGTCAACCAAGAGGCTGATTGCTGGTAAAGTAAACCTAACCATAGGTTCTGTAGCTACCACGTACAAGCTATCTAACTTTACCTACTGTCTTCACCCATTCTATAAAATCACCTCAACTTCCCTGGCCACTGTACAAAGGCCCCTTTCCTCATTTGATATCTACCAACATCCACTGTTAGCATCCCTAACCTCTTTTGGAGATACCATGGATCTTTTTTACTGTTCCATTTTTTACTGAGCTCTGAGCTATGCTCATTTTTCATGTGTCCACTGAAGTCCACATAGTTATATATATTTTCTCCCCAAAATCCCATATCACACAAATAAAAATATCTAAACAGGAGAACTGTTTCCTATCTTGGGTTCTCTCAACACATGACTGTTAATTTTATTCTTTTCACTTACCGTATTTCACTTACTGTATCAGCCTCCTTCTAAATTATATCATAATCTCCCTTAAGTCCCTAGATTAGTTTGTTCAGAGGCAAAACAAAAGTGAAAGATTTTGTGAGAAATGCATAGTTTCATTACACATCTGGTAAAGACACGCTATGATTGCTTTCTTACAGTGTCCAGAAGCTAATTTATGGTACTTTCTTTGTTTATTGTACTTGAGCAATATAGAGTATACTCTGCAGACATGGTTTACACTTTGAATTAGTTTGCATCTATCTATATTAATGTGTTTTGTAAGCCAGGCCTTAATATCTCTTTATTGTGCTCTTTTGAAAATAATTCTCTTAAATCTATGGAACGTGTCTTACTTGTGAAGAAAGACACATTTTTCCACCTTTCTAAGATTAAAATAGTGAGAGAAACCTCAAAGAAGAGGAAATCCTATTTTAAAATAACAGCGATCTCCTCTGTAGACTCTTGGTTTGCAGGTTGTTAGTCTTCATCCTCTGTGTCAATTTAATGTATCACGTAAGTACTAGTGAACAGATGTGGGGGTAGGGGGAGGCAAGCAGAGTGTTGAAGCAGGAACCAGCAGCATTGGCAAACTGGCAAATGCTTCTGTTTTGCTAAACACCTGCTTTTCTTGTATTCAGATTGTCTGAACCATCTGTTTTTATATTCTGTTTACCTACTGTCAGCCATTTTGGAGTTGTTAAAATCTTTGAAAGTAGTTGGGAATTTTTCACAGTAAGCTGGGAATCTATACCACTCTTTAAAAACTTTGTGTTTTTAGGGTATTCCCATTTAATCCTCCAGAGAATAATTACTTTTTAATTTAGGTGCAATGTGTTAAATATTATATAATTAAAATGTTTTTCTCCCTTCCCAATTACTTATTCTTAGAAATCAAAGTTTAAATTGTCTAAATAGGTACTTGGCCATAGTGTGATAACACTAATAACAGATTCGTAATGATAGAATGTAAATATTAATTTATATGTCCCCTCTCATTAAAAAAAGAAAGAAAAAAGCATTACACAATTTGATGAAAGGTACTAATTTTTTATAAGCTTACCTACTAGATGATATGCAAGTGATATTCTCAATAAAAATATATAGTATTTATAAATACCTTTTTGCACCAGATACTATGCTAGGCATTTTGTCCACATTATCACAACTCTTCTCTACAGCCTTGCAAGGTAGATATTATTGTCCTCATTTTATAGATGAAGAAAATGATTCTTTAAGAAGTTGAGGAAATTGTTCATGCTCACATTTGTGACTGGAGATTTGAACTCTGGTTTTTACATTGCTTTTCAAAAATTCTGTCATACCCAAGAGATGATTCTGTGATCCAAAGTTTCTGCATAAGGAGTCAGAGGTGGTGCATTTTGTTTAGTTAGAAGTGAACACACTTCATTTGGTTTGTTAAATTCCTAGCTCTTTTCTAATTGTCTGCAGACGTTTTGTTCCTTTTGTCATTGAGGAACACTGTTGGAACTTGGTCCGCTGCTTTTGTGTTTTGCAAGGTTTTTCAAAAATGCTTTTACTTTAAAAAGAAAATGAACTAGTTGAGGTCTCTGTAAAAAATTCCAGCAGAGAATTTGCTTTTTCCTTAAAGTTTATATCTGTCTACTGGGGCCTCTAGTAACCTTTCAAGATAATAGTCAGAATAGAATGGCTATGTTAACATTTTTTTGACCTTTGTCACTACCCAGAAATGTGATCTGTGCAAAATAGACCTTAAAGATGCTATAAGTGGAGGTTCAGTTCAAATGATTTAAAGGCATGGTGTTAATAGATATAATCCATATTTATATTTCACTTTTCTAGAGCAAAGCTCACATAAAGACCACCGAAATCAATATTATGAAAGAGTCAGGCCTCTTTGGCCTAGGAATTTAAACACTTGAAAGGCAAGATCAGGTTTTTGGTTTTTTAGTTAGGATATTGGCAGGACTTGAAAATTTCTGAAATATTTAAATTCAAGAGTCGCCTTAAATATATGTTAATTTCAGGGAAAATAAGAAGCAATTCCACTTTCTCTGGTCAATAATAAAATTTACAGAACTTCTCCCAAGCAATGGCACAAATTAAAAATATAAATAGGCTTAATAAGTTCATGAATTAAAGATTCTCAACAAGTTATTATGAAAAGATATAAATATCTGGGCTACATTTCTAACCCTGTGAGGTTAATGGTCATTGGTGGAAGGTAGTTCATTGAAGCCTTAATGAGAGACAGTTATGAACTAGGTGAGCCATTGAGCTGATGGATGGCATTCTTATATAATTAACCTAGCAGTGGTAATCGCCTCCTTCAAGTTCCTAGCCTTTCTCGAACCAAGGAAAAAGAGCCAAAATTGTTGCCATTTTGCCACCTTGACATTTCTTTTCAATTGCCAAACCTAACTACCTTTCTTCAGTAATACAACTAAACCAGAGAGGGCTGGTTTTTCTGCATTCAGAACTGTGGATTTAGGGTCATTTTGGTATATATTTAATTGAACTCTTGGGAGCAGATGAACTCCCCCAAGGAACTGGGTATATGAGGGCGGAGGGCAGTTTCAATTCAAGAATGTGAAGAATAGAAATTTCTAACTGAAAATAAATAATTAGAAAGTGAGAAACCAGAGTAAGATGTCCATGAAACTCAGAATATCGAGGAGAAAGAACACATGGTAACAGAGGCAATAAAGGGCCCCAGAAGCTGGGCACAGTAGCTCACTCACGCCTGTAATCCCAGCACTTTGGGAGTCCGAGGCAGGAGGATCACTTGAGGTCAGGAGTTCGAGACCAGCCTGGCCAACATGGTGAAACTTCATCTCTACTAAAAAAAAAAAAGTAAAAAATTAGCCAGGCATGGTGGCACATGCCTGCAATCCCAGCTACTCGGGAGGCTGAGGTAGAGAATCGCTTGAACCCGGGAGGCGGAGGTTGCAGTGAGCTGAGATCGCTATTGCACTCCAGTCTGGGCGACAGAACGAGACTCTATCTCAAAAAAAAAAAAAAGGGCCCCAAAAAGATACAAGCTTTACCCCTCTGACTCTGAACTATCATGCACAATGTAGTCAGACAAATCTTAAACGTCACTCTTGTCCTAGGGTTCTTCCCACTTAGAAATCTCCCTGTTGCTCATGACATCAAGCCAGTACTCTGGCTTTTAAGGTTCTCCATAATCTAGCTCCATCTACTGTCCAGTTTTTGGTTTCCACAGCTCCCTTCTGTCATGCTGACTCCCATTTTTAACTTGGATCATACTGTTCTCTTCCTCCTTCTGCCCACACTCATACAAACTCATACCTGGATCATATTTGCTGTTAAAACTTAATAATGGCAATGCTCGCACTCATTTATTGTTTATTATACACCAGTCACTATGATGATAAACCTTCTATGTGCATTATATCTTAATAAGTCTCAAAATAATCTTATGACGAAGGTGTCATTAACCTCATTTCTATAGTAGAGTAACTCAACTAAGAGTACATAGGTAGGAAGTGGCATTCACAAGATTTGACCTTAGGTCCTTCTAACTCTAAATCCATTAAATGATGAAGTGTAATTCCTGATCTTGCTCCTAAAGCATTTTATGCTCTGTGTCCTTATTTTCTTAGCAAGGTTTGAGATTCTTGAGGAAAGGGGCAGTGTCTATACATATCTTGTATCTGTCATACAACTAGGACAGTGCTAGATTATCACCTATTTTCTCATTGATTGATTGGATATTGATTAGAGTGAGATGGTCAGACTTTATGGTGACAGAAGGAGAGAAATTTTATTCTGATCCTAGTCATATTTCTGAAGTAGGTGTTGTTAATTAGAGCAGCATCTTATTAAGAAACAGTGGGTTGGAACCAGCCAGTGTTTAGTTTTCAAGAATTGTACATTAGAAAAAGATTTATACAGAGTCTGTAAGAATGTTATTTTTGGCTAGATTAGTGGCACTCTTTTTTTTGTTTCATTTATTATACAAATACTTATCATTACAAATCTGTTTATTATATGCTAAACAGTGGGACACACTATTGCCTAGGGAAAGATATTCCTGCCATCACAGACTGGTGGAGAACACAAAGTTAATAGGTAATCATTGTTCAATGTAATGAGGCCCATGACTGATATGCAGAATACTGGGAACATATTGGAAGATAACTGATGAAATCTTGGGGAAGACAGGGGAAGACTGACACCCAGGGGGTGCTTGGGTTTCTTTTAGTGTCATTCACTTCTGCATATAACATACACAGGGAAGTAAGATAGGACCAAGAGTTGCATATTAGTGCAAAAAGAGAACAGAAGTGTTCAGCTTCATGTTTTCCACTTTTCCATTCAAGATTGCAAACAGGCTGAGTGCAGTGGCTCATGCCTGTAATCTTCAGGCGGATCACCTGAGGTCGGGAGTTCAAGACCAGCCTGACCAACTTGGAGAAACCCCATCTCTACTAAAAATACAAAATTAGCCAGGCATGGTGGCACATACCTGTAATCCCAGCTACTCGGGAGGGTGAGGCAGGAGAATCTCTTGAACCAAGGAGGCGGAGGTTGCAGTGAGCCAAGATCACGCCACTGCACTCCAGCCTGGGCAACAAGAGCAAAACTCCATCTCAAAAAAATAAATAAATAAATAAATAAAAATTGCAAACAAGACCAAGAAATCTAAATAACAGTTCACTTTAGTTTTTTTTTTTTTTTTTTTTTAACCAAATTAAGGGGGTTGAGGACAAAGTGAATATTCCATCTTTTCTAAGAAGATAATTAGTAAAACAAATGAATTTAACCTACTCCTCTTAGTTGGCACCAAGAACTACCTGCTATTTCCACTGTCTGATAGGTGCCAAGATTATTTTATGTGCAAGTCAAGGTGTTTTTTTCTGAGACGGAGTCTTGCTTTGTCACCCAGGCTGGAGTGCGGTGGCACGATCTCGGCTCACTGCAAGCTCCGCCTCCCGAGTCCACACCATTCTCCTGCGTCAGCCTCCTGAGTAGCTGAGATTACAGGCATGCGCCACCATGCCCAGCTAATTTTTTTTGTATTTTTAGCAGAGACGGGGTTTCCCCATGTTGGCCAAGCTGGTCTTGAACTCCTGACCTCAAATGATCTGCCCACCTTGGCCTCCCAAAATGCTGGGATTACAGGTGTGAGCTACTATGCCCAGCCAAGATTATTTTATGTATATTGAATGAAATAGCATTTAATATAGTGTTTACTTTGGATTTACTAGAACAAATGTCAGTGAATACATATTTTTCCCTAGCAGCTAAGAAACAGCATTGTCAAACAGTGAAAACAGGAAGTTGGGGAAACCATTTAACTGTATAACCTCAAGAAATCTAACCACTATTTGATTTTGCCATCTAAAGTATTGTGTTAGGCTGGGCTCAGTGGCTCACGCCTGTAATCCCTACACTTTGGGAGGCCGAGGCACGTGGAGCACCTGAGGTCAGGCGTTTTGAGACTAGCCTGGCCAACATAATGAAACCCTGTCTCTACTAAAAATACGAAAAATTAGCCGGGCATGGTGGCGGGGCACCTGTAATCCCAGCTACTCGGGAGGCTGAGACAGGAGAATGGCTTGAACCCGGGAGGCAGAGGTTGCAGTGAGCTGAAATCACGCCACTGCACTCCAGCCTGGGCGACAGAGTGATACTCCATCTAGAAAAAAAAAAAAAAAAATATATATATATATATATATATATATGTACACACACACACACACACATATACACATATATGTATATATATGGAGTTAATGATACCTAGCTGTGCCTATTTTGATTGTACATTCTTAGCGATGCAAGAGGGAGAATACAATTAGCCTTCCCCCAGCCAAAAAGAGGATAATCCAAGTAATTAAAGATTTAAAATAAAATTTTATGAATGAGATGTAGGAGGTAGAGAAAGTAGCCATAGAGAAAGTGGATATTTTGTCAGTTATTTTTCTTGATCACTATTTGAGAATAATATCATTTAATATCAACTACAGTGTGGGAAAAGGCAATGATGATTTCAGCAAATGAGCATTTACTATTAAAAAAGAAGCAAAAATAAGTTATGAAATATAGCAGAGTTCTCCACATACATTGATGTTATACAATTATGATTTATGATGATAATAATTCCCCTAATTCCATAATCTGTGAAAATGAAATAAACTTATTTCCGTGAACCCTTCAAAAAAGATAACTCCCACAAATTCCTAATCAAACTGATTTTAAAAGAAAAGAGAAAAAGTAGATTTGAATGGAGAAATCGAGTGCTACAGAATATAAAATTTTCATTCATTTGTATAGTGGATTGTCATCTTGAAGTAAAGATGAAATGAAACAAAGTTGTTTGTGCTTTGAACATTGAAGCATTGTTCATCATGCATAATTAACAAAGTTGAAATTTTGTAAGTATGAATCATGCACAAAAGAGCCACAGCTATGATAGCTATTACAGGAAATGGAGGAAATTAATAATAAAAGGCAATACACTACCTCATAAATACATTCTCATCATAAGATTGGAGCATGAAAGCATTAAGAAAATGCCCTGATTAATTTAACAACTTAATCCTGTAAATTGGAGTATAGTTATTTCAGAATTCATTTGTACATAGACAAAGCAGAGACACAAAATAGCTTACTTTCATTAAGATTTTAAAAGCAATTCTTATGGATATGTGAAGATAATATTCTTTCAAAAGAAAGATTATAAGCGGATGTTCCTTAATGTTTCCGAAATTACCTAGTTTCTATATCTTTCTACAAGTACTATATTATATTCATTAAGAATCAGAATTGGCACATTCTGGGTTACATTCCAGTGATCTTACCTTCTATATAATTTATTTTAAGTAACTGCTAAAATTATGATTTTTAAAAGACTATGTGATACTAGGAACATAAATTAGAAGAAAAAGGTACTTTCTTAGTTCTCAGTAATTGAGTAAAGTTTAATCCTGATTAGAAGATCCTTGAGTACCATTTTGATGTGTGAAATAATTTATTTAGATGTTTTTAAAATAAATTTTGGAGTATTTTTGTAAAGTGCAAATACATGAGTAGTTTTCTAGAACGGCTTTTATGTCATGTGAACATGTGTGGATCACTATATTTTTTTTCCTATTAGCTATTTGGTAAAAGTCCACAATTTGCCAAGATGGTTAATAGGACACAAATATAGACATTTCATATGATGTACCATGTAAATGTAAACCTTTGTAGTTACATGTTTTTGTAGCAAGAGAATTGTTTTAAAAGGCATGTAATTTATTAGCTATCGGTAGCTTCTTTATTGCCTTGCCGCACTGCAGTAATAAATAAAAGAAAGTGAACTGATTTTACAAATGGCACACAAGGTGCACATTTTGTGGGAAAAAAAGTCTTTTTTTAAAGAATTGGCATTAAATCCTTTTTTTGTGATGACAAAGAGGCTAAGAGTGCAAACTGTATTTTCTGTTTATCGAAAACAGTCTTTTTTTCTCCGGGGCATTTTTCCCTATGATCATCAAGGGATTTCAAAAGCAATAAAGTGTGGAATCATTGTTCGACTTGAACAGTATTAAAACTTAGGTTTTAATTTCAGTGAAGTAATAAGATTTGAACCTGTCTCACATTACAGCACTGTAAGGCATTTAGCAATTGTATTTTAAAGGAGGTTTTTAAAATGCAGCTCACTTGTAAGCTAACTGTCTGTCAGTAATTAATAGTTTTTCTTCAGCATTGGCTGTTGTGATCAGACCAAGAAATATCTGGGTTTTTAGTAACACATTATGATAATTGTGAATGTTTATTCCTAATTAGTCTAAATGTCTAATAATTTTCAGCTTGCTTCTCTGGCTGTTTAAAAGAAAACAGAGGGTGATGTTTAAAGCTACAGTGTGTCTTATAAAAAATATGAATGTACATCTGCATGTATATTTCAGTAAGTTTTACACCCGGCAAGATTATGTCAGTTGACTCATTCATTAACTAAGTATTTTATTCTTCAGTACCATTTCCTAGTTTTTGATATTACATCATTTATATAGGGATTGCCAAATAAGGTACTGTATGTAAAGCTAAACCCACACTGATGATCTGGACTCTTCAGTGATGAACATTGAAACTTGTCTTTACTTCTTAAAAAGGGCTTTAAAATATGAGCATTTCTACTAAAACAATGTGGCAACATATTTGCTGATGAAAGATTGTATTTACCATATTGAATTGCCTTAGAAAATAATTGCCTCTACAAAAGGAAACATCTGTATGATAGCGCATGGTTAAAGCTGCCATCAATTTTTAACATTTGAGGGTTGAGCTATGACCTTTTATGATGACTGTGAACAGTAACTGCATCCATTAGCCATAAGTTTTGTTTCTTTATTTTAGTAGATGGTCTAGACTGTAAATATTAGAGAATCTAAAATAAATCAACATATTATCCTAAGGATACAAAATGTAAGAGCTATTTGTGGTTGGGAACCTTTGACAGATAGTTTGGATGAAGCAGATGATTGCCTGCCTAGCGTATCTGGTCTCCATTGCTATGCCTGCAGGCAGTTTAGTGCTATGGTTGTATATTGATGTCAGGGTTAGTACTGAGTGGCTAGCAGTGACAGATGTCTATAATTACAGGCAATGCTTCCAGTATTTCTGAAAAGCCAGCCTATGTTGAACAATTATCTTATTTCTGCCTTGCCAAAGAGCATGTTCCAATTGCTAGTATTAGCAATGGTGAATATAGTGCTTTATCTGCTGCCTTGGGACAAATGTGAGAAAAGCACTTGGTTATAAAACATAAATGCAAAATATTTTTTCAACATTTTAAATTAGTTAAGTTCAGTGTTTTCCTAATTTTTATCTCCCCATAATGTTTCTTTTGAAGGAGTCTTGAAATATAAAAGCACATTTGGCATACTTATTGGAATTTTGTTTTCCCCTAGGCCTTGCGTGGCTCCCCAGCGCCAGTATCCCTTGCTTTACTGAATAGATGTGTTTAAGCAAGTTGGCTTTGAAACAAGTTTCTCCTATGTGAATTGCATTTTCTGGTTGACACCCATTACAAAATTGGAAATGCATTTCCATGGAAAATCTCCTATGCCCAGTAAGTTTAGTTGGAAACTTTTAACAAGAAAAATTATAACATAATAGAAAATTTTGAAATGTGCTAAACACCTTAGTACTGGTGGCTTTCCATTTGCTGAGAATTGCAATTCTCAAGTTTTGTTGTAACCTTTTTTTTTTTTCTTAAGCCTTTGACCATTTATTGTCCATTTCTGTCTCTCAATTTTCATGGTCACTTCCTTCCTTGCTCCCTCTTGGCCCACTTTTCTGACTCATTAGAAATGTTTTCATGCTTGTTGGTGCCAGTTCTCACCTGCCCTTTTTATCTGGTCATTTGCATTCATGAGCTATGGGCTGTCATACCACACTTTCCAGCAGGTGCGGCTGCCTAACACATGATACTCTCTAACCTTCCTAAAGATTAAGGTGTTGGGGGTTAAAACATTATCCATGTTGTAAGTTATGAATCCTGTATTTTCAGGTAATGTAGAATGAGAAATATCTAGGAAATATCACTTGAGAATGCAGTTTATCTTCAACCTTAATCTAACCTGCAATGGGTTTCTGCTTTGCATTTAACCACTTTGCTGAATTATTCATTACATTTTCTCATTTAGTCTTCTCAACAATGTTCTGTTTAATATACATGAATATCATTTTGCAGAAATATGAAACAATTTCAGAATTAAAAGCTTGTTTAGTGGCAGGCCCTTGGTTTCAACCAGATCATCTTACTCTGAACCCAGTTTGCTTTTCGCTGTATCACATTGGCTATGTATGTATTTAGGCATGAGTCCAGGAATGATCAGTTTCAGAGTGTGTTGACTGATAATGCCAATATCATAAGTTTCATCTCCATACTAGCTGTTTTACTTCCCAAGGAAAAGACTCATTTCTTTAACTGAAGATTGGATGTCTAGTCCTGGCTCGCCATCAGTCACAAAAGAACTAAGCTAGATCCTTGATATTTTATGTCCTACAATAGGAGAAGCAACCTAGAACCAATAGTCTAGTGTCAGAGATCAGTAATATTATATTTATTTCTGAAAGGTAGCCCCTTTCTGTTCCCACTGTGAGAGAATGCCCCTTGGGAGCCCATCACCTAAAAACTCTTAATAATTTTAAACTAATGATAGTGTTCTGGACCCCCGTGTCTGTGTACATTAATTTAGTAAAGAAAATTTGGGCCGGGCACAGTGGCTCACGCCTATAATCCCAGCACTTTGGGAGGCTGAGGCAGGTGGATCACGAGGTCAGGAGATCAAGACCATCCTGGCTAACACGGTGAATCCTCGTCTCTACTAAAAAAATACAAAAACTTAGCTGGGCGTGGTGGCAGTCGCCTGTGGTCCCAGCTACTCGGGAGGCTGAGGCGGGAGAATGATGTGAACCCGGGAGGCAGAGCTTGCGGTGAGCCAGGATCATGCCACTCCAGCCTGGGCGACAGAGTGAGACTCCATCTCAAAAAAAAAAAAAAAAAAAAAAAAGAAAAAAGAAGAAAATTTGGACAATTGGATGGACCTATTGATCTGAATGGGGAAAACTTTGATAACTTATTGGACACAGTGATCATCTACTTACTCAGTGAGTTGAAAACTTACCTTGGAGATAGGAAGCAGGAACTTGTATTGACTCAAAAAATGAGGATGAAAGCTTTGAATCTGGCAATATAGGTGATGCAGATAAGTTCTTGAGATAAAATAACACCAAATACCACAGATCATTCTGTTTTTCTCCTGACTTTTTTTCTATCACTTTTCTTACTACTTTATTTCTTTGCAAGACTCAAAGACTAGACCCATTATTTAATATTAGAAGTTATGTTACCTTTCATTAAGACCCTCTCCCCTCTAACTACTACTAAAGCTACTCACATACCCACTTAGAACATATATCTGTTTTCTAGTATCTAGTCCAGATAAAGCACAAAGAAAAGAGACATTCCAATAAAAATAATAGGTAATACTTATGAAAATTTTACTGTATACCAGGACTGTTATAGGTCCTTCACATAAATTAACCATTTTAATCTCAAAAATTCCACAGATTAGGTACTACTCTCATCCTTTTTATATTTGAGGAAACTAAGGTTTAAAGGGTAAGCAACTTGCTCAAAATTACTTAGTAAGTGGCAGAATCTCACTAGTCTTGGGCTTCAGAATCTATTCCTAACCACTTCACTAGATTACCTCCTATTTTGTGATATTATACTTTGTAACCCTAGTTAAAAGATGTACTTTTGCCAATCAGAAGGTTACTTTGCCTGCTTAAGTCATTAGCCTCAGTTGCCACACTTCTATAATGAAAGTGCTTCATGGGAAACAGTACTAAGAGATTCTTTTTGGTTTTTTTTTTGAGATGAAGTCTCACTCTTGTCGCCCAGGCTAGAATGCAATGGAGCAGTCTCAGCTCACTGCAACCTCTGCCTCCTGGGTTCAAGTGATTCTCCTGCCTCAGCCTCCCAAGTTGCTGAGATTACAGGCGCGTGCCACCACGCCCTGCTAATTTTTTGTATTTTTAGTAGAAGTAGAAGCAGGGTTTCACCTTGTTGGCCAGGCTAGTCTGGAACTCAGGTGATCCACCCATCTCGGCCTCCTAAAGTGCTGGGATTACAGGCGTGAGCCACCGCGCCCGGCTGAGATTCTTAAAAATCATTCTGTCAAATATTATTTATGATTTATTCTTTTTTAGGGCTAGCTTTTAGTAACTGGTTTCTGGAATTATCTCACTGAAGCAATCCCATTGTCATTCATATAACCACATCCAGAATTTGAACAGGACTTCACCATGTCTCTGCTCATGGGCTCCAGAATAAAATCAAAGTCCCAAGAATATCATAAGTAACAACCACAAAGATTGTCAGCCACTTTCTCCTTTTATTTGAGATTGGGGAGGCCTTTTGCTCTTATTTCTGGTGCCAGGTGGCAGGTCCCTAAACTTTGTGCTTTTTAGGTTGTACGCCTGAGGAGTGATGTACCCAGAGTTCCAGAGAAGGCTTGGAAAATAGTTAAGGTGAGTTGGGTTGCTGGTTATGATGGTGGACCAGCAATCTTTATGCTTGTCTCACTACAGCCTCAGATTCTAATTAGTAAAACAGGCATATGCATACAATGATTAAGTGTAGGCATGCATTGTCTTCATTCCCTTTTTATGCATTATATAATTCTACAATGTTCATATTTTATAGCCAAAGGTTTAGTAGTCCACTAATAAGCAGTATTAGCTGCAAAGCCTATATTTAATGTGGTTGCATAGTACAAAAGCATCCTAGATTTCTTGATGCTAACATTGCTGAGTAACCAATTATAATCAGTTATTAATACTTAAGAAAGTTTTATTTGGCTACATTGAATAGCATCTGTTATTGAACAGTGTCTAGAGCACATGTATCCCTTGTGTCAGAATGTGTTTCTGGCTGACACCTTTAGGAGGTACGGGGGATTAAACAAAATATTTTACTTCCCAGTTCCCCACCTCTGCTATCACCCTCTCACAAACTTCATCCAGCATCAGCTTCTTTGCCCTAAAATTTAATCGTCATCTTATAAACTTGCTATTGCAAAGAATTATAAATATTCCTTTAACTGTCTGAAATGCTCTTTCAAACCATGGTCCCAAAATCCTCTACTAAAATTAAGCCTTCTTCCCAAGCATCTGGTGCCATAGCCATAGTTAGCTTCTTTTTGAATGGGCTTGGGGAGATAATATATTTACCCAGGGCTTTACCATGGCTTTATCCATAGAAGACTAGTTTAACAGAAGCTTGGCCCCAGACATGGAGTGAATTGGCAGCCAACAGGAGCAAAGCTGTGTCAGGACAAATGTACACTCTCCATTTTCTCTGGTTGGCTTTCAGCTGGTTGCACCACAGGAGTCTTTCTGTGGACTGCATATCCTGTGACCAGTAACTGGTGCACTCAACCCAGGTCCCTCTTGGCTAGGGAAGGCCTGTCGGGAGGCATTAGGTTCATGCTGGTGGAGATCCTTAGTCAGTGGCTCCCTGAAGGAAAGTAAGGCAAACAGCCAGCTTCTGTTGAACAGGTGGTAGTTAGACCCTAGATCTGCTTGGGGGTGGGAGGAAAAGAATCTCTCCAAAATTACCAGCCTTGCTGGTTTTCACATTATACCTGTACTCTTTCTAATAAATTATTGTTTAGAAACTGACTCAGAAATATCTCTGACAGCATCTGGAGCTTTCTGACTTTTCCACCTTCCTTAGCAGTCTGGATTTGGGCCCAAGTTAGAAATGGAAACCCCACTGGGGTGCAAGCAAAAGAGGAAGCATGTTCTTAGCCATGCATCAGTGGAGGCCCCTACTGGGAGAGGGGATTATCACAAGGCAGCAGGCAGCCCTGCACCCCAGCCTGCTGAGTTCATGCTTTGTGCCACAGGATGTGGAGCGAAGGAAATGTGAGGCCAAAGTGGTCACTCCAAGTTTTCTTATACAATAGCTTATTCAAGCAGACTGGGAATGCCTCTTAAGAGATTTGTTAGGTACATGTGCCCTTAGCAAGATGGCCACCACAGATGGTGGGTTCAGATATTCTAATTGAAATAAATGTTTAACATTCAGATGTATTTTATACTTCCATAACCAGTTTTTCTTTATCAGATGCTGTTCCTTATTCAACTGAATGAGGCAAGCAGGATTATTCACCTTTTACCACTTGATTTCCAACATAAATTATGGTTTTAAAATCAAATTCTGGCAAAAGATTTTTCTGTCTAATTTCAGGCTTATATTTAGTGATGTTATTTGAAACGATATGGAAAAATTAGTCACCCAGGATTAATGTGGATCTATTCAGTGTCACTAAGTTTGTGTATTTAATATACAGCAATGATGTTTGTACCATTAATTCTCTTGTTATGGTGATAAGTTAATTGTGATTATCATATTTTATCCTGCTTCAAATGTTAATGAAAGAGCTAAGTACCTTTAGTTCCAAATGGTTTAGATCCAAGTCATTAAATGCTCTATTCTTTCTTACACCTCTCCTCCTCCCTCCTCTACTAATGCCTTTCACATTGATGAGGTCTTTCTTATAGAAAGCACTGAATTGACCTCAAAGGCACTTGAAGCCTAAAACAAAAATATGAAAATTGATTTCTTATTCATAGTAAGTGATTTCATACTGTGTTCCTAAATTCTCTTCCTAAGGAACACTAATGCTTTCATTATATTGGATCCTTTCCAGTGACAGGTTTTGTTTTACCAATTTAGAACCAGTTAAAAACCTTCATTAATAAGTCATTCCAATAGATTGAAACAATACTTGAAAATTCACAGTAATATTTGGGGGATCTTTTGTGGTATCACTTTTGTATTACCTGATATGTTTTTGAGAATAAATTGGTTCAGAGAAGGTTTGTCATCCAATGGCAAAATACTTTGTTGTTGACTTCTACTGCACTGTTAATTTTCTGCATTGAGCCTGCTTAAACAATGCACTAAAGCTCTTTGAGAAGTTATAGCATCTTAAACACTTATAGAAGGCCTAAGGGTATTAACTTACTATAATTTTCTGAAGATTCATTATCCAAAATCTTAATTCATTATAAAAACTCTTTTGAAAACCTATAGAACCAGTGTTTTCTCTTATTTTCTTATTTGCACAGAATGAGAGATTCGTTGTTCTTTTTAATTTGTTTCATGTGGTGCTTTTGAGTACATTTCATAAAGGACTGTTATTGAATTTCTGTGACTGTCATTATATATCCATACAATCTTTAGGAACTAATATTCTGGGTTTCCCAGTTCTGTAATCTACTCCAAATTTAAAGATTGACATAATTAGTTTCCTCAGAGTTATAACCAGAATGTTAGAGACAGTGCTCCAGATACCTAAGACTAAGGATTAGGATTGGTAAAAGAAATTTTAAAAATTATTTCGGCACATGCTTTTTTTATTCTTTATTAAATGTACAACTCAAAATTATGTTGCTATTTGTAGTTTATGTCCGCATCTGTTTTTCTTACCTAGTTCCCTTTTTAAAACCATATGTAACATCTTTTAAGCTACTTGCAAATTCTACAGGCAATATTTGTCATTTGATGAGTTGAGAATTTGGAGAATGTATTGGCTCATTGAAGCATTATGTACTATCCAAATGCTCTTTTCTTAAATTTATAAGAACCTTTGCAGTAAAATAAATACGGCTAAGAAAACAAATATATTAAAACAGTTTTTTAAGAGCATGCCTTCTCAAATCTGTAATAATGATAATTCCTTACATTTCTAATCACTTTCCATATTTCAGGAGCAAGAGAGATGGGTAACTGGTTAAAATGGGTAATTTTTCTAGTTTCTAAGACAATACACATTGAGAAGTAGAAAGAATTTGATTTTGTATCATGAAATTTTGAAGCAGTTCCTTTATGCCTTTAACAAATGCAATTTCTGAGTGTTACTAGAAGGTGTTAATTGAACATATTTGTAAAGATTTAAGAGTTATGGATACAGATTATAAGATTTTGTTTATTTGTTTTAACCGTCTTTATGCTGTGTGAAAATCTTCAAAGCACCTTCTGATTTTTTCTGTTATTTTTCATGTGAAGAGCCTTCTCTTCAAAAGGTGTTACCTGACCACTTCAGCACCTACTGTGCAGAAGGGTCAATGAAAGGTTGTACAGGGAAACAGCATTTGTTGAGTAACTATTAAATGTCAAGCTCTGAGTTCGGGATCATCATTTAATCTAATCAAAAGCCCATAAAGTAGGTTTTTTTGTTTTTTTGTTTTTTTTGAGATGGAGTCTCGCTCTGTCACCCAGGCTGGAGTGCAATGGCACAATCTTGGCTCACTGCAACCTCCGCCTTCTAGGTTCAAACAATTCTCCTGTCTCAGCCTCCCAAGTAGCTGGGATTACAGGTACACGCCACGACGCTCGGCTAATTTTTTGTATTTTAGTTTGGGGTTTCACCGTGTTGCCCAGGCTGGTCTCGAACTCCTGAGCTCAAGCAATCCTCCCACCTCGGCCTCCCAAAGTGCTGGGATTATAGGCATGAGCCACCGCGCCCAGCCTAAAGTAGGTATTATTATTATTATTACTATTTTATGGGTAAGAAACCAAGATTCAGAGACCTTAAGAAACACCTAGTTAGTGGCAGATATAGAATTCAAATGCAGTATCTTTGGGACCAAAGTCTGTGCTTTTTCTACTTGCTAAGTTTATCACGACAGTGTTCTAAGACAATATACCACTGGAGATGTAAAGAGAAATAGACATTTCCCCTGCATTCCAGGAGTACATGCTGAAAATAGTGGAGGAAACGTATTCGTGTGGAAATTAATACTACAAAAATATCATATTCTATTATATGTTTTGAGAAGTGCCCGTAACAGGCTGGCAAGGTTTCAAATTAAGACTCTTCTTACTGAATTTATAGGGAGAGCTTCTTCCAGAAATATTATTTAAGCATTAAAACCACACCTTTTAAAATGACAACATTTTACCAGTGTTCATCCCAGATGGGTAGGATTTGGGGTATATTATTTCACAGGGGGAAGAATACATGCCTTTTATGCGTTTTCCTTTGTTAAAGAATCATATATGAAATGGGATTGACCAAAATGTACATTTTAACCATATATTCTTTTTATTCATTTAAGAAACATTATTGAGTAGTAGGCACGTGAGATTTTAAAAAAACAGAGCATCATTTCTGCTCTCAGGGAGCTTACAGTCTATTATGCAGGCATATTATGAAATGCAGAAGAAGGAAAGAAGGGAGGAGGGCTCAGACAGGCAAAACCTTGGTTACAGAATGTGCATCTCTGACTATATAAAACTCATAACCAAAGGCATAACCATATATTCAGTGTCATTGTATTGGCCATCCTTCTCTGAAGGATGACCACACAGATAGGTTTAGTCTCTTATTTCTTAGATTTTGACTCATTTTTCATTGTGATGAGATTATCTTAATACATTCTGAAATAAGAGACAAGGAATCTGTGGACTGAAAGTGAGTTTTTTTTTTTTCCTTTTCTTGCATTCCTATGTAACTCCTATATACTTCCTTAAAATAGATACTGCAATATGGTTTCTTCTTGGTGTCATAAAAATTATTTCGGTTGAAATAATACAAGTTGTAGAAAGTGTTAAAAACTCTAAATACTGTGTTAGAAGATTTTTCTGTAGAAGACTTTCATTGACCTGTGCTTGATGATAAACGATTTTGTAGGTATTTCCTAACTGAACAAATTACTTCTCACTCCCAAATTATCCATGTTTAAAAGGGATAATTAAATTTCAAATGTTTGGAGACATTTTCATGTTTTCTGCATGTTATCTGAATGATAAGGTACCTTGAAAAATGAGAAACAGTCTTTTAAAAGAAACACTGTAATCATACATTGATTTTAAATGACCCTGTCACACATGAAAACAAATCAGATTGTTGCTCTTAATGAGCTTTTCAATTTACTATTCAGTAGATCAGATAAGTGGATTTAAGAGGTAATGATCCTGTTTAGTACTCAAGCTTGACTGTCAGATCCTAGTAGTGGAGAGAAATCCCCAAGGACAAAAGCATTGACACAGTTCTAGATGGGATAATGGGAATCAAAGCTAATGGATGATAAAAGGAATGGTGCAAGTTACAAGGATAATTGTGGATTAAAGCACTGCCATGTGTCAATGTTGACTGTTTTTCTAGTATATTATTGGGTCAGATCTGATGCTTTGAGAAACTGTTTTGACAGCAGAACACAACAGACCTGCCTGCCTAGCTTCCTCCTCTTTTGAATGCCAGGGACACGGTAGGAAAACTTCCTTGTAGGACCCATTGAATTAGAAAGCACATTTTTTAATGTTAAAATGTTTGAAATGTTTAAAATCACATTTTAAAATGCATAATAAAATGATTAAAACAAAAATTATGTCTGAGTTTTGCCATAAAAAAGGCATTTATAATGTCTTGAAAATGTAAAATTTGATTTTACGAAAGTCCACTGTAGTTATTTATCGAAAACAAGAAAATTAACCAGTAAAGATGTAAATACAATAAGAAGAAAATAAGTAATTTGAGATAATGCCATGGACACATCCTTTCCAAAACCAGGATGTCATGGAATTTATTATTAATTTCATTTATCTATATAAATGATCCTGTGTACCATCAAAGAATTTGTGCTTTGAGTTGTGGTAAAGCTAGTTTAAACATACTCATTCATATTTTCATCTTTGTTAAACAAACGTGCCTTTTAAATTCCAGTCAGAGTTAAGGGCACACAGTCTCTGGCCCTGGAACTGAGCAAGTGGGTAAAGCAGGGCACACAGTAGGGTGTCTGATCCCTACTGTTAGTTGATTTTATAAAACTGGGCTTATTTTAAGGATCTCTTGACAGGGGTGCCACTAAAATAAAATTAAAGACAATTGCTATAATCAGTTACTAAATATTCAAGCTGTTCTCTCTAGCTACTTTTCTTTTTCTGTTGTAATTTACGATTCTATGTATTTTGTCTGTAGAATCCAATATGTGCTTAATGGGAAAAGTCGTTTCTCTCTCTTTGTGTAAAAACTATTCACATTATAATATAGTCCTAGTAGATCCAGACCGTGTCCTTCCACTGCACATTAAAGCCACGTAGTATTCACTTGACACATATTGCCCTAGGTGCAATAGTAGGGACACAAAGAATAAGGCATAGTGTCACCCCTCAAGAAGCACTCAGTGTCATGAGGGAGATTCACATCCAAACAGTTACAGTGTGAAAAGCGCCATGACAGAGGAATGGACTGGACGTTGTGGGAACATAAAGGAGAGTTCAACTCACTGTGCCTAGGAAGCCTTCAGAGGAGATGACTTTTGAATGAGTATGAGGGGAAAAAGAGGAAGAAGACTGATTGAGGCAAAATGACCAGCACATGAACACATAAAAATCTGAAATTGCATGAGATGTCTCAGTGATCCATCAGCATTTTATTGTGGCTTGAGGTTGAGGGAAATGTGGAAGTTGAGGTAGGCTGAGGCCAAGTTGTGAAATGCTTTGTGTGCCATTAATCATGTCGATGCTAGGTTTTCCAAGGGACCCAATTTGTATACTTCTATATACGAGAGAGGTTTGGCATCATGGTGAGCTTAGGGAAACTTTCTGTTCTACATATCATTCTTCATTAGAGCCCTCTTTGTGCTTAAAGGTTTGTGATTATTGAGGATTGTTGGTAACTGACTTCTTTAGATTCTCTCTCCTCCTTAGCTCCCTCTTTCCCCCAAACATCTTACAAGCAACAATGGTCACTTTAATCTTGTTAGAGATGAAGGCCTACTCTCATGGGCAAAGTCACAGATATATAATCACTGAAATGCTTTTCTGTAGGGCTCAGAAGTTAGTAGGTAAGGCAGCAGGAATTTGAATCTCAGTCTTCCTTTCTCTCTCTCTGTTTCTCTCTCTCTCTCTCTCTTTCTTCCCCAGCTTCTGCTCTCCACCGTTCAGCCCTTCCTGCCTTCTGTCACCCTCTACACCTAACCCTTCCTCCTCTCCCTCTTTTTCTCTCCCTCTGATTCACTCCATCAGCCTGAGGAGAAGGCTTCCAGACACAGGACTCAGGTTGAAAGCCTGGAACACAACCTGCTGGTTCAAATGGTATTTAAAATCCAGAAAAGAAATTTCTACAATGGCAGCTTTCCTCCCCTCTATGACCCTATACCTCTGGGTGATTTGTGTTGCCCCTGTGATACCTTCATGACCTATGGTGGTGTATCAAGCTCGTGTTCAGATATAAAAAACAAAAGACAGAGGGAATAGAAGCTATGTTGCTGTACATAAGAAATAGGCAGATTAGGAGAAAGTGAGAGAACACAATCACAGAGGATCAAATCACAGAAGAGAAATCCCATACAGCTGGTGACTGGCAGGGATAACCTGGAATCACACCAGAGCATCAGGGAGTATGGAGGTGTCAACCCACCTCTCAGCTTTGCCAGGCTAGTAAGGGGTATAAGTGGCATTTTCCCACTTGAAGTGGGATATGTGTTTATAAGCTTAATGTGGCTTGGATTGAGACTGAAATGTTGCACCCCAAACTCTGCAACCAACACTCCCTAATTGGAAGCTTAGTGGATTCCCAGGCCCTGATGTTTTCAACAGGGAATCCCTGAGCTTGGGATTTCAGTGTCAACATGAAAAGTAAGACGTACCTGTATATTTGGGGAAGCTTAATTAGGTAATATTTGAGGAGAATTTCTATAAGTTAACTTCCTTTGATTTTTTTAAATCCTTATTTTTATAACTGCCTTAAATAATCCTGAAATGGTTAATATTTTGCTGAAATCTAGAATAGGTGGAAAATTTTTAAGTGTTGGAACCTTTTGTTGAAGTACTCTACTTTCCAGCCCTTTGCATACCTACTCCCGTCTTCCAGAAAGGGGTGGTCTACCACTTTGAGAAAAAAAAAAAATGTGTGTGGTGTGGTGGGAGTAAAATGGATATATGAGTGTGTTTGTGTGTAAGCGTTTATATATTTCAAAATAGGAGCGATCTGGAGGAAAAAGTTAGCAAATTTTAAAATTATAAGATTCTTTTTAAAAAATTCCTTTGCTCTCCCACCCACTCCCTACTTCAGTGTGGATACCACAGTGCATTAAATCTTATGTTTGTTCAATTCGAATAGTCTTTTGAAAATATATGTTAATAGTAAAACTTTTAACAATGAAATGTTTTAATGCAGGTATATGCTCGTATGTCAGAAGTCTTAGGAATAACAGATGACAACCACGTTCTAGAGACGTTCATGACAAAAATGTGAGTTCTTGTTTTGGTCTTTAATTTTTCTTTTGTTGTTGTTTTAAATGTAATAGATCTTTTTATTGTATTTAAACCTTTTTATATATTAATTTTTAAATAAAAGACTTAAAATTATGCTTTGTTAGAATGTTAGCATTGTTCTTAATTGAAACTTAATTTCACATATTGAAAAGTCACCATCCAAAGGACATTGTAATTTGTCAAGTTTCCATACAACGGCAGCGTGCAGCATCAGATGATGATTTTAAAAGATTTACAGACCTTGACTCTTCAGATCAATTGGGCAGCATTTTTTTTTATTTAAAAAGAAAAGCACGCGATTTGAAAGACCACGTGAAGAGATTATTGCAAATTGAAATCATTGAGAGAGGTCTGATAGGGCATTCATTAGTTCTAAGAGAAACCTATGGCTGGCAGAGACATATTCATGGAAACTGTCCTTATATTGGACTTATAACATTAGCAGAATAAACTAGTTTCTAGTCATAACTTTGTACACGTAGCCAAACTTGTATGCCTCCACCTGGCACCCCGCTTTATCTGTGTAACAGACAAACAACACTGTCTTGATTGCAGACAGCAAAGTTAGATAAACAGTCGTGATCATAAGAAGTGAGTTTTGGAGCCACAGATTGATGGTTCATTATTTGGCAGTAACAGTGAGCCTCTATTTGGCTTTCTTTGTAACTCCTGCTTCTCCTCCCTAATATGTTTTGGGTACAAACTTGATGTTTTCCAGTGAAACACTTAGACAACTTTTTAATTTACAAAACTAAATATGTAGAATTATACACCATTTGGAGAGCAATATTCATTGCAGATTGCATATAATTTTGAATATGCTATTGAAAGAATAGACAATGTTTTTGAGCCTGTTTTTCACTTTCAAAATATTTGTGATTTAGGTCATCAAACTTACATAAATTTATGTGTATTCTCTGGTTCTCCTTAGACAAGCAAATATCTTACTTATAATTAAAGACTTTTTTTCATATTTAGTGTTACAAACCTTAAATACTGGGGAAGATATGAGCCTGTAATTTCAAGGACTCTTCAGTTCCTAAATGACCTTTCTGTTGGATATCCTTTTCACTGTATATCTGACATTATGTGTAAACAACCTAGCAGATGCATTTAATTAACCAGGTATTCTCCTTGTTTATAATTTTTGCAATTTTTTAAAAAAATAAAAAGACCTTTCATTTAGCCTTATCTGTAAATGCAT
This sequence comes from Homo sapiens, assembly GCF_000001405.40. Taxonomy (NCBI): domain Eukaryota; kingdom Metazoa; phylum Chordata; class Mammalia; order Primates; family Hominidae; genus Homo; species Homo sapiens. The sequence continues at coordinate 171,171,432 of NC_000005.10, forward strand.
GTTTTTGAAAGGTTTTAATTAGCTGTATACTATGAAGCATTTAGTCGGAATCACTGTTGAATTTATATGGACATATAGATTCCTAAGTAGTTACAGTTATATTTATACTCACCCAGGCTAATAAATGGTTATATAAGAAAGTCCACATGTATTTTAGTTCATGCTTTTTTGTAATTGTCAGAAATTCGTGTCCTAAAAGAAAGTATGTAACTTAATTTTAAGGAGGTCAAAATGTTCTAAAAATATTACCTTATAAAAACTGCATTCCTGTGAGTAAATATATCTCTAATATTCTTCAGTTGAAAAGAACATCATTTTCATTAGTTGAAAGGCACAATGGAGTAATACAAAGAAAATAAGTTTTTTGACCATTTCTTTGATTATTGCCCCCACCAAATCAACATCTAATCTAATCTAAAATAAGATTCCCCATTATACATTAAATGTTTAGATTTCTCTGTCTAGCAGATTTTTAAAATTCTAAAACCAAGAATCTTCTTACTAAAGTCTAGTTGACAGTATTGTCATATTTCTAACAACTAGAGAGAATCATGTAGATTTTCTTTTCTACATTAGCTATCAAATATATAGGACTTGTGAAAGATAAGTGTTGGATTAATCACTAAGATTAGCTGATCTTTTAATATGAGGACAAATTCTGAAAATGGTGGCATTGAATGGAAACCTTTAATGTAGGTTCATTCCAGGAATATGTTTATGTTAGTTAAGTTTAAAATTGTATTCCTTGGTAAACCATAAAAGATTTCCAAAGTATTAGACACCCACTTTTGTGCTGGAATTTAATATGCAACTTTTTATTGGAAAATAATCGTCCTTGTCTGGCAAAATCCACCATGCAATATTTCTGTTAGTAGGTATAATGCAATAAAGCCAGGGAGGGCTATTTATCACTACAAATTTTGAGGATTTCAGGATTCTTTTTATTATTTTAATATATTTCTTTGATATTAAATCAGAAAAATGATAAATTACACCTGTCTAGGCTGTTTTTCCTTTTTACTGGAAAGTGATGTACAACCCAATTCCAATGGTCATTTGGCTTTTTAAGATATGTATTTTTTCTTATTAAAAAAAAAACTCAACCCATATTTTTTTCTAATAATAATGCTGAAATACTCTTTATTTCTAACATATGAAGTGGTTTATAAGTACTTCCTAGTATTGCAAACTCTGGCCTTTTCACAATGAATTACTTTGAAAGCATATTATCTGCAAAGAAGCCTCAGTTATTTTATAGCATATATCTATTGTTTAGATTTACCCTATTTTTTTAGGTTGAAATTGATATTTAGTATAAAATTAATTTGATTTGTATTCTTTTAGTATAATTTGCATAATGCCTAATTTATTTGTATCTGCTATTTAAGATCTTTTTCTATCCTATTAAGCCTATTATATATTCTTTAATTCAAATATTATAGCCTTTTATTTTACATGCTGTTTATTGCTTTTGAGTACTTCTCAAAGTGAATTAAAAAATCATATTTTCAGAAAACTTACTAGATAAAAGTTTAAAAGCTATAATATTTTAAGCCAGGGGATAGGAATGATTTCAACATGGGTACATTGATTTATATTTTTTAGCAATTATTTCAGGTTTGCATATTTAGAAATATATATTAGTTCAATTTGATTTCAGTGCTCAGTTATTTGAATTATAAATCATTATGTCCCTTCTAGCTGATCAGTCATGAAATATCTTTGAATTCATTTACATAATGGAATATGTGAGTGGTGTATCTGTTTTAGTGCAGTTACTGGTTACCTAATGCATGTTTTGTTTTTCCAATGGATTTCTTTATTATAATGTGTTTTTCAGTCTTGATTTTAAAGCAATACATTATTTCTATATTAGGAATAAGATGACATTCTTCAGCAATAGAAACACGCAAGATCAAAACCATCACCTATAGGCCCTTGTTATTGGAAATCTGTTTATATATTAATATTCAAAATATTTTTATTTAAAATATTAGAAGTAAATGAAAAGCATGTTTCTCACTATGAAGTTTTTTAATGTTCTTTATTTATAGTACATGTCTTCAGATACTTTCTGTTTTATTTTTTCTATTTTATCTGCTTCAGATGAACCTTACTCAGTGTTTATGGTGCTCAAAGCCAGTCTCTGAACTTTGGTGGTCTTTTATCTGACCACTTGTTAGAAATTGAAATCACACAAGACCCCCATTTTTAGGAAGTATTAAAAAGCCTTTGGTTGCCTTAAAGCAGTAGTCTCAGACTTTAGTGAGCATCGGAATGTGAGTGCTTTTTAAAACACAAATTGTTAGGCCCCACTCCCCAGAGTTTCTCTTTCAGGAGGTGTTAGGCCTAGGCCTGAGAATTGCAGTTTTCACAAGCCTCATGTTAAGTTGGTGGCTCCAGGACCATACTTTGAGAACTTCTGTCTTTAGGTAGTTAGAAAATAGAGCTGCATTGTATGTCCTGAGCAGAAAAGTCTGGTACTTCCCTCACAGACACTTTTTCATAGGACTTCATAAAACTCACTAGACTTACAGTTTTAGAGATAGTCTAGTTCCTAAATAATGATGTGGGGACGTAAGTCCCCAGATTGTAACTGGATGACTGTTGCATTTTACCCCAGAATTGCTGTTTGCCAAATTTGAAACTTTTCAAATTGGTAAGATTATTGTTATTTTAAAATCCAGTGACCTTTTTGACAGAAAGTTAATGTTTTCCCATCAGATTCATTACATGGGTATTTATAATAAATTTAGCAAATACATTTGAGTAACTGTTTAACATACTCTTTATATTTTCAAGACCAAATTCCAAGAATTTCTGAAGTAGCTTTTTTGAACAGGCACAGAGCTGAAATGACTCTGTACAGAGCCAGCCCGCTGTGTTCAAGTTCAGTACTTGGGGATCTTTCCCTTCTTTGAAATGTTTCCTGGTCAGAAATTTTAGTTTCTGTCTAAATGGGAAAAGGAGAGATTGTTCAAATGATTGAATCAAGGAAGCTCCTGGGAAAACTGGAGAGAGAATAAGGGTCATACAGAGCAATCAAGTAAACTTACTTATTTTAAATGCTGAAAACGGAGAAGAGTATCACATTTTATCCAAAATTCTGTTTGTTCGGTAATCATTATTTCAAGTTTTTATTCTTTTGAAAGATAATTGATCAGTATTTCTACTGCAATTTATTCTTTACTCAAATTTGTAGCAGTTAACATGCTCCACTTGGGTTTCAGAAAGGAAATTTCATTCTCTATCAGGCCCTCTGTTGGTGGTTGGCCTTTATTACATAATCATCAAACATGAGAAAACTAAAAATATCTAGAGTGTGTGTGTGTGTGTGTGTGTGTGTGTGTGTGTGTGTGTGTATTTTGAGGTCCTTTTTTTAAATATACTTTAAGTTCTGGGATACATGTGCAGAACGTGGAGGTTTGTTACATAGGTACACGCGTGCCATGGTGGTTTGCTGCACCCATCAACCCATCATCTACATCAGGTATTTCTCCTAATGCTATCCCTCCCCTAGCCCTTCACCCCCCTACAGGCCCTGGTGTGTGATATTCCCCTCCCTGTGTCCATGTGTTGTCATTGTTCACCTCCCACTTATGAGTGAGAACATGTGGTGTTTGGTTTTCTGTCCCGTGTTAGTTTGCTGAGAATGATGGTTTCCTGCTTCATCCATGTCCCTGCAAAGAACATGAACTCATCCTTTTTTATGGCTGCATAGTATTCCATGGTGTATATGTGGCACATTTTCTTTATCCAGTCTATCATTGATGGGCATTTGGGTTGGTTCCAAGTCTTCACCATTGTGAATAGTGCTGCAGTAAACATACGTGTGCATGTGTCTTTACAGTAGAATGATTTATCATCCTTTGGGTATATACCCAGTAATGGGATTTGCTGGGTCAAATGGTATTTCTGGTTCTAGATCCTTGAGGAATTGCCACAGTGGTTGAACTAACTTATGCTCCCACCAACAGTGTAAAAGCGTTCCTGTTTCTCCACATCCTCTCCAGCATCTGTTGTTTCCTGTCTTTTTAATGATCACCGATCATCAGAGTGAACAGGCAGCCTACAGAATGGGAGAAAATTTTTTTAATCTCTCCATCTGACAAGGCTAATATCCAGAATCTACAAGGAACTTAAACAAATTTACAAGAAAAAAACAACCCCATCAAAAAGTGGGCGAAGGATAGGAACAGACACTTCTCAAAAGAAGACATTTATCTAGCCAACAAACATATGAAAAAAAGCTCATCATCACTGGTCATTAGAGAAATGCAAATCAGAACCACAATGAGATACCAATATCTAGCTTTTTAAAATCAGACTCTATAAGAGAGTTCCACATTCGTTTTTGAGTTTATCCAAACTTTTTTTTTTTTTTACCTTATGGATACTGTTAACCGCAACAGTTCTCAAGATTAATGACTTCTCCATGTTATTGCAAGGCTAGCTACATAATTTGCAGGGCCCACCTCAAAAAGAAGAATGTGGAGTTACTTGGTCAAAAAATGTTAAGAATTTCAAGACCTCAACAGCAAAGCATTAAACCATGAAGAGGCTCTTCTAGGCACAGGGTCCACTATGCAAGTATACAGCCCGCATGCCTGTGGAGCTGGCTCTGGTTTGGTTTGATATAAAGAAATAATTCCTTCCATTTGGCCTCAGACTGACTCTCTAAGATTATCCCCTTAAGTTCCTGTACACCTGAATTTGGTGAATGTAAGTCCCATCCATATGCATGATAAATCTATTTATCTACTAGTTTATTTCAGTCATTTTCGTTTCTACAAGCCAAAGAATCTATTTTCTATCAAAGTCACTTGATGACCATGAAAATTTTATTTTTTACCCCTACCTTTCCCAGCTCCATTTGTCTTTCTTTTGCTTGCTTGTTTTAAGTACAATAATTAGAACTTCATCCTTATCTAGAGTTAACATTTAGTAAGACTAAAATAGTGATTTTTAAATTTAATTCCATACTCATCTTGAATCTTATTGACCTCTTTCAATTCAGCAAATATTTATTAAGCATTTGCTAAGTACACGGCAAAAGAACAAATAAAACACAGACCCTGCCCTCGTGGATTTTAAATTCTAACAGAATTGACACTGATTGCAAACTTCCTTTTCTATATTTCTCCAAAGAGCTTAAAGTCAGTTGTTTTATTAATATAGTTTCTATTTCTTCTGTTTAAATTTAACTCAGATAAATTACATACGAATTTTCTGAAAATCTACACATTAAAAATAATGTGGGTATGTGACATTGTGATATGGCTGATTTGAGGGAGCCCCTTTTATTCGAGGTCATTTAGACATAAGCTTATAGATAAACCATTAAGTATGCAGCTTTTAAACTTACCAAGTAATGTGCAAACCAGACATCCTCACATCTGTTTCTGACCTTCCCACCATTTGGGTGTGAATCCTGAATGTGGTAGGTGTCAGGAAAGAGTAGAGGATGAGAGATGAAGCAAAGGGCAAGAATGAAACAAGGGTGATGGATGAAATTAAAATTGTTTATGTCTGTTACAGGAACTATTTAGCAATAAACAGTAATATTTCTGCTTTTGTGAAACAGTATTAAAATGCATTGCTTTATTTTACTGAATACCACCATCTCCAGATGGTTTGTGAGAATGTTAAATAAAACTAGTTTCAGCTTACATCCCTCAGGCATACTTCTATTAGCATTTTTTATCAGAGGAAATGTTGATTTATTTCATTGTTTTCTGTCTTTATCAGCTACAGAAAAGTCATCCCATAATTTATCTCCTCTGTTTGTTTGAATACTAGAATCAGGTGTAGAATCCTCCCTATTCCTCTTCTGTAGCCCCCTTATTTAGACCTTCACCAAGTTCTTTAGATTTTTGTTTCACAAAATTACGTACCTTGAGTATTGTTTTGATCTGATCATTTCTCTTCCCAAAAGCCCACAATCTCTTCCACCTGCTTCTTAGGTCAAGCAAAAGTATTGACTTAAATTTGAGTCCTTTGACCGTACTTGACTTACTGAGTTCCCATAGCTAACTTCCTGATACTCCATTAGACCACAATTTGTACTTTATACTTGGGCCAAGGAAATTTATTTTACCTACCCCTTGATAACCTTCATTATCTTTCACTGAATCACCACATTTGCCACTCTCCCTCATTTGACACACTGTAACTCAACTAGGTTTATTCAATTTTTCAGTCTTGGCTAAAGACTTAGTAAAGCCATCATGAAATAGCTTAATCCTTAGTCCTTTAATACTAAATGTTAATTCCCTTCATTTTCTTTCAAGTCGTGGTTTATTTTTCTTAATGTTTGTGAACACCTTGTTTTCAATCTACATATCTGGGTATGAATGTAATATAGTTTAGTATTTGCTGGTCCTGTCTCCTATTAGATTGTAAATTATTAGAGATTAAGACTTGTTTTCCCTTCCTTTATAGTTTCAAAACTTCATACAGTGGGCATTTAGAACTTACTGTTGCCCCTTCTGTTGAGTGATTATGACTTAACTCCTGTTCCTTGTAAATAATTATTAGTATCCCTTAAGATGCTTCATCGTTGTTATACCTATTTGGATTTTTTATGTGGTTTTTTTTTTTTTGTTATACTTTAAGTTCTGGGATACATGTGCAGAATATGGAGGTTTGTTACATAGGTATACACATGCCATGGTGGTTTGCTGCACCCATCAATGCATCGTCTACATTAGGTATTTCTCCTAATGCTATCCCTCCCCTACCCCCCCACCCCCCGACAGGCCCCTGACGTGTGATGTTCCCCTCCCTGTGTCCATGTGTTGTCATTGTTCACCTCCCACTTATGAGTGAGAACATGTGGTGTTTGGTTTTCTGTTCCTGTGTTAGTTCGCAGAGAATGATGGTTTCCAGCTTCATCCATGTCCCTGCAAAGAACATGAACTCATCCTTTTTTATGGCTGCATAGTATTCCATGGTGTATATGTGCACATTTTCTTTATCCGGTCTATCATTGATGGGCATTTGGGTTGGTTCCAAGTCTTTGCTATTGTGAATAGTGCTGCAATAAACATACGCGTGCATGTGTCTTCATAGTAGAATGATTTATCATCCTTTGGGTTTATACCCAGTAATGGGATTGCTGGGTCAAATGGTATTTCTGGTTCTAGATCCTTGAGGAATTGCCACACTGTCTTCCACAATGGTTGAACTAGTTTACACTCCCACCAACAGTGTAAAGGCATTCCTATTTCTCCACAGCCTTGCCAGCATCTGTTGTTTCCTGACTTTTTAATGATCACCATTCTAACTGGCATGAGATGGTATCTCATTGTGGTTTTGATTTGCATTTCTCTAATGACCAGTAATGATAAGCTTTTTTTCATATGGTTGTTGGCCACATAAATGTCTTCTTTTGAGAAGTGTCTGTTCCTATCCGTCGCCCACTTTTTGATGGGGTTGTTTGTTTTTTTCTTGTAAATTTGTTTAAGTTCCTTGTAGATTCTGGATATTAGCCCTTCATCAGATGGATAGATTGCAAACATTTTTCTCTCATTCTGTAGGTTGCCTGTTCACTCTGATGATAGTTTCTTTGGCTGTGCAGAAGCTCTTTCATTTAGTTAGATCCCATTTGTCAATTTTGGCTTTTGTTGCCATTACTTTTGATGTTTTAGTCATGAAGTCTTTGCCCATGCCTATGTCCTGAATGGTATTGCCTAGGTTTTCTTCTAGGGTTTTTATGGTTTTAGGTCTTATGTTTAAGTCTTTAGTCCATCTTGTGAATAAATATTGATGTTATTACCCAAATTATCAGAAATGGCCAGGTATCATATGAGGATAACTAATTAGTATAGTTTTTGGCCTATATAGTCTCCCTTAGTACTTTTATAATGGGTAGTTCTTCCTCCTATTCTTTTCTTTATATTTGCTTAAAAGGAATTTTGTCTGTTTGTGTGTGTGTATATGTGTGTCTGTGTGTGTGTCTAGTAGGGTTCATGAGCAAAATTCCACTTTTGAGATAACTAAACTTACATTTCAGTTACTCTACTTTGTGCATATAACCTAAGTACAGCAATTTCTGACATGTAATATTGTCATCTGTGAACTTTCTTCTTTCATCAGGATCTAACTCTGTCTGCAAAAAGTGTCTATGAACATGTATGACTTTTAAATATTTGCCCAGATTCAGTATGATTACCCACTCTCTTGTACTTAGTGAATATCATGTATCTAGTACACTAATATAATTCTAAATGAAATTTTTTCACGTCTTTACACTTTTGTAAATAGGATATATCTTATAATTGATGGTATTTTTAAGTACTTTTTCTTAGTAGTACATATTATAGTGGTTTTTTTGTTTTACAATCAGTGGTGTTTTAGATTTGATTAAATGGGGTAAATACTCAGAAAAGGCCTGGTACTGTGAATTGAAGTCATACTTGGTGTTACTGTGTCAAGCAGCTACTGAATTGTGTAGTACTCCTGTAACCTAAGAAAGCAGTTCATTCTCAATTTAGTATCCTCCTTTTCAAAAGATATAGATTTTCAGAATTTTCAGCCATCTATGAGATTCTTTTCTTGTTTTTCTTCATGTGTCATCCTAGCTATCAATAAGACTGTCTTCACCCTCTTCGATGTTTTCATAACCACATGGCTAGAGACAGGGATTTTCTGAGAATTTAGTTTAATGGGTTACTGCCAGCCAGACTATAGAGTTTGCTCAATCCTGGATGTGATGCTGGCTCGTTAATGAATTGGTCCCTCCTAAAATAAAATGTTTCCCTGTCCCTTCTGGGACCTGATTCCGATTTCAATTGTATTTCAAGAAGCAAATGATCTCTGGAGGAGAACTAGCCTCTTTAAAATCAAATGGATCTGATATAGCCTAGTGAAAAGACCCTATGTTTTAGAGTCAGACAGATCTGGATTTGAATCGTGACTCTTCTGTTGACATGTTCCATGTGTGACATTTCCTATATTAATGTTACTCTCAAGACTTCTAGTACTGTTGCTACTGTTACTGTTACCACCATTACCAGATTTACTGCTAAGAGGTGTTTTGAATAGACCTCTGAAGTCTAACCTAGTGTTGCCATAATTTATCTAGTGCTCCACCCAGCCAAAATGGCACAACTCAGAAGAACCCTAGTCTCTTAGAGAAGAATAAGATCAGAGTGTAAAGATCATAAAGATGATGGGTTCATTTGCCTTTTTTAACATTACAGACCCACTTAAGAGCCAGAACTAGCTTTGAATTGGATTTCTATAAGATAACATAAATATTCAGATGAACTCTCATTTTTTTCTTTATTGAAAAATATAAAAATTCTTAATCATTTTTTTCTTTAGAATGTAATTAAAAGGCAGTGAGGCTGGCCTTGGTACAAAGTGCACAGATGCCGTTCTGCAGAAAATGTGTCTTTGACAGATGAGATTCTTCCTGTGAATGTTCTGTTTATTGCTTTCATAAATATTCTATTGTCAAAACATGACTTGCTGTTTATTAACAGCACTGACAGGAAGATTCCTATTAATGGCAGCATTCTTATTACCCATAGACCCTGTCACTTTTAACTTCGCAATTTTAAGAGAATTCTATTTGGTAATTACTTAAGATATTTCTAAGTTTATTGATCCCACCCCAGTTTAACTGAGTGAAGTTTGAGTGGCAGGTCTTCAGCCCAGTGACTGACACTAGGAATAATCATCAAATCTGCATCTTTGGAGGCAAGGAAAAACTTGCTACCTGACAGCCTTGATCTTGTTGCCCTGCAGCCTGCCAGAAAAACCCAGTGCTTTGTGGCCAGGCACGGTGGATCACTTGAGGTCAGGAGTTCAAGACCAGCATGACCAACGTAGTGAAACCCCATCCCTACTAAAAATACAAAAAATTAGCCGGGCGTGGTGGCCCATGATTGTAGTCCTGGCTACTCGGGAGGCTGAGGCAGGAGAATCACTTGAACCTGGGCGGGAAGAGGTTGCAGTGAGCTGAGATCACGCCACTGCACTCCAGCCTGGGCGACAGAGCGAAGAGTCTGTCTCAGAAAAAAAAAAAAAGAAAAACACAGTGCACTGAGCACCTGCTGAGAGCAGTGCAATAGGGAAAATCCATGGATGTAGTCCCTGCCCTTAGAAAGTTTACTGTCTAATACAGATACATGCTGAAATGTAGATGTATATTTTAAATAAGCAGGTATATGGCTAAGCCAAACATACATGCTTCATATGCAACTGGAATGGTTGCTTTGGAATCAGAGGAACTTGAGTATAAATCATACTAATTGTTTATCTTTTGAAAAATTATTTAATTTTTTTTAGTTTATTTCCTTACCTGAAAAATATAAGTGATGTGCTACCTATCTCATGGAATTGTGAAAATTAGCCTTGCAAGTTGCACACGTTGTGTGAATTCTCTGCATCTTTCTTTTTCCGTGATTGATAATTGGCAAAGACATTTGCATTATCTGATCCTCAAAACAATCCTGTAAGGTAGCTTGGGCATAGGTTTCATCCTCATTTCTTGGAGAGGGAAACTAAGGCTGAGACAGGCTAGGTTTATTACTTGGATTCATTGACTGGTATAGTCAAGCCTAGGTCTCCTGACTCATGTTCCAATGTGTTTTCCACTCTTTGATACCCATGCCTGAGTGACTAACATTTAGAATTATGCTTTTCAGTGCCCCTGTGCAGAGGCAATAGACTGAGGCATGTATTTGGAGATGATGTGAAGGAAAAAGAAAGCCAGTATTTTCCTTGTAACATCAATGGAGCCATATAAGATTATTACAGCCTTCAAGAAAGGCGTGAGTAGGTATTAGGGAATGGCCGAGAGATGCTCTAGCTGTGGTAGAAAACACATGACTATGGTAGAGTAAGAGAAGAGGGTATTTGCATACTGACTAGATGTGTTTAGAATCCACATCATACCTGAAATTATTTAGTCCTTGTATTCATGTTTCCGATTTCTTAACTTTATGCTCCTTCTAAGTTGAACTGTTCAGATGATAATGTGGTACAGCAGAAAGAACATGGCCTTTGGAACCAAACTACAGTTCAAATCTCAGCACTGTCAATCCATGGCTGTATAATCTTGGGCAAGCAACTTAATTTCTCTTAGCTCCTGTTTCATTATTTATGGACTAAAAATAATAAATAATACTTAACAGTGTAATTGTGAAGATTAGGTGAATTAACATATGGAAATGCCTTTTACGTACTAGGCACTTGAGAAATATTAGTTCCTTTAAGCTGTCCTTCTATACTTGATGACATGCAGTCTGCTATATCCTCCTAATTATATTCTGATCTTAGGTTTCTACCAAGAGAGCTCACTATTTCTTAGAATTGAATAATTTTCTCTTTTTTGATAGCCTATTATGGGTCTTTTATAAAATTATTTCATTATGAAATAACATTAAGTAAGTAGAAGTTCGTAAGTTACACCCAAAATATAAAAAGGGATCAGTTTTAATTTTCCACTATCAAGACTTTAATAGTAAAGGAGTTCTTGTCTTAATTATAAAATTCATTCTTTCTTTCCATAACTAGAATATGTATAAGATAGAAAAAGTAATTGCATTGGTTAATAATAGATTATCATTCTTAACAGAAGGAAAGACGTTTCTATAGGAATGCTCTTTAGAAATTATATTTTTTTATAAGTAGAAATTGATGCCACTACAGTTCACTGTTACTTTGTGATTTATTACATACTGATATTACAAATATATTTCCTTAGATTCCTTAACTTCTATTACTTATATCCTTTTAAAAAAACTTGTGAAGATAGATGCTGTGAAATTCATGCTAAAAAACCACACGGTAAGTCTTATTTCTTTAATTAATGAATAACATTTTACGAATAGTTGAGGTAAAGTGTTAGTAACTTGGATTACTCTTTTGCTTTCATTAGAGTGAACACTTCCCTTTTCTTGGCATCAGTGACAATCATAGTCTCAGCGACTTCAGGTGTCGAACAACCTTCTACACAGCGCTCACTCGCCTTCTGATGGTAGATCTGGGTAAGGTTAAGAATTTAAACTCAATTAATAAGGGATCAGCAATACACTTGTGTGAATAAAGAAGTGGAGTACTAGTGGGTACAACATTTAACTTATTAGAATTAGCGTCTTCTGACAGTTTTCTACAACCTTCTAAGATTTGAGTGTTCACTTGTTAGCATTAGAGCCAAAAGACAAATATTTGTACTTAAGGTGGCATTTTTCACTTCACATAACACTTGCACTGATTTTTTACCTCACAGCTTACTTTCTGCCTATCCTTTGACACATTAATTTTACTGCTATGAATCTAGGAATAATCTTAAACAGAGAAAAACTTTACACACAAAGATTTTCGTCATAGTGATGTCTAAACTAGAGAAAAAGTAGAAATGATGTAACTGTCCAACAGTAGGGAATTGTAAAATTATGGCACGCCTACTTACTTGTAGAATGATTGGCACGCAATAAAAATGAAGATTTAAAGACAAGGCAATACATGAAATTTTATATTATAACATTAAGTGAAAAGGCAAAGTGTTACACTGGTGCAAATGGTATGATCATGTATGTTGGGGATGGGGGGACAATACTTCAGAAAAGGCTTAAGTGAAATTCTTCAAAAATGGTTAGTACAGCCATTGTGAATAACAGTGTAGAGGATCCTCAGAAAATTCAAAATAAAATGACTGTACAATCCAGCAATCCTACTACTGGGTGTATAGGTATCCAAAGGAAATGAAATGAGTATATCAAATAGTTGCATTCCCATATGTTTATTGCATCGTTATTCACAATAGCCAGGATATACGGAATCAACCTAAGTGTCCATCCACAGATGAATGGATAAAGAAAATGTGGTATATATACACAGTGGGATACTATTCAGCCATAAAAAAGGAAAAATGTCTGCCATTTGCCACAGTGTGGATGAACCTGGAGGGTACTATGTTAAGTGAAATAAGCCAGGCACAGAGGACAAATACTATATGATATCACTCATATGTGAAATCTAAAAAAGTTGATCTCATAGAACTAGAGAGTAGAATGGTGGTTACTAAGAGCTGAGGACTTTGAGGTGATGCTGGTCAAAAGATACAAAGTTTCAGGTAGAAAGAATAAGAGATCTGTTGTACGTAGATGGTGACTATAGTTAATAACAATATATTGTATTCTTGAAAAATGCTAAGAGAATGGATGTTAAGGGTTCTCACCACAAAAATGGTAACTATAGAGGTAATGCATTTGTCAATTAGTTAGATTTAGTTACTCTACATCATACATATGTACCTCAAATATATTGCAGGTTTAGTTCCAGACCATCATGATAAAGTGATACAGTAAAGCAAGTCACACCGTTTTTGTTTTCTAGTGTATATAAAAGTTAAACTTACTGTACTGTAGTCTATTAAGTGTGTAATGTCATGATGTAGATACAATGTACATATCTTAATTTAAAATACTTTATTGCGGCCAGGTGCGGTGGCTCACACCTGTAATCCCAGCACTTTGGGAGGCTGAGGCGGGTGGATCACCTGAGGTCAGGAGTTCGAGACCAGCCTGACCAACATGGTGAAACCCTGTCTCTACGAAAAATACAAAATTAGCCAGGCATGGTGGCAAATACCTTGTAATCCCAGCTACTTGGGAGGCTAAGGCAGGAGAATTGCTTGAACCCAGGAGGTAGAGGTTGCAGTGAGTCGACATCGTGCCACTGCACTCCAGCCTGGGCAACAAGAACAGAACTCCATCTCAAAAAACAATAAAAATAAATAAAATATTTTATTGCTAAAAAATTCTAGCAAACATCTGAGCTTTCAGTGTGTTGTAATCTTTTTCCTGGTGGAAGGTCTGGCCTCGATATTGATGGCTGCTGACTGATCAAAGTAGTTGCCAAAGGTTGAGGTGGCTGTGGCAATTTCTTAAAAGAAGACGACAATGAAATTTGCTGCATCAATTGACTTCCTTTCACAAAAGATTTTTCTGTAGCATACAATGCTGTTTGTTAGCATTTGACCCACAGGAGAACTTCTTTAAAAACTGGAGTCAATCCTCTCAAACTCTGCTGCCACTTTATCAACTAAGGTTATGTCATATTCTAAATCTTTTGTTACTTCAACAATGTTCACAGCGTCTTTACCACAAGTAGATTCCATCTGAAGACACCACTTTTGGTCATCCAGAAGAAGCAACTCCTCATCCATTCAAGTTTTTTCATGAGACTGGAGCAATTCAGTCACATCTTCAGGCTCCACTTCTAATTATAGGTCTCTTGCTATTTAAATCACATCTGCAGTTACTTCCTGCCCTGAAGTCTTGAACCCCTCAGAGTCGTCCATGAGAGTTGGAATCAACTTCTTCCAAATTCCTGTTAATGTTGATATTATGACCTCCCCACTGAATAACAAATGTTCTTAGTGGTATCCAGAATGGTGAGTCCTTTCCAGAAGGTTTTCAATTTACTTTTCTCAGATTCATCAGAGGAATCACTATCTGTGGCAGCCTAGAGCCTTACAAAATCTTTTTTTCTGAGCAGTAGGCTTCAACAGTGGGCTTAAAATTTTCAGTAAACCATGCTGTAAACAGATGTGCTGTCATCCAGGCTTTGTTGCTCTATTTCTAGAGCACAGGCAGAGTAGATTTTAGCATAATTCTTAAGGACCCTAGGATTTTCAAAATGGCAAATGGGCACTGGCATCAACTTCAAGTCACCATCAGCATTAGCCCCTAATGAGAGAGTCAGCCTGGTGTTTGAAGCTTTGAAGCCAGACATTGACCTCTCCTCTGTAGCTATGAAAGTCCTAGATGGCATCTTCTTCCAATGAAAGGCTGTTTCATCTACATTGAAAATCTGTTTAGTGCAGCCACTTTCATCAATGGTCTTAGCTAGATCTTCAGTATAACTCACTGCAGCTTCTCCATCAGCACTTGGCTGCTTCACCTTGCACTCTTAGGTTATGGAGGCATCATCTTTCCTTAAACCTCATGAACCAACCTCTGCTAGCTTCCAACTTTTCTTCTGCAACTTCCTCACCTCTCAGCTTTCATAGAATAGAGTTAGGGCCTTGCTTCACATTAGGCTTTGGCTTAGGAAATGTTATCACTGGTATGATTTTCTTTTTTTTTTTTTTTTTTTTTTTTTTTTGAGACGGAGTCTCGCTCTGTCGCCCAGGCTGGAGTGCAGTGGTGCGATCTCGGCTCACTGCAAGCTCCGCCTCCCGGGTTCACGCCATTCTCCTGCCTCAGCCTCCCAAGTAGCTGGGACTACAGGCGCCCGCCACTACGCCCGGCTAATTTTTTGTATTTTTAGTAGAGACGGGGTTTCACCGTTTTAGCCGGGATGGTCTCGATCTCCTGACCTCGTGATCCGCCCGCCTCGGCCTCCCAACACTGGTATGATTTTCTATACAGACCAGTGAAACTTTCTTTATATCAGCAATAGGGTTGTTTCACTTTCTCATTGTGTGTTTTTGCTGGCATTTTAATTTAATCGCTTTAATTTTCTTCAATAATTTTTCCTTTGCATTCATCACCTGGCTAACTGGTGCAGGAGACCCAGCGTTTGACCTATTAAAGCTTTTGACATGTCTTTCTCACTAAGGTTAATCATTTCCAGCTTTTGATTTAAAGTGAGAGACGTGTAACTCTTCCTTTCACGTGAATACTTGGAGGCCATCACAGGGTTATTAATTGGCCTAATATCAATATTGTTGTGTCTCAGAAAATAGAGAGGCCTGAGAAGATGGAGAGATACAAAGGAATGGCCGGTTTGTGGAGCAGTCAGCATACATAATATTTATCAATTAAGTTGGCTACCCTGTAAGGGCACAATTTGTGGTGCCCCACAACAGTTACAATAATAACATCAAAGGGCACAGATTACCATAACAGATATAATAATAATGAAAAAAGTTTGAAATATTAGGAAAATTATCAAAATGTGGCCCAGAAACACGAAGTAGGTTCATGATGTTGGCAGAATGATGCCAATAGAATTGTTCGACTCAGGTTTGCCACAAATCTTTAATTTGTTTAAAAAAAAAAAAAGTGTGGTATCTGTGAAGCACAATAAAACAAGGTATGCCTGTCTATATACTTCAAAACATGTTGTATACAATAAATAACATAAAATTTTATCTGTAAATTTAAAAAATAATTAAAAATGCTAAATGTCGACTTTGGGTTGTAGCATGTAGGTAATTTTTTCTATTTCTGATCATTTGAATTTTTTTAGTGTATTACTTTTATAATGGTAAAAATTAACTTATTTTTAAAATTTGTTACTAAAAAGCTAAAGTTAGTGAGAAGTATTTACAGATAGGCAGTACCTTAGGATGGGTACTTAAGCTTCTTTGTAGTGACCATGTTACTCTAGACTCCCATTTCTCATATTTGAATACTGCAGGTTAGACCAGTTATACATGAGAGGGTTCAGTCAGTGGCAATATCATCCTTAGACAATACCAATAATACTTTTTTCTTTGTTTCTCTTGAAGTCTATTACTACATCAACTTAAATATGAATTTTTAAAAATGTGTTCATACAAACAGAAGAAAAATAATTTTTTTGCCCATAAAAGGCATTGAATTTTTAAATGGAAAGGGGACTACACCCCTCTATGTTTCTTGCTTTTTTTTCATGCTTTTCCACAGACTAAATCACCAGAAAGACAAACTGCCAAAAAGTTGAGAGACATGCAACTAGAATGATTAAAGAGCTTAGTGGGATTGATTTCTAAGGAAAGATTAAAAGAACCATGTATGTATAACTTGGCTAAGTGACAACTAGGGCTGGAGGCAAAGAGAACTATCTATAAATATTTGAAGAGCGTAAACCAGGCATGCAAAACCCAATCATCTGCTACCTTAGGCAAGTCGGAGATGTAACTGAGTGACAGCTTTTCGTACTGCATCCTGGCCTATTTTACCTCTTGGCTGCTGTGTTGGTGAGAAGAGGCGCAGCCCCAGACTGTGTCATTGCCCTTGACAATCATTTAGAAAGCACAGTGTGCTAAACTCTGAGGGCAAGACAAAGATGAATCAGGCATACTGGGTCCTGGCCTCAAGGAGCTTGTCTTCTTGCTTTCCCAGTTGTCCAAGCATTAAAGAGACCTTGAAACATTTGTCTGGACTTAATTTATTTCCCAGGCCTTAAAAATGCTCTTTTAATAACACGGTCACACAGAGTGAAAGAAGTGGGGAGACCAAAAAGAGAAGTATCTGGAGGAGAGTTTTTAAAACTAGGTCCGTGTCACTCACATTTTCAGAACCTGGAAATGGAATGGGTTAACATTTCCTTTTTGATATGGTCATCACAGATAGGGAACCCACTATGTATCTGTGGTAGGTTAAACAACAGGATAGCACTATCGGAGCCTGCACACAGCCCCAACTCTGTATTCTCAGTACTACTGTACTTATTACTGCATTGATAATTGATATTCATGATGATGCCCAGAAAGACATTGCACACTTTTTGGAAAGCAAATTTGCTCTTATTTAGTATTGCTTAATGTAAACTATGAGGTATGAGAAACTGAAATAAACACATATAATTTGAATAATTGGATTTTATTAGTTTACCCAGGATTCTATTCCTTTGAAATACTTAACCCATAACAGTATAAAGAATAAATTCACATTTTTAGTTCAAAGTTTTTTTTTAAATGTAAATATCTGTTGCATTACAAGCACTTTTTAGACACCTTGAGAGAAACAGAAAGAGGCTATGGTGGAAGTGCTTGGTGCATGGTAGGTGCTCAATATAAGTCAGTTGAATCTGGATATAAATAAAATTTAAAATCATAGTAGCTACCCTCATAGAACTTCCACATGTTTGAAAAGAAACTCCTTCCTTATTTATCAGTAATTTTTACTTTTTAAAATAATGAAATGTATGTGATAAGCATCAAGTTATGATTAAAAGCATCAAGTATGATTTGTTGTGTAAACTACCAGAGCTGCTTTCTGTTGTTAAAAACTGGAGTTATTCTTCTTCCCAAAATTATGTTGGGCACCTTCAAGGTATGGACTATCTTTTTTATATTTTTCTAGCACCAGTCAGGGTCTTTACATTGCAGATGCTCAGTAAATGCTTGTTGAATGAATGACAAACAAGTATACAGTAACCAAGACACCGTCATTGTGGCTCCTGGAATCAGCTCTGGCTGCCAGGTTCTTTCTGGAAGTAGCTCTGATCATTGGCCTCTCCCAAGACAAAACAAATCAAGTGGCTGATTACTTTCACAAGTGATTAGCTACACTTGGCCACTCTTGTGCCCGATTAGTCTCTTGTTGCTCTCTGTTCAGAGTGTTATTACTTTATAGACGATGATTTGTTGAGCGTTGTTGAACACAGTTTTTATTATTTGAAGCCTTGTCTCACAAACTAGGTTGACTGGAACATGGCTGTCAGAATTTCTGTATATATGGCTTGATAGTTTTCTATTGTGTGTTCATTGTCATGGAAACAAGGAAGAAAAAGATAGTGCTGTTGTCAAGAGCAGCATAGATTCATATATTAAATGAAAAAAATAAAAACATTAGATAATGAGGATCCTCCTCAAATTAAAAAAAAAAGACAAACTTTTTATATCACTGATTTTGGAGAGTGGGAGTGGGGATAAGAATCACAGAAAAAAAAACACCTACTTTCTTGCAAAAGTGTTGGATGTGATTCTTGGATGGAAATACAAAACATTCTAATTGAATCCTACAAAAATAAATTGAAAATGTCTTGTGTATAAGCCATGCACATTGGAGTGATTAGAAAGGGGGAAAGAAATTGGGTGTCACATTAATTGGTATTTACTTTGAAATGCATTTTGGTTTCTACTCAGTGATTTGCACTTTGTATGAATTTAATTAGATGCTATGTGCCCCAGGTTGTATTTCAGATGAAAATGGCGGCGGGGCAGGGGGTGGTTGGCAATAAACAGTTGTACCATTTTATCGGATTGCTTTAGCTAAACTAGACAAAATGTTCACTTGCATAAAGAACAGAATTGAAAGCATTTCATCATTAGAATAGTGGTGTTTCAAAACATGTGAGAGATGTTGGCAGGTTTTTTTGGTGTTCGAAGAAATGATCAAAATGAATGCAGAAAATCCCTTCACGTGCAGAAAAAAATGGATGACCAACCAGATGTGCATGTGTGTTAGCCCTTCCAAGAATCACTTCAAGTTCCCTAGGTTATTTAAAATTAACTTGGTCGATCTAATAAACTAAAGGAAAGATAGTATTACCCGAGCCAGTAAATGGAGACCCTCCAGGGAGCTATTCAGTATAAAATACTTGAATAAATAAAAATCTTCTATTTTGTTTCATTTGAATGCAGGTGAATTTAGTTGACAAATACTGAAGAGGGTAGGTGTGGCAAGGCACTATAACAACGCTTTTCATTTGGTGAAGAACCAAAATTATTATTTGCAAATTAAGTTTTTACCAGCCACAAATTTGGAAGTGCTCAGTGTCACCAATGGTTGATTTTTCCTTGGACATTTCATGATTGCATCTTATGTTGTACTACTTAGATGAGAAGCACGTGGATAGGATTTGAGTGAGCAATGCATTCCTCGGGTATTTAAACTCTAAGAAACAGTCATATTTTTAATTACTAGGGGGATACTAATATTAAAATGATGTTTATGGATGTAAAGAGATAGTTCTATCTTTAGGGGTGAGGGTAGCACAGTATCCATATACTTTGGCTTATAAGAGGTAATTGGCATCTGAAGATATCACTAGCTTAAATTTAAGAAATCTTGAATGACGAATGACTTGAATAACAAGGGAAGAGTATTCTAGAAATAGCTACTAAAGATAGAAATAAAAACACAGAGGAAGGAATTTTTTTCTTTATTAATAATAGTTAACATTTGTTTAAAAATATATAGTTTATAAACCACTTTCATAGGCATTTATCCTTTTTGATCCGCCTGCCCACATTAAATAGGTATTATTCCATTGTTTATCTGTTAGAAAACTGAGGTTCAGAGGCCGGGCGCAGTGGCTCACGCCTGTAATCCCAGGACTTTGGGAGGCCGAGGCAGGCGGATCACGAGGTAGGAGATCGAGACCATCCTGGCTAACATGGTGAAACCCTGTCTCTACTAAAAATACAAAAAATTAGCCAGGCGTCATGGCGGGTCTCTGTAGTCCCAGCTACTCGGGAGGCTGAGGCAGGAGAATGGCGTGAACCCCGGAGGCGGAGCTTGCAGTGAGCCGAGGTCGCGTCACTGCACTCCAACCTGGGCAACAGAGCGAGACTCCGTCTCAAAAAAAAAAAAAGAAAAGAAAACTGAGGTTCATAGAGATTAAATGACCTGCCCAAGGTCAGCCATGTATGTAGTGGCCCTCTGACCACATATTTTCATCCACTTTTACTAAACTATTACTTCATCTTTCACCTTATCAACCAGTGGAGAAATACAACTTTTTTCCTTCATTTTTATTTGAACTATTTGGTCCAAATGATTGATTTGGGGCTTGGGGGCAGTGAAAGAAAATGAGAAATGATTACTTTCTAAGCGTCTATGAAATAAACAGATAGATGCATGTTTATTGTTTGTTCTGTATAGGTATATTATAGTTTGATGGTGAGTGAAAGTCAAATGTAGTTTTTAAAATTTGTTCTTATGCCTAATAATTGGCCAAAGCGTATTTCTTCTCATGGATAAAGGAACACAGAGGTGGATATCTCAGGAAGGTTTAGCAAGTGAGGGGCTTGATCAGAAATAGCTGATAGATAGGAAGAATACATCAATGTATCAACTGTGTCCATGACTTGGCAGAGATTATCTGAAAAATAGACATGGGGGGATGGGGGAGTGGGCAGTAAGGGGTAAAGAAGCAGCTGGAAATACTTAAAATCTGTAATGAGATAATTAAGACTAATTAGCTGGCCCTGTAGGCAGAAAGCAGCCCATTAAGTCCAGATCCAGTTTTAATAACTTACCTGGTTTTGAGGCTAGACAGTCCAGAGCACCCCAGGGAATGAGATGTTTCATGGATGAGACTTTTAGGGTGGGATTCTTTGAAAATGGGTAGCTATAGTCTGCAGTGGGCAGTGTATTTTTTTTCCGGGAACTAAAATAAACACTCTGGTTCCCTAGGGAGAAGAATTAAAGGGCACCTCAGTTTTCTCTTCTGTTAAATGGAGAAAACTACGTAGAAGAGTTGTCATGTGGTTTAAATAAGATAAAGATACATAAAAAGGCCTAGAGCAATTCCTATCACAAAGCAAGTTCTTAGAAAATATTAAGAAACGTTTATTGAGTGCACTATTAGAAGAAGCATTGACTACTGCTGGGACCTCAAAATGAGGCAAGTTTGGCTCTCTTAATGCCATCTACTCTGCCTTCAATATTTAGGGCTATTATTTTCCTGTGGAAGTAAGATCTGATGACACTTCCCAACACATACTAAAATATCCTGACCTGCCTGAAGCCACAGGTCATTTCAAAACTAGCTAGCACTCCTAAGCAATTTAGAGGGAAACTGAAATGAAAAACAAATTGTGGCCCAAGTTTCAGGGGCCAGTTAAGCACATTTCTCAAAGTTTTACTGTAATATAACTTAGAAGTGGTATCTTAATGAAGCATTGGGAAATAGCAGATGATCTGGGCCTAGACCTGCAGAAGTCATCAGCTCTTCTGAGATTGCCCATTGTTACTTGGTTTTGAATGGTTTATTTTCTTCGCCCAGTGCCTATGTCTCCTTGTTTATCTCTCCTCTTAATTTTCCTTAGTTTGGACCAGAGCTTCATTACACCTACTTTCTTGCAAAAGTGTTGGATGTGATTCTTGGATGGAAATATAAAACATTCTAATTGCATCCTACAGAAATAAATTGAATATGTCTTGTATATAAGCCATGCACATTGCAGTGATTAGAAAGGGGGAAAGAAATTGGGTGTCACATTAATTGGTATTTACTTTGAAATGCATTTTGGTTTCTACTCAGTGATTTGCACTTTGTATGAATTTAATTAGATGCCATGTGCCCCAGGTTGTATTTCAGATGAAAATGGGGGGTGGGGGTGGTTGGCAATAAAGCTGACCTTTACTGACTATATTGGTTTTCTGTTATTATTGCTGTAACAAATTACCACAAGGTAGTAGCTTAAACGATACTAATGTATTATTTTATAATCCTGGAGGTCAGATGTCCAAATGGGTCTCAGGGAGCTAAAATCAAGGTGTCAGCAGGGCTCTAAGGAAGAATCTGTTCCTTTGCCTTTTGCGGCTTCTAGAGACCACCTGCTTTCCTTGGCTCATGGCCTCCCTTTCTCCAGCAGCGTCAGGCCAAATCCTTCCCATGCTGCCATCTTTGTGGTTCTTTGACTTCTGCTTCCCTCTTGCACTTTTAAGGACCCTTGTGATTACATTGGACCCACCTGGATAATCCAGAATACTTTTCTGTTTTAAAGTCAGTTGATTAGCAACTTTAATTTCCCTTTATCACATAACCTAATATACTTACAGGTTCCAAGAATTAGAACGGATATCTTTGAGAGGGTAATTATTCGTATTCTACCTGCCATATTGATTTATCACAATTGCCAAAGTGTTTCACACAGTACTTATACAGTAAATCCTCAGTAACTGTTGGCTACCATCATTTACAGTTATCATATCATTTCTATTACTTGCTTCTCCTTGCCCACTTCCCCCAACTCCCCAGTAATCCAGCTGCTATTTGCATTCAAATTTAAGGAAATTAGAAGTTTCACTGTTTTGTGTACATTTCGGAGGGGGAGCAAACCCAGATTTTTGTTGTTGGTATTATTGTTTTAGATTCACATGCCATAAAATTCACTTTTGTAAAGTACGTAATTCATTGGTATTTAGTATATTCAGAATATTCATAAAATTGTGCAGCCATCACCATTATCTAATTCTATAACATTTTCATCACCCCCCTCAAAAACCCTGTACCATTAAGTAATTGCTTCTCTTCTCCCCTCCCCCAAACCCTGGAAACCACTAATCTGTTTTCTGTCTGTATGGATTTGTCTATTCTGGACATTAATATAAATGGAATCATACAATTTGTGGCCTCTGTATCTGGCCTCTTCCACTTAGCATGTTTTCAAGGCACATTCATGTTTTGGCATGTATTAATACTTTGTTCCTTTTTATGGCTGAATAATATTCCGTAGTTTGGATGTGCCATATTTTGTTTAGCCATTCATTAGTTGATGAACATTTGAGTTTTTTCTACCTTTGGTTATTATGAAATAATACAGCTGTGAGCATTTGCATACAACTTTTTGTGTGGACAAATATTTACAGTTTTCTTGGGTAGATACCTAGGAGTAAAATTGTTGGGTCAACTGGCAACTCTAATTTTTTAAGCAACTGCCAAACTGTTTTCCACAGTGACTACACCATATTAACAATGGTTGTAGCATTTTACATTTCCACCCCTGGAGGTTTTAAATTGTA
Source organism: Homo sapiens (assembly GCF_000001405.40). Classification (NCBI taxonomy): domain Eukaryota; kingdom Metazoa; phylum Chordata; class Mammalia; order Primates; family Hominidae; genus Homo; species Homo sapiens. The sequence continues at coordinate 171,194,858 of NC_000005.10, forward strand.
CAAAATAATAAATGAAATGTCCTACAAACAAAATATCTGCCAGCCAACATACTAAAACAGTTACTCTTATATTTTAATGTGATGTCTCTGAAGGAAAAAAAATGTTTAGAACTTACAAAATGAATAACTTTCTGTTTAAACATATTCTCAGAGACACAGCGGAGGTGATTAGCTTTGGGTTTTACCTAAAAGCTAAGGAATTTATAATTTTTATCTATACATGACTGAGAACTTACAATGTTATGTTCACATTTACTTTTCCTGATGGCAATGAAAATATTAGTCTATAAATTGGCACTTTACCTTCAAATCATATTGGTTTCTGTACCTTTGTCTTATTAAGAAAAAAACTAACAGCTTCAATTATTATTCATAAAATAATCATATATACATTTGGAACACTAAATATATGACTACATACTTGAATATGAAGTTGTAAGAAAGTGAGCTCATGTTTTCTCCTTTTGCACCAGAAATAGTAAATGATACCTGTATGGTAATACAGATTAGAAAAATCTCTAATAGTAATGTTGTAAAAGTTGTTTGCATGATATAAACAACAATATCCAGTTCTCCAGCTTTGGTGGCACAACATTTCACGTTGCAATCACAGGAACAGTGCTGACTAAAAACGTAAACATTTCTATAGTATAATGCACCAATGTCTTATATTTGCCTACTTTAAACCCAAGTGATTGTCTAGGAATTCCATTTTCCTCACCAGAACCAAGCTGGCTGATCTTCACTCTCTTCTGACTTCATGCAGCTCCAAATTTAGGATTCTGTGACAATAACATTAGTCCCCATCTCTGATGCCTTCCACCTTATCAGAGACCTGGAAAAGCATGAGCTTGGGAGTAAAGCAGACCTGATTGGGAATCCTGGCTCGCTGACATTTACCAGCTGGAGGATGTTGGGCAGGCTATCTAATTCCTTTGAGTCTCTCTGCTCACATGTAAAATGAAGAAAATCGTACAACTTCATGAGATTGTTCTGAACAGTAATGACTTGCAACAGTACTTTGAAAACAGTAAGAGCCACATAAGTGTTTTTTAAGCAAATAAAGTACCAAATCCATTGCCTGCGTAAGCACTCAAGGAATAACAGCTGTTATTTAGTCAATCCACAAACATTTCTTGAGTGTCAGACCTTATTCAAGGCACTGGGGATACTCTGTGATGGAAATAGAACAATTTCCTTCCCAGGGAACTTACGTCCTAATAGGATAAACAACAAATGAATAAATATGTCAATGAATGGCCAGTATAGTAAGTCCCATAAGAAAAGTAAAGCAGGTTATGGGGTTGGAAAGTGATGTGGCGGGAGGGGAACTGTGATTACCATTTTAGATAGAGTGGTCAGGGAAGGCCTCTCTGAGGAAGTGACAGTTAAGTAGAATTGCTGTTCACATTACTGTATTTATAGTATTTGCTCCTTGACTTCTCCCTGCACATTTTGGTGGCTTGTCTCTTGTGCTCCTGCTATCCTTGTTTGCCTTAAAATTTGAATGGAGAAAGAGACGGAATCAGAAAGTTTTTTTATCTGTCGCTCAGAATATTAAGTTAGGAGTTGAAATGTTAAAAGTCTGAATTTGTCTTTGTTCTGAACAAGCATCCTTACCTTGGAAAACTTTGTTCCCAAAGGAAGGGCACTGGGCTGGCAATCTTGCAGTTATACTTTTTTTGATCACCGTAATCACCTCTCTAAGTCCATGTTAGACTCAAGACAACAATAGTGCTAATGGCTGTCATTTATTAAGTACCAGACACTGAGCAGGGGGATGGGGCGAGGGGGTGGTTACAGATGTTTTGTCATTTACTTAATTCTCATGGCTAACTTTATGAAGTAAATATTATGTCTCTTAATTACAGGTGAGCACACTAAGGCTTTGATGACTAAAGTGACTTTATCCAAAACCAGACAGCTAACAGTGGCAGAGCCAGGATTCAAGCATAGATAAACTTTTTTTTCTTTTTTTTAAGAGACGAGATCTCACTATGTTGCCCAGGTTGGTCTCAAACTCCTGGGCCCAGGGGATCCTCCTACCCCAGCTTCCAAGTAGGTAGGATTATAAGCATTCACCACTGCTCCCAGCTAAGCTTAGATAAACTTTGTAATTTCAAAGCATCCATTCTTTCTAGCACCATTACATGCCTGCAGTGGTAGTTACCACTGTTCTCATTAATAATTCCACATTTAGAAAATACTTTATCTTAGAAGAGTAAGATTACATGGCTTAAGTATAATGAGCATATATTTTATGTATTTAGGATTTGATAATGTATATTTCAATTATTTATTGTATTATTCTATGTCAAGTGTTAAGAAAATAAAGATGTTCTAAAATTCACCTTAATTGAGAAATTACTTTTTATCTAAACACAGTATTTCCCTAATAATGCCAGGCTCTATTCTGTGCTAATACTATAGTGCTAGTATCACCACTAATATTTATTGAGCATCTTCTGTTTTCCATGTATTATAACATTTAATCTTCACAGTGACCCTCAATGATAAGTATTTTTATACTTATTTTATAGATGAGGAAACTGAGACTCAGAGTAATTAGTAAAATATCCAAAGGTAAATAATATACGGTAAAGTCAGACACCTGGACCTGTTTACTGCCGAGCCCTACATAATTCTCCTTCACTGAGAAACTCAAAGATACACAGTCTCAGTGCCATAGAAGCTAATCCGAAGATACTATCAGCGTAAGCTAGTAGAGCTAGTAATTTACATGTATACTTTATAAATTTTATCTCATTTAGTTCCCGCAGTAACCCTGATCAGATGGTAGTTGTGGTATAATGTAAGTGGTATTATTGTTGCTATTATTAGATGTATGCTTAAATATCTGCAATTCAAGGCAGACCGGTACAATAGTTAAGAGCCAGGCGGCCGGGCGCTGTGGCTCACATCTGTAATCCCAGCAATTTGGGAGGCCGAGGCGGGCGGATCACGAGGTCAGGAGATCAAGACCATCCTGGCTAACACGGTGAAACCCCATCTCTACTAAAAATACAAAAAAATTAGCCGGGCGTTGTGGCAGGCGCCTGTAGTCCTAGCAACTCAGGAGGCTGAGGCAGGAGAATGGCGTGAACCTGAGAGGCAGAGCTTGCAGTGAGCCAAGATCGTGCCACTGCACTCCAGCCTGGATGACAGAGCAAGACTCCGTCTCAAAACAAGCCAGGCAAAATGCTATGGGAATCCAAAGGGAGAAGGGAGATAACTTGATTGGGATTTAGGAAAGCTTAGCTTAGACATTGGGAAAGATATTATTTCACCTGGGCCTTGAAAAATAACATCTGTATAGGTCTATGTTATCACCAGTTAACAGAGAAGAGTGTATCTAAGAGGAGTCACTTGGTCACACAGCCAGTTGACAGAGAAGAGATTATAATTTGGTCTGCCTTACTCTTTACTCAGGATACTGACCTTCGTTTAGAACGGCACACCAGTAAAGATTTGTTGGCCCTTTGGCATCTGTTTGTAACAAAGCTAAGTCCCCAATTCTGTTGTACTCCTGAAACAATGTGAAATTGAAGGAAAGAGATAAATCACAGAAGATTAGAGTCAGCCAGATCAGCCACTCCTTAAGAGTCAAAAGATCTTGATCCTGCCAGGACCTCCGTTACTTTGTCTGAAAAATGACTATAGATGCCAGTGTTTTTCGAACATTCACAGGCATCTGAATCATCTGGAGGGCCTATTAAAACAAAATTGCTGGGACCCACCCCCAGAGTTTCTGATTCAATAGATATGGGATGGAACCTGGGCATTTACATCTCACAAGTTCACAAGTGATGTTGATGCTCCCAGGTCAAGGACCAAACTTTGAGGACCTTCTCTGAGCTCATTTCCTCTCTAATACTCTATTGAAAAACTCTACTGTTAGAATAGAAATTAGGAGGTCTGAACCATGTCGTTCCACCTCCAACTAAGTATTCCACCTTAAGCAAGACACTTAACCTTTCTCTGCCTGTTTCTTCAGTAGAGTGCAGCTCGTAGCTCCCTGTGACTTAGGATGAATGAGTGAATTCAATCTCTCATTTAAAAGAAACCCCTTTTGAAAAAGAATACTATATAAATTATCAATTGTGCATATCCATGTGTGAAGTGAAGATTCTGCTTTGACAGAATCCTTGAGGAAACTGCAGTCTACCTTTAAAGTAAAAAGTTAATAGGAAATGTCTCTTTTCCCTCTTCTCTATTTAAAAAAAAAGAGAAAAAAAAGGAAGCTTAGTGTAAGAAGTGTACCCATGGAGAATGTATTTAAAATCCAAATGACCCATAAGGGACCCCATCCTTTTTGGCAGATAAAAGTTTCCCTGCCATTTATTTGATAAATTAATTAAAAAGAACATAAATAAAAGAGAATAATAACTTAGAGCTATCTGGGCACCTGAGTCTTTGAGCCCTTTAGGGCCTTGGCACCCAAAGAGAAGGGGGAAAAAAAAAACACTGCGTCTCTGAGGCTTTGAAAGTGGTCTTCCTTGAGGCATTAGAGAAGCTCTAGGGGCCCTAGGAGCTAAAGGACTGAGATGCCTGGGGCATGAGTCTATTAGATCCACTAAAGAACCAGGAAAAAAAAAATGGCTGGTAAGTAATTTTGCTATTTCATTTGATGCAAAAGAGAAGGCACAACACCAGAATATTCAGTGAGCAAAAGTACAAAATGTGGCATGGATGTGAATGCAGGCTGACCCCTTCTCGGGAATATTTCTAAGCCTAAATGAAGCACTCAATGCTGAGGACAATGTACAATTCTATGCATTTTAAACCGTAGTGACCCTTTTGTTTCTCTGATAGGTGAAGATGAGGATGAATTTGAGAATTTCATGCTGCCTCTTACAGTTGCTTTTGAAACAGTATTACAAATATTCAACAACAACTTTAAACAAGAAGATGTAAAGGTGGGTTTGTTTCCAAATATGAGGAATGACAGTTTTGTTTTTTCTAGGATATCTAGATCCAGAAAAGGGCTTTGCATATCTGTGTGTACTCTTTGCCTCCTCAGACCTGCTTTCCCAATTGCATGTCTTTAATTTTTACTTTTATTTAAGCATTTTTCTAGTTTCTTAGACAAATGGACTTTGAGGTCAGCAAATAGTTTTGGACAGTCAGTTCATGATAAGATGACATAGATTTGTTTCCTCTGGCAGTTACTATCTTTAATAGGATATTTCTTGTGGGTACACCACTTTAAACACCCCTATTCCCTCATCTATCCTGCACTGTTATGTTACAACAGATCTATATGGAGGAATGCACAAACATACACATACTAAAACACTACATCTCTAAATATTTTTTTAAACAAGAATTTATATAAATCAAGACTTTATTAAATGGCTAGGCATATATGTATAAATAGGAACTGGTCTTGAAGTATTGCATTCTTAAACGGAACAAAGTGATTAGGATAACTGATAGCTAAATAAGGTTTTTATGTGCCTGTGGGAGCCATATTAGGATTGATTTGACAAGTCAGTTCAGCTGTGGCAACAGTCATAATATCTAAGACAACATTATGTTTTATTAGTAAAATCCTTAAGTGTAGCAAGCTGTCTGTGACAAAACAGCCCCGTATTTTAAGGAGGGGGATGGGAAGCACAAGCACTGCTAAATAGAAATAGTATCTTCTGAAATTATAATGTATCAGGGAAATATTAAATAAATTGACACTGATTATTATTTTTAACAGACTAATAAATGCACTCCAGAGAATGTAGACACCTTTGTTGGTGATAATTGAGTCATATATTTCATAGTTATTTGAAGTATGTTGGAAATATTAACCATCTTTTGCATAGTGTCTCTTCACCAAAAAAAAGAAAACAAAAACAAAAAAACTAACAGTAAGAAGCCAAATAGAAAAATGACACCCTTTGATAATTATCTTTATGTAATTCTTCTACCAAAAAATAATCAGCCAAATGCTATACCTCTTAATTTAAAAGAATTTTTGAAATTAATGTTTATCAGCATGCTATAGTTATAGAATTTTAAAACCAAAAGAAGGATCTTACAGATTCTGTTTGTGTTTATAGTCTTCCTGAAATTCTTCACCAGAGTTTCCACTCAGGTTAGCTGTATCTTTTAGATGTCTTCCAAATATTTTCAGTGACCAACAAAATCTTTGCAGCTTTTAGGTTGCTATTTCTGCCCTTTATCAAAAAGGAGCAGTGAAGTTGAAAAACATCATCTTTATGAAAATTACATCTGTCTCATCTGAAGATTTCATTATATTCCAAGACCATTTTGTTGTAATCCCATCTAGTTTGATAGAAACCATCTTCCTAGAGTCATTTTTAATGGAGTTCCAGTGATATATCCCTAAACCAGCAAGTTCTTAACGACCCTGGAAAGTGACTGCTTGATTACACTTTAACGGTATTTGCAAATAAAATCACAAGTAATTAAGGGGAAATCTCCAGGCTTTTGAGCAAGTTTGATGCATGATAACTGCCTGATTCAGCTTCATCTAGAGTAATGCTGTGTAGGCAACAGCTACTGAGATCAATAGCAACGTAATGATAGTGGCAGAATTAAGTGAGTAACCTGAGAACTGTGCCTCAGAATGCATGCAGCTGCCACGAACCAAGGCCACACAGTGCACTCCGTGCTTCCGTCCTAAATGTTCATCAAAAGACGCCCTGCAGGAAAATGGAGTTAGATGCTCTTTATTGCTGATCGTGTCTCTTGCCACATTTATCAGGGAAATTGGATTAGCAGTTGGCAGCTGCAGGTAGACAAGATTCTGCAGTGATTAAATATGCAGCTTGGCTGCATTTGTTGTGACAGACCTTTAGTAAATTCTACTGTAAGCACCATCTGTCTAATTTGTATAAAGAAAACTTGGTGCTTTAAGCTACCGATAAAAAACTAAATCTGTTGCTTTATCATAAACAAAACTTTTGCACTAAATGCTTTTAAATGTAATTTATTAGGTTAAGGCTATTTTTCTATCACGATGAATAAATAATACATGCAAAAGTGCTTTCAGGTACTTCATTTTGCAAGTACTAGAGATAAAAACATTTCTGTTTTGTTCTTCAATAAAGTATTTAGTATTCCAATCCACAGGAGGTGATGCTGTTAAAATATCTCTATGAAAATGCCGCAGGACTGCCAAATTCATTTAATTTGCACCTCTTACCAGCATTTTCTAACTCCCTATTTATAGATAGTTTCAAATGCAGATTTCAGGATAAACTTAAACATTAAGGACCTGTGTTGCCAAATTGAAATACAGTTGTTAGAGGAGGAAATGCAGCAAAAGTGTTAAATTTATAGCTTTATTTTCTTACTTATTCTTAATAAAATTGAAGAAAACATTGAAATTTTGTCTTGGGTTTTTCTCTTCAAAGTAAAGGGGAAAAGGAAAAAATACTCTGACAAATCCTAGCTTTAGAGTACTCTTTCAAAACGTATGTTTCCCCCTATAATTATGTCCATGGTAAAATATAGTCCAGTACTCCCCTGACTCGTGCATCGTTTTTGATTTGGTCATGACATCATCAGTTTCAAGGAAAATGAATGAAAACTTCTCAGAGAAAGAGAAGCAGTTAAATAGGAACCTGCTATCTTTAGTCCTTTTGTAAAAACTCCACAATGTTAAATTATTTAAAATCCTTGATTTTCAGCATGCGCACATTAAAAGTTTTCGCACTAAGTGCCAAATGTTGCAAACAGCACTTTAACAGAATGATTTTGCTTTGATCCCTGTAGCAGTTCCTGAATAATTTATCACAGGTTATTGCCTTAATTCTGGAGAGGGATAGAGCAATAAAGGCAGATGAAAACACTCCAGTTGAAACACCTTGGGGCCTGCTCATTCCTCTGACACGGCTCTTTTGTTGGAACTATTTAGAGGTTATTAAGATGTGTCTTCAGAATTAAGAGTATGCTGTAAGGATGAAGACAGCCATCTTAATTCTAAAGACAAAGCACAATGACCCTTCACCTTCTTTTTCTTTGTTGTTATTATATAGTAGAATTATGAGGATAATATTATAGCTGCCCCCAGTAGTGCCACTACAGTAAAGGGTCTGTGAGACTTTCCATTAGAAACCCTGTTTTGGGGGTCAGGGTGGAAGGAGCCTCGTTTCAGCTGTTTCCCAGCCCATTCGTCTCACACTTGGCACACAGACAACTGTTCACCATGCAGCAGACTGAAGAACTCAGCAGTTTCTCCCTAACTACCCAAAAAGGAATCCATAGGGTTAGATCTCCAGACATATCCCACTCCCCAAAACAGCCTCACTAAAAATACAAGAGCCTGTCACTCTTCAGACCAATCTTGTGTTGACCAACTATAGGAGAGAGGCAACTTTTAAAATAAAACTCTTTGCACTATTTTAAATGAGATGGTAAACTGTAGCTCCTCCTTTCCTCAAATTCAATAAGATCACCTCTTACGCTCAAATTACTTAGTAGGCTGGTTGAGCTCTTAGTTAACAGCTTTCCTTTTTCATATGGGGGCTGGATATGTTTTGGCTATTGAGAAAACACTCTCTTTAGTGTTGTTTGTGTATCCATGTAGATTATTGCAGTATTATCTGCTGCTTTGAGATAAAAGATATTGTTTGAGCATAAGAAATCTATTTCTTATTCACATTAACACTGAATTTTTCTGTTCAGTTGAATTCATTTAAAACATTATTATATGCTTCCTCTGTAGTAACATTTTCTAGAATGAAACATTGATATAATTTCATAGCCACATTTTGCCACTTTAAAAAAAAAGCCAATAGATTTGAGTCCTATAGACCACTTCTATTAATTTGATATCGTTTAAGGAATGAAAAAATTGTGATAAAATAAAAATTAATATTTTTGTATAACGAGGATAGTCTAAAATATTTTTAGAGCCCTTTGTACTAGACACAAAGAAAGTAAAACTCATGGTTCTTGTTGACTAATTTAGACTTAAATGGTAGATATCTCATGTGTATGTGGAAGCTTAAAATTATTTGAAGCATAGCCTGAAACTTGTAAGTGTACCTAATAAAAATAGAACAAAAAGCCTACTTTAATAGAAACACTGCAAAGCCAAGGAGTCAGAATAGAATAGTTTGAAGAAGGCTTCTTAGAAGATGTATTTTGTTCTGGAGGCTTCCAGGAGTGTGAAAAGCTGAGAAAGAGAGGAACAGGCTTCAGGTGGTGAAAAAAGGCTATATAAAAAGGCAAAATGTTTAAAAACAAGCAGCAGGTTACATGAGGGAACTACAAGGAGGCCAGCTGGTTATAGAAAAATAAGAACTGGTGAGAGTATGAGAAAAAAAGGAGTAAGTAATTTAAAGGAGCAGAAACAAAAATTCAGAGTTTTCAAGATTCAGAAATTCAGATAACCATCATTCTGTGAACTGTTAGACAGTGCAGAAACTGAATATTCCTATAAATAACATCCAGTTATATTGAGTCATCTCTTAGGCAGAAAGAATGGAGAAGATGAGAAATTCTAGATACTTCTGAGAGTTAAACTATTATTTGCTACTTTGAAATTAAATTAATTGAATCAGCCATTAAGAGGAGGGTCAGGATTCACTGTTTGCTTAATAATAATTTGAACTCCTTCCTAAAGAGGTTTTCATTTATTACCAAAGTGTGAGAAAGGAGAAAATCTGGTAGAAAAAAAAGTTCAGAGACCATTTTCTAGCTGAGTATTTGCAATGAAACAGTATCTTTAGAAGTCACAGTTGTATATCTCAATTATCGCACCCCCTTGTTTTGTAATTATGTTTATTTGTGCTCTTTGTTCCGACATTCTAGCATCTGTTCATGGGTTTTCTTTTTCTCTTCCCAAGCATCAACCTAAGGACAGCTTAATTAAGAGTCCAGAGTACAAGTCAGATCTCTTCTATTCAAGAGTCAAGTTTTTGTTTTTTTTCTCTAAAACTAAATACTTATGGAACATTTACTGTGTATCAAGCTCTGCTAGGCATTTTCACATAAATTTATCACATTTATTTGGCACAGTGCCTCTGTGAGAAATGCATTATTAGCCCCTTTTATAGATGACAAAAGTAAGCCTGATAAATTGCCTTGCCTTAAGTTTTAAAGCTGGGATTCAAATTCGAGTCTTATGACATCAAATATAGAACTCTTTTCCTTACATCTTCCTCACTTGGGGAATGTGACTGCCATTCTGCGTATATCATAGTACATGTAGGTCACTTGGCCAGTTTTATTTTGTCCTGAAGTTATTAAGGATATTCATTAGGAATTTTTAAATGCCAGTGCCTTTCTAGGATAGACTCTAAATTATGTTGTGGGGCCGCTTGCATGCAAGCCGATGTTCAAGATTTGCTGTTATTAAATAATGTCTAGACCCTGTACATATCTGTTTTGTGTAATTATCAATCCTCATCTTTTTTTTCAGATTTGGCATTATTCAGAAACAAAGTATATTAAGACTCTAAATGCTTAGCTACACTACTGGAATTATGACTTAGCTAAATTTATAAGAAGTAAAGTGGAGTTGATCAGCAGATTTGATGGTCTGTTTAAAGAGTCTGTGCTTTTCTGTAGAAAGAGGTCTGAACGAGACATTTTAGCTAATGAATCAAAATCAGATATGTGGTCATTATTGCCTGATTATTACTCCATCTGCTCTGCGCTAACGTGAAAATCAATTACTGTGTCTCTTTCCCACTGACAGCGTATGTTGATCGGGCTGGCAAGAGATCTTCGAGGGATTGCCTTTGCACTGAACACAAAGACCAGCTACACCATGCTGTTTGACTGGATGTATCCTTATTACACTGTGACAATACCAGCTCTGTGCACAGAGGGATGCCAGGCCCCTCGCTTTCGTTTAATAGTATGGCACAGTAGGGAAGAGGAAACAAAGCTAAATGAACTAATGTGTAATCAGCTAAAAATTACAGCACAGTGGCAGCAGAGCAGATAACTGAGCACAGTATTTGGAGACCCAGCTCAGAGAAGTCACTTTTTTGGTGCCGTTAAATATTGATAACTTAAAAATGACTTCCCCCAAATGATTGTTTATGTTGGAGTTGAAGGGATAATCTGGCTAACATCTTTAGGGATCAATGAATCCTACCATTTGACATTTTTGAGGGGAGATTTGAATCTCCATCTCAATTAGCAAGGCTGGGAAGATCATTTTATCTCTTCAAGGCCTAACCCATCATGCCACAGTTTTTCATTATCATGAAGATAATGAATGGACATGGAAAGGGAAAAATAAATAAGTCAAGGTTTGTCATTTGGTGTAAAATTTGAATTGACCTTTGCCAAGGGTTAGTACAGACAGGAAAAAAAAAAAAAACCCCCCACAGAAATGCCTTATCATGTAAGAGTTAAAAGAGCATAGACTTTGGTGATAGACAGACCCGGCTTAAAATCCCAGCTCTTCATTTACTGTGTTGTGAACCTTGGCAAGTCATTTCACCTGTCTGAGTCTTGGTTTTCTCATTTGAAAACAGATACAATTCAGTATCATGGTATATTGTAACCATTAAAATAGGTAAAGTGTACTCTGTATAATGTCTGGCACATTTTTGGTAGTTGTAAATGGTCGTTAATATTGTTCTAATAGTGTTGTATGACTTATGTTTGATCCCAGCAGGAAGTGATATTGTATGCAAGTCATCTAAGTGTTATATAATGCTTTCATGTCTTTTATGCATGAAACCATCAGAGCATGTGAAAAAAATTATATAATCTGAAAGCTAATTTACTTTTTAATCTAAACTATTTCTCAGTTACTTTTTTTAAACCCTCCTTATCCAAAGTTTCCTGTAAATTAAATTGCAATAGAAACTTCTTAAAGGTAACTGTCAACTACTATGCCACAGTTATGGCCAAAAATATAACTAATAGGGGATCTAGGCATGTTTTAGGGAGAACTCTACATATTATAAAAATTTTTAAACATTAATTTGATACTGACATATCTTTAATTATTATTAAAATATACTTCATCAGATTTATGTACCCAGAGAAGGGTTACAGATAAAATTTTTATGTCATTGAGTAATCATGCACATGGTTTTTATCTACATATAATATGTACAGAGATTATGAAATTTCAACATGGAAAGTCTTAAAATTCTCTTAACAGTGACAGTTAAACTGGAATTATATATGACCCTTTTATTTCTGCCTTTTTTTTAATTTTTAAGATACGGGGTCTTGTATGTTGCTCAGGCTGGACTCAAACTCCTGGGCTCAAGCGATCCTCCCACCTCAGCCTCCTGACTAGCTGGGACTGTGGTGCTACAGGTGTGCTCCACTGCACCCAGCTTGACTCTTTTATTTCTCTAAACATAAAGAGCAACTCTCAAAATCAAAATTTTCATTATTTGAAAAATAATAAAAGTCTACTTTGGGCACTGTAATATCGATGGTGATCTTGAAACCAGTCTACAACTCTAGGCTATCTAGTGATTAACATTTCATGTTTTTCTCTTCAACAGTTTCAACCAAGAGTCAAGGTCAGAAACCTTCCCCTCAGTGTCAAAGAAGAACTATCTGCCGTAATTGATACTGCCCAAAATTTAGAGAAGATACTGTATTGTTTTCCATTTCCTTATTTAGCTCCTTTGGGGGTAGCGGGGGAACCTTTCTGAAATGAAACTTTTGTCCAGCAGATGGCAGAAAATAGCAAACGGAAAATCTTGGGACTTAATGTTTTCTTGTGAACTAGAAACCTTTGTCTCCTCCATTTGACCATAGATGTTGAAGTTATCAGGGTCAGGGGCGGAGAGAAGTGTCAGTTATGCCAGAAGCTGTGTTAGATTGCCAAATGGGGTGGTTTGGTACTGGCGTTGCTTATAATAATTGAGTTTCAGTAGCAAATCAGCTTCCTTGGGAAAAGGCCAAGGGCTTTTCATAATTGTATTGACAACAAAATGAATATGATAAATGGTGTTCATTCAGTTGAGACAAGATTTATAGTTTTCCTTTGGGCGAGGGATGAAGAGCAAATATTTATAATAATAGTAAAATTTGTTTAAAAGTTATATTATTTGATAATTCAAAAAGCTTTATTAAAATATTTTGAAATACTTTAAGCAGTTTCAGGTGATAAAGTACAGATTCTTTTCAAAGTATTCAAGTAATGCAAAAATGAATAAGTATGATAAAAAAATGCCATGGATATGAAAGTCATTTATTTTTCCTGAAATATTGATATGTCAAACCGTCAGTGATGATTTCCACATTACTGCTGGGGAAAGTTTATTTGCCTTTTATCCACATAAATGTGTGTTCTTTAATTTGTTATACAATCCTTAGCATGCAGAAGAAACATCCTGTAAGAGCACATGTCATCTTAAAGTCAAAATGCATTTTATTTATGGCGATTATTTGATAAAATGCTATTTTAGTGGTTAGCTATTTAATTCAAAAACATTTCTATAAACACTGACTGCATTAACTGCCACACAAACTACATTGCTTTTCACTCTGTCCTTCCAAAACTAAATTGCCTGAAACTACACAGCAACCATCTTGATAAATGGTTTCCAGGGCTGGAGAATTGAAGGAAGATCATTGACATACTTCTTTGCCCCTATGATGGGAATGCAACAATAAGAAAACACCTTAGCTTGCAGTGCATCTGATCTCCTTGTTTAAAATTTTCCTAGATCATACTTAAACTGAAGTATCAAAAATCCAGAGGGAAGTTGGGAAAAAAATTAAGAATTTGTATGACATTATTTCCTCATATGCAGTCTTTTAACTGTTAAAATCTGATCATTGAACTCACTGATTTTTAATCAGGAAGTCAGTGCTGTTATACAGTGGCAAGGCAAGATAACAAGATACATAGAGGAGCACAAACTTTGGAATAGGACAGTCCTAGATTCCAGTCCTGGATTCACCACTTAAACTGTGGGTCTTGAGTAAGCTACTTAATATCCCAGAATCACAATTTCGCTTTCCATAAAACAAGACTAATAAAACCTATCTCACAGGTATGTTGTAAGAAGTGTCATGATTCTGTGATTATGTAAAGGGCCCAGTACAGTGGCTGACATAAAGTAAATACTCTACAGCTGTTGTTAGTTCTGTTCCCTGATACATAATGAGACAAAGGAATCCCATTTGCTCACTTATTCAGCAAAGTGGGCTAAGGGCTGTGCTAGGTTCATGAGGAGTATAGATACTACCCCAAACAAAGTCAGTTTCTTATTTACATAAATTACTATAATCAAATATAGAAAGTGCTAAGAACCATAACAAAGATACAAACAGGACAGTGAGTGCATTTAGCTGGGGAATCAGGAAGGGCTCTCTGGAAAGGTGAAGGTGTTTCCTTGGGTCTTAACCAAATAAGTAGGATTGGACCATATGGAAATAGGAAGAAATACAGGTTTTCGGTTGGCCTAGGCATCAGGTTTAGGGAGTCAGTAGTGAAGATGTTTTGTTACATATACCACTCATTTCATGGTTGGAAATGTAGTTTGTTTGGGACTCTTGAATATCAGTCTAAGGAATTTAGACCCTTATTCCATAGGTAGTATAAAGAAACTAATGGTTTTGATTGACTAAGAAAATCAGAATTGTTTTCAAGAAGAAAGTAATTGGCAGTATCATTTTGGGCAAACTGAAATAGAGAAGAAAGTAAAGCTGAAAATTCACTGTTCAGCAAGCTATTTTTTTTTAGTTTTATTTCTGTGCCAGACAAAAGGAATGAAAGAATGAATAAAATGATTGCTCTTTAGAAGCCCACTCTCTAGTTGATCACACATGACTAATAAACAATAAAATGTCAGTGCGTTATAACAGAGATGCATGCAAAGGGCTATATGAGCATGTATGGGAAAAAGAGCAGTGCTTTTTGCAAGATATAGAAAGCTTCTCAAGAGAAGTGAAAGTTGAGCAAAGCCTTGAAAGATGGATAGGCATTTGCCAGACATAAGAGGAAAGGCTTCCAGCAGCAGTCCCCTTGTGAACAAAGGTCCAGATGTTTACATATTCATGGAGTACCTTTAAGCTCTGAACTGGCAAGCTATTTCTATTCTGGAACCACATCCCCAAACCCTTGTCTCCTAACACTTTTAATGAAAATTCTTTTGCCTTCTGGTATTAACAACTGATGAATAGATGGACGGACGGACAGACGGACGGATGGATGGATGGATAGATATTGTAAAGAAGCAAACTTGATACTTTTCACATTTTCATATTTGGTATCCTGTAAGGCAGTGTCACATCATTAATGCCTTTGATTTTTAATTTATCTGATGTGGACCTTAGAAATTCATAGAGAAGATCTCAGTGAAAGCAATTAGATCTGTGCTTCTTCTACCTAAGGGCTCCCATTCTCTTCTTCCTACTCATATGTACATAGTCCTCACAAGGCCATTGGAAAATTAAACTCCTAGAGTGGGTTCTGGTTCTCACCCTGTAATTGAGCCTGGCACTCTCACTCTGCAGCCCTTTTAACCTCTCTATTGTGCTTTCCAATAATCCCTCATTTTCTCTGTGGCAGTCACCTCTGTCAGAAGCATATTAGAATTGGCACCACTCTCATTCCACACAGAAAAAGGAGCATCCCCTTATATCTCCCTGCCTTATCCCGTAGTGAATACTGTGTGCTCTGAAAAATATCCTGGTCCTAATGCCATTATAGGATGCCTTGCAGAGGCCTATGTGTGCCTCTGATATTCTTAGGTTCTGAGATTTGGGTTGAATCCATTTTCTCATGAGCCTTCCAGATGCATTCCCACTAATGAGTTTGTGCTCAGGAGGTCCCTTGGTGGAATATTTTCTCACCTGTACCCCTGTGGCATTGGTTCAGAATTTCTGTACTCAAAGCATCCCTATTATATGTTGGTCACCCTAATTTGAGCATGTGTTCCCCAAGATTAAAAGCTATATCTTCCTGGCCGGGCATGGTGGCTCATGCTTGTAATCCCAGCACTTTGGGAGGCCAAGGTGGGTGGATCATGAGGTCAAGAGATCGAGACCATCCTGGCCAACATGGTGAAACCCCGTCTCTACTAAAAATAGAAATATTAGCCGGGCATGGTGGTGCTCACCTGTAGTCTCAGCTACTTGGGAGGCTGAGGCAGGAAAATCGCTTGAACCCAGGAGGCAGAAGTTGCAATGAGCCAAGATTGCGCCACTGCACCCCAGCCTGGCAACAGAACAAGACCCCGTCAAAAAAAAAAAAAAAAAAGGCTATACCTTTCTTAACTCTGGATCCCCAGCCCTTAGCATAGTACATAGCACATGGTATCTACATCTATCAAAAATAACAGCTTTTCTGGTCCATAGAAACAAAACAGTAAGTTGTCTGATAACAGTCAAAATAAAGTTAATCAAGTGGATTGACTTTATTTTTGTTATTTTCATCCAACTGAAACCTTATTCTCACATATACACTCTCTTCTTATCCCCCTTCCCTGCCTTATTTTCCTTTGTAGTACTTTTTTTTTTGAGACAGAGTCTCACTCTGTCACTCAGGCTGGAGTGCAGTGGTGCAGTCTTGGCTCACTGCAACCTCCGCCTCCCGGGTTCAAGCAATTCTTGTGCCTCAGCCTCCCAAGTAGCTGGGATTACAGGCGAGCGCCACTATGCCTGGCTAATTTTTGTGTTTTTAGTAGAGACAGGGTTTCACCATGTTGCCCAGGCTGGTCTCGAACCCTTGGCCTCAAGTGATCCACCCACCTCAGCCTCCCAAAGTGCTAGGATTATAGGTGTGAGCCACCATGCCCGACTTTCTTTGAAGTACTTTCTAATGTGTATTTATTTTGTTTACTAGAATATAAATTCCATGAGGGCAGGGTTTTTTTTTTTTTTTTTTTTTTACTGGTGTCTCTGGAAAGTGTCAAACAATGCTTGTTATAGAATAGGACTTCAGAAAATAGTTGATAAGAAAACTGTTTCAGTATATACAAATGCAGCCTTAACATGGTATGTCTGTCTAATAGGAGAAAGTGTTGCTTTTTGCACTTTTAGGAAGCATACCACTCTTAAAGTTATAGATGCCTTATTTTCATTGAACATCATGTGAACTGTTTTCTAAAGCTCCCAAGTGAAATACACAATTAAATAGTTCTAATCAAATAAGCTACACTTCATTTTTAGGTTGCAAGTTTATAGCAACAAGTATGTATTGAAATCTATTTTGTGTCAGGCCATGCATTCAATAAGTACTTAGTATATGCCCTCAAAAAGCTTATAATAGGAGAGATATACAAGTACTATGATTGTGCTAGCACCGGGTTCCACCACCATACACAGGAGACACTCCTAACCCATTAGGGAGAGGTAGGAGGCAAGTGCATGTGATGTCAGAGAAGGCCTCCTGGGATAATTGACACCTATATTGAAATCTGACATTCAAATAGAAATTAGCAGGAAGATGATAGGGTCTCTGCTCTTTAGAAATGCACTATCTAATGGGGCAGACAAATAACACAAGCAACCAACCCTAACATACTGTGTTGTAAGAGAGATATGGTCATGAGTGCTCATTGAACATAGATGAGGAAGAGACTGATGCCTTTGGATAAAATAGAGAAAACATCCCATGGGAGGTAAAACTTGAGCTAGGTATTGAAAGACAGGGATATGTTAGAGAGAAGAAGTGGTTTATAAGGGAATGGAGATAAGAGCTGGCATTAGTGGTTTTGCAGGGAGTTATGAAAAGCTAAATCATAGAGCAGAAATGCTAAGAGATGAAGCTGGAGGTAGCCAAGAACCAAATCTTAAAGGACCTTGAACACCGTGCTACGGAGTTTGAAATTTATTCTAAGAGCAAGGAAGAAAATTGTGATGACCTCACCATGGAGATTTCTACCCGGACCACACTGAAAAGAAACACCATTAAGTGATTTAGTTGAGCATTTTGATCTGAAACAAAAGACAAGTATGTTGGAAAACATCGGAAAGAGACTTGAGGATTGGGAAAAGAAAAGAGAAATTAAGGCAGTGACATAGAGTTTTTCTGCTACAGTTTGGGACCTTAATCCTATATTCATATGTCTACTTGGCAAGGAGATACCCAGTGTAAATTAAAGGGCCAGTGGAGCTGGGTCAGTTTTCCAGGTTCTGATGGCCTTCAGCATAGATTTATCAGAGGCATATACTCCTTAGCATTAATAAGGATGTTAGAGAATGTCTCCTTGTGTGTACATGGGACTATCTTTAGTGACACTGATGTTGAGTAGATTAATAGTTACTCAAAGCTTTTCGTCAAGCCAACATCCCAGATATTCCTTGGAGCTACAGTGAGACCAAAAAGAGCAATTCAACAATATTTTTTTAAAAAGAATAATGTAATTTTGAAACTGAGAGATATGTGAGGTTTATTACTAGTTCCTTCTACTTTTACATATTTATTAATTTCATAATAAAAATATTTTTCTAAGTAGTATAGTACCCAAGAAACTGATAATAATAACTCAAATATATTTTTATCCTCATTCACTAAATTTATTTTCCTTTCCTACAACATTAGGCATAAATCTTTAAATGTACTGCTTATATGATACTTTAAAAATGTGTATTTTATTTATACAGTATTCTAAGAACAAAGTAATATAACGTGTAGGACATGTTACAAATAAGAACAAATTGCCAGCAACCCCAAAAATGTATGTATATCTGTGCAGGTTAGGGAGCGCAATTTATAAAATGCCATTGTATAGTATAGACATAGAACAAATTAGTATAAATATAGAACAAATGTGGATTCCCTTTTGTGTGTGTGTATGTGTGTGGCACTAATTTTCAGAAACAGTATTTCTTTAGACCCTTAAATTCTTTAACAGGCTTTATAAAAGGTACCCAACGTACCTTCCCCTTCTTCAGAATGCTGTTGAACGGTGGTATGGAGAGCCAACATGTACAACTCCCATCTTGAAACTTATGGCAGAACTTATGCAAAACAGGTAAGCAGTGTGACAGGCAGTGAGAAAAACAGTCTACTATTAGCGGAAATCTCCAACAGTCAGACTTTCTTTTTTGGTTTGTGTCTTTCCAAGGTAGTTAGCAAGAGCCCAGGAACCAAGACTTAAGATGATTAGTGAAAACAGAATTAGAGACATACGATTGAGGCCTTTTGAGAGAAAAAAGTACAGTATACTTGGCTGTCTATGGGGACTAGGGAAATGGAAAATAAATTGGAAGACTGCAGCCACCATTATTTAAAAATTCAAAGGTACGAAATGAAGGGAGGGCAGCTATTTTAACTATTTCAGTGCTTAAATGCAATTCTATAGAATTTTAAAGCAGGAAAGAAGTTTAGAGGTCTCTGAGTTGAGATGCTTTATTTGATGGATAAGGAAACTGGTTCTCACAGCAATTCAATTCATGGGAACATAGTTTGCCTCAGAAGCTCTGGGAATTATTCCTGCTTTCACTTCTAAGCTATACTTCTTCCTTTATGCCAAGATGCATGTATTTGGATGATTTATACACTCACAGTTTTCATTGAGAGAGCAACTATAATACTTCTCTGAAATTGCCCAGTTGACCTTATAATTTGCATAGACTGGCAGAAATTCAAATATTCTCCATATAAATATTAACAAAGATGTAGCTAAAAGAGAAAATCTGGCAATAAGCTAATTGGGCTTAAAATATGTCATTGTGGATATGGCTTAGCACCAAATTACATGTCACTTAGCCATCCTGTTTCATGAGTTGCCCTTTGTAAACTATGTGTTTAGAAGGGAGGTATCCAGACAGGGAAGGGTATGGGTTGCAGCTCTAATGTTATCTCTGGTGCTGAGTTTTTCACAGCAATAATTTAAAGTTTTTACCCTAAAACAAGAGATGAAGAAAGACCTTGCAAATAAAGAAATGTGTGTATCATTTTTTTTAAAGCTTTTCATTTTTAAAAGCCACTCTCATAGGTGCCTTAAAGGAAGGGTGGCTTTGTATTTTATATTAAAAATTTAGTTTGCTTTTTAATTATATTTCCATTTTTTTAACCAGAAAATTAATATTATGTATTACTGATAGAACATTTAATACTAAAGGGAAAAAATCATTGCATTGTATATTATAAAGTATTTTATGTCAGCCACAGGCAGATGATTTTTTTTTTAAATTTAAGTTCTGGGATACATGTGCAGAACATGCAGGTTTGTTACATAGGTATACATGTGCCATGGTGGTTTGCTGCACCTATCAACCCAACCCATCACCTAGGTTTTAAGCCCCACATGCATTAGGTATTTGTCCTAATGCTTTCCATCCCCTTGCCCCCCATCCCCCAACAGGCCCCGGTGTGTGATGTTCCCCTACCTGTGTCCATGTGATCTCATTGTTCAACTACCACTTATGAGTGAGAACATGTGGTGTTTGGTTTTATGTTCCTGTGTTAGTTTGCTGAGAATGATGGCTTCCAGCTTCATCCATGTCCCTGCAAAGGACATGAACTCATTCTTTTTTTATGGCTGCATAGTGTTCCGTGGTGTATATGTGCCACATTTTCTTTATCCAGTCTATCATTGATGGGCATTTGGGTTGGTTCCAATCTTCGCTATTGCAAATAGTGCTGCAGTAAACATACATGTGCATGTATGTTTACAGTAGAATGATTTATAATCCTTTGGTATATACCCAGTAATGGGATTGCTGGGTCAAATGATATTTCTGGTTCTAGATCCTTGAGGAATCACCACACTGTCTTCCACAATGGTTGAACTAGTTTACACTCCCACCAACAGTGTAAAAGCATTCCTGTTTCTCCACAGCCTGACCAGCATCTGTTGTTTCCTGACTCTTTAATGATCGCCATTCTAATGGGCATGAGATGGTATCTCATTGTGGTTTTGATTTGCATTTCTCTAATGACTAGTGATGATGAGCTTTTTTTTCACATACTTGTTGGCCACATAAATATCTTCTTTTGAGAAGTGTCTGTTTATATCCTGTGCCCACTTTTTGATGGAGTTGTTTGTTTTTTTCTTGTAAATTTGTTTAAGTTCCTTGTAGATTCTGGATATTAGACCATTGTCAGATGAGTAGCTTGCAAAAATTTTCTCCCATTCTGTAGGTTGCCTGTTCACTCTG